>NC_000006.12:39150909-39453939 GCF_000001405.40 Homo sapiens | reverse complement strand
AAGGCAGTGTAGTAGTCAGTAAGGGAGGCTCAGAAGGGGCAGTCACAGACATACAAGGGGAATATGGAGAGAACTATGCCAAGAAGCCAGAGAAGAAAATTTTAATAATTAAGGAATATTTTTAAATACCTCAGAGAGGCCAAGAGGCATGAGAATTGCAAAACGTGCACTTGAATTGCCAGTTGGGAGGTGATTAATGACTGTTATATTCTGCCCTTTTTTTGTGGTTTTTATTGATTCTTTATCAACTACAGTGATTACCAGAAAGCAGAGATGATAAATATTCAAGAAATATTGGGTGATCGATTAATGGATTTTATTTTAGGGTTTGGGGAACATACAAAAATAGCCATTTGGTAGCCATTGTTTTTTTATGAAGGACGAGAAGTGATAGAGTCAAGATATAAGAAAAGCAGTATTAAATTGAAAGTAATTTAGAAAGGATGTAACAGTTGGAAGTCAGACAATTTGTCCCAGAGCCAAATTCCTCATGCAGCTTATGGTATCTTCTTCAGTGACATAGATGAATGGGCAGCTATTGTAAAAGATTAATTGGAAATCTCAAACCATTCCAGAAAACACAAACTCGGACGACATTGCCTTTCAGTCCACCCTGGACCCATTTCCCTTTACTGTGGTCCTGGGCAGTGTTAATACACCCCAGACATCGGAGAATAAAATTTGTCTTTTGAGATCAGTTACTACTCTTGCAGCTGACAAAGAGGTAATGATCATTTCAAATGTTTCCTCAGCCAAAGACCATTAATGAAACAGGTGTCCTCAGGAAAATGCTCTGTAGTAGAAGGCCTTGGGATTCTTCATACATTGTAGATCCATCTCTGGATCACATTTGTTTAAATTGATTGCTTTGTCTATCAGTTCATCTGTCTAAGTAACTAGCTTTGGGCAACTTGGAGGCATCCGTCATCACTGATTCTTTAACAAAGTTGTGGGTTAAGTCATCTAAAGAAAGATGTTTCTTCCTTGACCTCAATTCCAGTAGGTCCAAGGGAGTTGGAAGTGGGAGGGGAGAATGTCCAAGAATCATAGCATTATAGGAATCTTATGCTGTTGACTGCAAGGGTTGATTTTGCGCCTGTTCTGAAATGAATTTTCCTGACCATTTGCTTTCTGTGCCATTTTTACTATTTATTTTGTTGCTTGGCTTACACTGGGCCTGAACTTGACTTTGATCCATACGTCTGGAAATCATAGTTGCAGTTTGCTCTCCTTTTTCACATCCTGCTCTTTTAATAAAAATGTTCCCTTTTTTCTTGAACAGAATGGTTGATCACAGCATTTGGTAAGGGCGAAAGCTGATAATTTGCTTAAAATGAGTCACTTTTGTGCCAGACTGGGAGCCCCATGACTCATAATTACAAGTTCAGAGACTAACTGTTTGTAACAAGAGGAAACCCAGCCAGAGGGGCTTTCAGCTTACCCACTCTTGCATTCTTTATATCCAGAGAGCAAATTATTGCTCAAGGCAACCAAAAGCTCATTAGTGAACCCAATGAAGTGAAAGGCAGCTTCCTGGGCTTGGGCAGAGAGGATGGTCACTACCAAGCCATACCAGCTAAAGTTAACTAGGTCCTGGAGCATCCGCCAGTGAACATTTTTCACCACAGATGAATGCCAAGCTGAGTTTTTAAGCAAATCCAATTTAGATTCTTCTTCATCCTAGCAGCTTAACTTTTAGCACCCTTTCCTTCCTTCTCCTCTTCCTGTCATGTAACAGATGAGGGCAATTGGGGCCCCAAGCCCTTGGTATTGTTTTCCACAATCCAGTTCTGCTTCTGGATTAAAGACAAGACAGGATTTGTAAACCAAGAGCAGCAAAAACAGTTGCCCAAAACAGCCCTATGAAGTAGACATTAGCCCTATTTCATGGATGAGGAAACTGAGGATGCCGCCTATCTGCAGGCTCATGAATTGCAGGCTCGCCCATTTTGAAGGGCTGTCTTTGTAGTATCTGATTCACAAGCCACACTGAGCCTCTGTGTGATCATTCAAGACATTTTCTCCTAGCTACCCATTTTAAGTAAGCTCTTCTGGACAGATTGGGTGCTTCCTTTCATTCAGTATATATTATGACTACCTAATATGTGCCAGACACAGTAAGTATTCATGTCACACCTTCCAGAACCCTTTTTCAGTTAGGGTTTTTATCACCTGGAATGCCCTGCATGCATTTCACAGCCTGACCATTCCCTTTTCACAGACATGTGTTTGCTCCCTAACCCAAGTTTTCTGGGATGTAAGAACCTTAACATTCCATCCTCACAGCCATGCCCCTCCCTCAGCCTTACCACACACATATACATATAGATGTACACATACAGGTGTAATCGATTCCACTGCAGGCAGGAAAACCAAGGAGCAGAGGAATTAAGTAATTTTCTCAAGGTTATGCCCTAGTAGAGTGCATTTTTATAACAGTTCTTTCCTCTAGAACTGCTGTCAGTGAATAAACTGGCTTCCTAGAAAGCAAGAACTTCAATTCCTCCCTCTGAGAATCCAGCCTACAGAAATAATCCAAAATGCCTTTGTGCAAATACACTTTTTCAGAGAGACCTTCCTGTATTCTCCCTCAGTAAAATAGCCTGCCCCATCATTCATATCTTTCTATCCTCTTACTTTTCGTCATCTCTTTTCATAGAACTAATTAATAGCATGTGCTTATTTGATTCTCTTGTCTGTTGCCCTCAGTAGAACATAAGCTCTCCAAAGGAAATAAGCCTTTGCTCACCACCATATTCCCAGCTCCAAGAATAGTAACTGACATATAGTGGCCACTGAGTAAATACTTGTTGAATTAATTAATTTATTAATGCACCAAGACACTCGGTGCAGCATTATTTGCATAGTGTATATATATAAAGCAATGTAAAATCCAGCATTAGAGAATGGACTACAATGGTGAATATTATCCAGCCATAAAAAGCAACATTCCTAAAGACTTTCACTACTGACGAAAAAAGGATTATGAGATAATGTTAAGTAAAATAAACAGGCTACAAAATTGTATATATAGTATCATCTTAACTATGTAGTAAAACAAAGCATAGAAAAACTGGAAGGAAAGTAGAGAGATTGTGAGTGATTTTTCTTGCTTCTTTTATTAATTAATGTTTTGAAACAGCATCTCACTTTGTCACCCAGGCTGGAGTGCAGTGGTGCGATTATGGCTGACTGAAGCCTCAACCTCCCGGGCTCAGGCAATCTTCCCACCTCAGCCCCCTGAGTAGCTGGGACTGCAGACATGTACCACCAGGCCCAGCTAATTTTTGTGTTTTTGGTAGAGATGGGGTTTCACCATGTTGCCCAGGCTGGTCTCAAACTCCTGGGCTCAAGCCATCTGCCCACCTCAGCCTCCCAAAGTGCTGGGATTATAGGTGTGAGCCACTGTGCCCGGCCTTTCTTGCTTCTTTACATCATTCTGTTACCCCAGTTTTCTTCAATGGGCAAGCCATACTTTGATAATTAGAAAAAGTAAAGTAATGCCTTTTGCATATTCTTACCTCCTCAGGCATAGATGAGGTTGACATCTTTAGGACTTGCCTTCCGTATCGACTATATCCCTCTCTGAGCTCCTATAGGATAATGCATCTATGAAAGCAAAACTCCTCTGAAACTTTCCTAGATAGCCTAACATAATCCATCCATAATGGTCAATTACTTCTGTCTGTTGAGGATGTACAACAGGTACAGATATTAGCTTGGATGACCCCATAGCATTCTGAAATGATGATAGATGTCTCCAAAGATTCTCATGTGTCACTTTCAGAAATGGAAACTCTTGCCAGGAAAAGAGAGTGGCTCTCACTAGCCACCTTGCCATTTATACGTGGCATTTTGTTTGGCCCCCTTTGGAGAGAATTATTCATGGAGTTAAAATGTAGAAAATAAAAATAAAAGCAAAACAAACAAACCACAAACTCCCAAAAATGAAAACCTAGTGAGAAAGAGACAGCAGAATAGTGAGGTGATGAGGTTAGTCAGGGTACAGGTTAGCAAGGGCCTGTGGATGTTGACATGAGCCAAGTCCCCCAGAACAGAAAGGTTATTTAAAAAATTCTGATTGTGGGGGCAGAGAGGAAAAAGCTCAGTTCCAGGGTTGGCACCTTCATAGGAGAGCAGTTTGGGCTTGATGTGGGCAGGCAGGTGTGCCAATCTGGTACCTATCAGAGGACCTGTTTACAATGGGACTGCGACTGCTCTCTCCCTTCCTTCCTCTCTTTCATCCTACTGTACTGGAGAAGGAGCACTGAACAGGACAGGTTAGCCTCTGAGGAGTTTTCATTCCATACAATACATACATACATGTGGTTTCAGAGGGTGATAAGTGCTAAGGAAGGATATGAAACAGAAAAAGAGGGTAGAAAATCATTGTGGTGGGTTGGGGACAAGGGAGCTGCAAACTGAATAGTGAGTTGATAATCATAAAGATCCCAGAAAAGAACATTCCAGACAGTGAAACAAGCAGCAAGTATAAAGCCCCAAAGGCAGGAACACTACTTCCATAGTTGAGCAGCTGAAAGGCGGCCAGGGAGCCAAGAAGGCATGAACAAAGAATACCTGGGTGTGGCATGAAGAGGGAGGGATGTAGCCAGGGACCAGATGACGCCAGGAGGTCCTGGTAGGCTGAGGAGGTTGGGGTATATTCAGGTTTGGCTTTGTCCATGGGAAGCCACAGGAGAGTTTAAAGCAGAGAGTGACGTAATCATATTCTTAAAAGATCATTTGGGTTGCTATATAGAGAATATATTGCAGGAGGGCAAAATGGAAGCTGGCAAGGCTATCAGGAGACAGTCCAGAGAAGAAATGGCAACGACTTGGGTTAGGCTAAAAAAGAGACAAAGAGAAGCAGAGAGGTGTAAGGCATTATTCTGAAGGGATTGTTGGCAGGAGTTGCCGCTAGAGCTGATGGCATGTGGGGGTTGAAGAATCATGGAAGAATCTTAGGATTTTTTGCTTGAGCAAATGGTGCCATTTACTGATATGGAAACAATTAGGGGGAACAGCTTGGGATAGAGCTTAGAATGGAGCATGAAATTAAGAGTTCTGTTTGGGGTATGTTAAGTTTGATATGCCAATTAAACCTTCAAGTAAGGATTCCCAGTGGAGTGGCCTGTCAGATGTCCCACTTTGGCACTCAAAGGGAAAGTCATTTTGGAGCCATTTGTGTGTAATACATCGTAAAGCCATGCACCTGAATGAAATCACCTGTTGAAAGAGAATAGTCTCCAGAGCTAAACAATATCTGAAGGTTGGAAAGAGAAGCCAGGGAGGTAGGACAAAAACTTGGAGGGAGTAATGTCACAGAAAGCCAGGGAAGGAAGTGCTTCAGGCAGGAGGGAGCTTGTCAGCTGTTTCACCGACTGCATATTGGTCAGACTAGACTAAGTTATGCTCTGGTAATAAATGAACACAAAATATCAGTGTCACTTAATACAACATATTTTGGCCGGGCACGATGGCTCACACCTGTAATCCCAGCACCTTGGGAGGATGAGGCGGGTGGATCTCCTGAGGTCAGGAGTTCGAGACCAGCCTGGCCAACATCGTGAAACCCTGTCTCTATGAAAACTACAAAAATCAGCCGGGTGTGGTGGCAGGTGCCTGTAATCCCAGCTACTCAGGAGGCTGAGGCAGGAGAATCACTTGAACCCAGGAGAAGGAGGTTGCAGTGAGCCAAGATCGCACCACTGCACTCCAGCTTGGGCGACAAGAGCAAGACTTCATCTCAAAAAAAAAATTAATAAAATGTACTTTTTGTTCATATTGCATGAATAATGTGGGCCAGAGAGGTAGGAGCTCTGGTCCCCAGAGACCGAGGCTGATGGAGATTATATCTGCGATGACCCCCATCACCAGAGTGAGGAAAGAGAGAGTATGAAGAATCGCAAAGGGGCTCTCCACTGCTTTAGCCAGGAAGAAACGTATCACTGCCGCTCACAGCCCGCTGACCAGTAGCAGTTACGTGCAGTTCCCTAACCTTATTGCTGTACCATTTACCGAGAGGCCAACTCAAATAAAAACAGAAAACTGACCACTGGTTTTGGCAATCCAGGATCACTGGGGATCTTGAAAGGACAATTTCAGTGGAGTATAGGGGATGGAAGTCCATTGGACTACAGCAAGGCGAGAACAGGAAGTGGGGGAATTGAGAGGTGAATGTAGACAGCTCTGTTGAAGCATTTCCAAGAAAAGGGACCAAAGAAATTGAAAGATAGCTGGAAGGTTAATGGGGTAAAGGAAGGATATTGTTAAAAGAGTATTTTTTTTTCCTCCCCCAAGTGTCTAAGTGTTCTTAAGTCCCCTACGCTGCCAGTCACACTACAAATAGATTATCTTTTCTCCTCTTCCATCAATGAAATCAAGGCCAGTAAACATGAATGTTTTAACCTTCCATTTGGTACCTACAAATTCAAATATAGCTACATTTAACTATAACCGATTCAGCATACATTTTAAAATATGACTTTGTGCTGCTGGAAATAATCCAGTGGGGGAAATTGTTCAGGCAGGAGATAAGGGTTCAGGGAAGAAGGCCAGGAGAGGAGTTTGGGAGCCACAGCCCAGGTGAAGGGGGTGGGCTTTGATAAGATGGTGGATGATGTTTAGTTGTTACCAGAGGGAAAGCTTGGACTTCTGGTATACATGAGAGTCCACTGGAAGACATGGTGGTGGAAAGCCCCTGTCCTGTCACATTCATTTTCTCAATGAGATGAGGTTGTTACTGTGGAATGAGCCTGGCTGGTGTGGTTGGGAAGCAGAGAACACAGAAACAGTAGAGGCAGACTGACCATTTCAGCCACTGTCTCTCCCTACATTGCTAACCCGTCATTTGTAACTACCTTAAAATCCTCCTGCTGTGTTAAAGTAATTCTTTCACTCGTAACAGATTGCTGTGGGTGGGTTTTTAGGTGACTCATTATTACTTATGATGGTAATTATAACATTTTTACACTTTCACTTTTTATAGTATATTCCACATTTACTCATTCATTCTGTCAGAGACTTTTAAATAAATGATTCATTGCTGCCATATTGTTTTCTTTATTTTTATATAAAATATATTCACAGAAAACTACATTAAAGACATAAGTACAGTTTAACAAATAACGTTTTTAAGAAAAACAATTTTGGCCAGGCTCAGTGGCTCATGCCTGTAGTCCCAGCAATTTGGGAGGCCGAGGCTGGTGGATCATCTGAAGTCAGGAGTTTAAGACCAGCCTGGCCAACATGGTGAAACCCCGTCTCTACTAAAAATACAAAAATTAGATGGGCCTGGTGGCACCTGTAGTCCCAGCTGCTCAGGAAGCTGAGGCAGGAGAATTGCTTGAACCTGGGAAGTGGAGGTTGCAGTGAGCCAAGATCACACCATTGCACTCCAGCCTGGGCAACAAGAGTGAAACTCCATCTAAAAAAAAGAAAAAGGAAAGAAAAGAAAACAATTTCACTGGAGATCTCTCCTTCTTGCTCATTTATTCAGTCAAGAAATCTTGTTTGGAGCATCTACTGTATCCCAGGCAGTGAGCTTGGAGCTAAAGTCACATGCCTTTGGGGGCTCATGGCCTGAGGGGTAGGGGAGGCAGAGAGGTGAGATATCATGGAAATATTACATCATTACAAAGGCATTGGATAGTTCTAAAATGGAGAGATGCACAAGGTACTGCCCACTCCTAACTCCTCACAATACCATTAAGAGATAGCAGTTATTATGTGTTTCATTTTATAGATGTGGAGCCTGAAACTTAGAGCAATATAAATGGCAGATCCGGGGCACACAGCTAGTAGTCGAAACCAGCACTCAACCCATGGCTTCTGCCTCCAAGTCCTATCTCCTTTCCCCCACCACTGAACAGGAATCACAGAGCAGCCTGCTGTTACACTAAAGGAAATCTTCTTCAATCATCTGAAGGAGGGAGGGAAAATTGCCTGACAAGCCTGTGGAAAACTTCATTGGGTCTCTGCCTGGGAATACCTTGGGCAAACAGGGAACTGGTTGAGGGTGCAGTGTCTGGTCCCAGTGGCCACTTGAGCTTGAATGCCCCTGGCAACCAAAGGAAATCCCCAAGGTCCTGCCAGTCTCCATGCCAAGCCCTTCACCTGGTGGGATCCTCCCCATCCCTGTGGATTTGCCATTCTATTTCCTGTGCAGAATAACACTGACCCCCTTTCCTCTAGCTCCTGCTTCTCAGTGCTTCTAAAACCTGCCTCAGGAGGAACATTCCCTGAGAAATCCTTCTGCAATCTGACCACCCGCTTCTCTGCTCTCTCCCAGTCATCTATACCTTCTGAACCACGTGACCTTTGATGCCTTGTCTATCTGCTTCACCTGCCTTTTAACATAAACTTTGGCCTTCCCATGCCCTCAGTGCTGAGCTAAATTGTATGGTCAAGGACAATATTTCTTTTACTTATCTCCAACTAACCATAGAAAAGGGTGTCAATAGCGTAGACACTCAGTGCTTATTAACAGATGGTCTGTTTCACCAGTTGACTCAGCCTGAATGAATAAACGAATGTTATATTTAAACAATAAAATGCTTTCCAGAGAAGAAGCTATTAGGATACAGAGAGGTCAGAGGTTAAAGGATCACCTCCTGGATGCTTCTTGCCTCTTTTCACCACTGTTCACTGGGGGATGGGAGTTTCTTCTCCTCAAAGCCCACATTATTAGAACCTGGGCCCTGCCCCTTCATCTTCTCTGTAGTGCCCCCACCAAAACTCAACTCCAATCCAATCACCATTTCAAGTGTATAACCTATTTAATGTGGAGACTGTTCAGAGTACAATCGCTGTACAGATTGGGGAAAGATAATTACCGTACTTAATTGAACCTAACAGAGTTCTCTAACCAAAAAGTCCTTAATGGCAGAGTCAAGGATTCACTACAAGCCAGCCAGATCTTCACTTTCCCCTGCTCCATAACCCAGACCCTGGGCTCTCAGGTGATGCGGCTCCTCCCAGGTGTCAGGTGTCTGGTGCCTTCCCTAGTTTCCTGTTCACAGAGATCTCCAGCTCTTGTGAACTGCAAATTGATGGGTTTTGGTCCACGTTCCAGCTCACAACCCTCCAAAAATTTCCTTTTTTTTTTTTTTAACCATCTCTGACCTTCTGACCCTTAGGTCTGATATCAGTGGTTTGCTGGTATTTATGAGATCATTTCTAGTTGACAAATGACTTTCACTTAGCAACATAGCATGCAAAAGGAGCGTTTTGGAAAAAATTGAACTCATAGAAACAGAGAGTAGAATGGTAGTTGCCAGGGGCTGGAGTTCGGGGAAATGAGGAGGTATAGAGCCCAACATCTGGGGCTCTAATGCACAGCATGGTGACTGTAGTTAATAATACTGTATTGTATACATGATATTTGCTAAAAGAGATCTTAAGATCTTAAGGGTGTCAATAGCGTAGATTCTCAGTACTTGTTAACAGAAGGTCTTTTCACCTTAAGATCTTTTCTCACCACAAAACAAACAAACAAACAAAAAAACAGGTAACTAACTATATAAGTTGATGGATGTATTACCTAACTTGATTGTGGTAATCATTCACAACATATACCTGCATCAAATCATCACATTGTAAACCTTAAATATATGCAATTTTATTTGTCAATTATGCCTCAGTAAAGCCGGGGTGGCCTGTGCAGAAATAAAGGTTCCATTTCCAAAAAAAGAAAAAAAAAGAAAGGTGGGTTTTGGAGTCAGACAAACCTAGGGTATAGTTATGGCTTTGCCACTTACTAACTGTTGACTTGGAGTCACTTTTAACCTCTTTCAACCTTAATAACCTTGCCAACTAGGCCCAATACTACCTAGTTGACTCGGTTATTGTAAGAATTAAATAAGAACATATGTAATGCCTCTAGTATATGCAAAGTTCTCAATAAGCATCAGCTTTCCACCACTACCAATAGAGTTGTGAAGATTAATTGAATTAATATTTGTGAAATATGGAACAGTGCCTGTCACATGGAAGACACACAAAAATTAAATTTCCCCTTCCTTTTTTTCCCCAAAACATGAACATAAGCATATCTAAACTCCATTTTGCATCTACTTACTTACAAGCTAAGGAAACAGAATTTTACTTAAATCCATACATATTTCAGGGAAGGGGTATTTTTTGCTCCTTAGCTAGAATGCAATTCTTTAATTCTCTTTTTAAAATGTATGAAAATTGACCAGGCATGGTGGCTCACACCTATAATTCCAGTGCTTTGGGAGGTCACGGTGGGCAGATCACTTGAGGCCAGGAGTTCGAGAACAGTCTGGCCAACATGGCGAAACCCCATCGCTACTAGTTATACAAAAATTAACCAGGTGTGGTGGCACACACTTCTGGTCCCAGCTACTTGGGAGGCTGAGGCACAAGAATTGCTTGACCCTGGGAAGCAAAGGTTGCAGTGAGCCAAGATTGCACCACTCTACTCCAGCCTGGGCAATAGAGCAAGACTCTGTCTTAAATAAAATAAAAATAAATAAAATTAAATACATGAAAATAAATGAGTCTATAGTGAATCCATTCCTAATTTAGGCATAGATAGAAAATTTGCCTCATTTTTCAGACAACAGGACACGTTAACAATGCTTTAACCACTGCCTCTGAAGCACAGGCTCACACAAGAGCTAATCTCATTAGGGTGGAAGCCACTCAACAGGACCCTGTGAACCATGGCCTTTGGAAGCAGTCAAGGACATGTGAGACTCAGGGAATCCTATGTTCTGTAGAATCTGGAGCCTCTTTCTTTTTTTTATTTTTATTTATTATTATTATTATTATTATTATTATTATTATTATTATTATTATTTGAGATGCAGTCTCACTCTGTCGCCCAGGCTGGAGTGCAATGGCGTGATCTCGGCTCACTGCAAGCTCCACCTCCCGGGTTCACGCCATTCTTCTGCCTCAGCCTCCCCAGTAGCTGGGACTACAGGTGCCCGCCACCACGCCCGGCTAATTTTTTTGTATTTTTAGTAGAGACGAGGTTTCACCGTGTTAGCCAGGATGGTCTCAATCTCCTGACCTCATGATCCGCCCACCTCAGCCTCCCAAAGTGCTGGGATTACAGGCATGAGCCATCGCGCCCAGCCGATCTGGAGCCTCTTTCTAAGCTGAAGAAAACTGCTGCCTTTCCGTTCAGGGAGCTGTCAGTCAACCTACAAAGAATTCAGACACACGCGTTCTTCCACTCAGATTCCCAGGATTGGTCCAAATATTGAGCCTGGAATTAGACATCCAGGCTTTTTCAGTGCTGCCACATCTACGGGCTAAAATCAATAGAAAAGACTCAATAGATCCAGTTTGGCCTGGCAGCAGGAGCCACAGCGTGCTGTCTTATTTAATGGAAACGTTGCTGGCCTCCAGATGCCTAAGCTGGCTCCAAAATGCAGAAATGCCACCATGACCCAGGCGGCTTTCCAAACTCAGTGCCTGCGTCTGTCCACGGATTTCTGTAACAGCCCATGTGGGCACTTTGTCCTGGATGAGAACATTTACAAAATAGAAACCCCAGAGATGCTAGGTTAGGAAAATGAGTGTTTTCTGCAGATGCTCTTGAGGACCACTGTTTAGATGTCTTTTGTTATTGCTGGCAATCAGAAGCTACCCCAGAGCAGCTGCCATTTTTTCAGAGGCTCCAGGCCTGTCCACTCCTTTGGCAAGCCAGCCCTTTCCTCACCTGCTCAAGGGAAAGTCCAGGAGGCAGCCGCAGCAGGTGGGTGAATCAGATGCAGTTACCAAGACAAAAGGAAAACACAACCTGCCTTGAGCACTGCCCCCTTTATTCCACCCAGCCCGCGTGGTCTGCACTGCTGGGCCAGTGTGGGTTGCCCGTGGGATGTGTGATTTCTGGCATCAGGAGTCAGGAACCCATTTGATTTATTTAGATGTGGTGCCACCATTGGGTGGGTCTCCTAAGGTTTATGTGGCTTTCCACTTCAGATTTTCCCTTCGCTCTCCTCCCTAGAGCTCCTGCCAAGCCTACCATGCTTCAGCCTGGTCCAAGCCAGCCCTCAGAACCTACTAATTAAAGGTTCCTTTGACATCTTTCATGTGGCTACTTAAGAAACTCTAAGGCAAGTCCTAATCTGAGGACTTTAGCCCAGGTGATATTATCTGAGTTGAACATAGCCCTTTAACCTCAAAGCCTTGGGGCACTAGCCCATTCCAGAAATTGTCAATCGAGAGGAGGAAGTAGGTTGAGTGAGTGTCCTTGGTCACCCCAAAAGATCTGATCTCTGGTCTTCACATCTGCAGTCACTTTGGCCGTGGCTTTTTTTCTTCCCCTCATCCTCAGATTTCATACCCTGCGGTACCAGCGCAGCAACCCCTCAAATTGTAGCTGGGCTACACCAGGCCCTTTAAAGTCAGCAGAACCGTGACAGATGGCTCTGCTTACTGTGGTGACCTCCATCACCCTGGAGGTGGAGGAACATGAATGGAGGGCTCCTCAGTGATACACACATGCTAGGGCATGATGCTGCTCTCCAGGGGAGACCATCTGCACAGTAGTTCCTAAAGCGATGGGACCAGGTGGCACCGGCATGATGACAGTAACAGTAAATGATGACATTTGCTATTATCAAATGGCAGTTGTCATTTAATTGGTTAGTAATCTGGAAGCCACCTATTAAAGGAAGAGCTTCTATGCCAGGGATGATTGACTGGCAGAGGCTGCTGAAAAACTGTGCTGAGAACTCTAATGCTATGATTAGTTTCCCAGGAAAGATGCTGAGATTGATCAGCGATGTCTTCTAGGGGTATGAAGAGTGAAAGCGGTAACATAGGGTCTGCATATTCAACATCCTTGTCTTTCATGCACCTTTCAAAAACTCCTCCTTCCTAAATCACAAGCATCCTTGTGGGAGGAAGGTAAAGACACTATCTCCACTGTTCCATCTAATCTTTCTTGGAGATGGCTCATTTCTCTTATAAGATCTGTTATAGCCCCCAACCCCATTCCATGCATGTATTCAGTCCAGTGTCAGTGCATCCTTGGCTCTCCATCGTCAAAGCTGCTGGCTTGTCCTGCACCTGGGTTTCTGGCTGAAGCCACCATTTCCTCTCTATGCCCCTGGAGACATCCAGCACCACTCCCAAGAGTGTGGGCTCACTGACCTTCCCCCTGACCTTCCTATCCCTCTTGACCTTTATATTTCATGCTACAGCTCGATAGATTATCCCTTCCTCAGCTCTGCCTTGTCTCTCTTCTAAATCCTTATTTCCTTTTCCTCCCATCAACCCGTTCATTCTACCTTCTCCACACACTCAGGGACCTCAGTTCTCTCCAACTAAAGAAGAGAGGGGAGAGAAGACCAACAGGGGACGATGAACAGTGAGGGGGTGCTGGATTCCAAGGAGACAGGGGTTTGGAACACACTGAAATGGAATTCTCTTCTAATTATTTAGGTGACGATATTTTTGTCTATTTCACCCAAGTCAACACTTACCAAGAAATTTCACTTCAGATAGAAGGTTATTTCAGGCACCATACAAAAAACACACTTGATCTCTGCCCATTGCTTCTCATTCTTGTATGCACCTCCAGATTCTACACGTTGTAGGTATTCATCATACTGTGGTATCAGAGCTGTTCCCTTACCTTCAATTTAAAGAGCTTCCACTATTGAGCCACAGAGTATAATCATCCTTCAATACGATTCCCACCGTGAATCATCAGCTTCCTTCCTGCCTTAGCACCACATGCTCCCCACCCAGCTCTGAGCCTTCTCATGCTTTCAGTCCCAAACAGTGTGTTCCAAACCCCCATCTCCTTGGAATCCACCCCCCTTCTCACTGTTCATCGTCCCCTGCTGGTCTTCTTCTCATCCCTCTCTTCTTTAGTCAGAGGGAACCGAGGCCCCACGCGAGTGAATATCTCCCAAGGAAAATATATTTTTGGCTCCGACTAGGAAATCATTTTTCAGCATGAATAACACAACTCTCTCCATCATTGTACTTTTGTCAATTTTTAAGCAATAGCTTAAGCAGCAGTAGGTTGTTTAGGAGCAGCCAGGAAAATAAGCTCTGGCCCATGTACCCCAGACTAAAGGAAATCAGACCGCAGGCCCAAAGGCAATAGCATAAACTCTCCACTTCCGATGTTTTTCCTTTCCATTTGGTTTCCATGGGACCCTGTGTTGGGGATGGGGAGGGCTTCCCAAAGTACCAAGTTGTATTCGTTAGCAAAATAAGGAACTGAATTTCAGGTTGAAAAAAAAAGAAAGCATTAAGAAGTGGGTAAGGGACCAGCGCACAAGAATTTGGATGCCTAATGTTTCAGAAACCCAACCCTGAGGCTGATGTTGAAAGCCCCTTGTTGACTACCATTTCTACCTATGTGCTCTTTGACCACTATCAAAGTTCAGAAGAGATTACACCTTTGGGACTTGCAAATATTTTCCATCCAACTTACAACCGAAATTGCAATGTCGTCTTTTGGAGAATGAGACTCAGAAATTCCTCTCTTTTAGGTTTTAAATGGTTCTGTAACTCAGCAAGCCAGCAGGCTTCTCTTAATCATTCATATTTCAGGGATCCAGCGCTGGGAACCTGTGATTAAAATTCACTAAAAGCAAACAACTAAGAAATGAGCTCTAGAAATGAGCATGGCAAGTTCCCAAGGTCCTCAGCTCTGTTGAGGAGCTGAGTCTGACAGACTAAACAAAGTTGGGAAGAAGATAAAATGTATGTCTTTGCAGTACCTCTTAGCTAATTGTCAATAAATTGTGGAATTTTTCTTTGCTAGCACTGAAATAATGATACCTTCAAGAGTATAGTCTTGTGTCACTTAACAACTGAGATACATTTTGAGAAATGCGTCATAAGGTGACTTCATCATTTTGTGAACATCATAGTGTGTACTTAAAGAAACCTAGATAGTATAGACTACTACACACCTAGGCTAGATGGGATAAACTAATGCTCCTCAGCTACAAACCTGTACAGCATGTTACTGTACTGAATACTGTAGGCAATTGTAACACAATGGTAAGCATTTGTGTGTCTATACATAGAAATAGTACAGTAACAATGCAGTATAAAAATAAAAACACCTGTACAGGGCAGTTACCATGAATGGAACTTGAAGGACGGAGTTGGTTTGGGTGAGCCAGTGAGTGGTGAGTGAGTGTGAAGGCCTAGAACATTACTGTACACTATGTGTATTTTATAAACACTGTACACTTAAGCTACACTAAATTCATTTTTACTAATATTTCAATAATAAATTAACCTTAGCTTACTGTAACTTTTTATCTTATAAGCCTAATTTTTTTAACTTTTTAATTCTGTAATAACACTTAGCTTAAAACACACATTATACAGCTGTACAAAAATATTTTTTTCTTTATATCTTTATTCTATCAGCTTTTCCCTATTTTAAAAATTTTTCATTTTTTTTAAGCTTTTAGACTTTTTTGTTAAAAATGAAGACACAGTGTCAGGACCTTCAGTGTCACTGTCTTCCACCTCCACACCTTGTCCCACTGGAAGGTCTTCAGGGGCAGTAACACACATGGAGCTCTCATCTCCTATGATAACAATGCCTTCTTCTGGAATACTTCCTGAAGGACCTGCCCAAGGCTTTTTTACAGTTAACTTATAAGTAGAAGAAGTACACTCTAAAATAATGATAAAAAGTATAGTATAGGCCAGGCGCAGTGGCTCACACCTGTAATCCCAGTACTTTGGGAGGCTGAGGCAGGTGGATCACCTGAGGTCAGGAGTTCGAGACCAGCCTGGTCAACATGGTGAAATCTCATCTCTACTAAAAATACAAAAAGTTAGCCGAGCGTGGTGGCGGACAAATCCCTGTTACTCGGGTGGCTGAGACAGGAGAATCGCTTGAACCCAGGAGGCAGAAGTTGCAGTGAGCCAAGATCAGGCCACTGCACTCCTGCCTGGGCAACAAGAGTGACACTCTGTCTCAAAAATAAATAAATAATTAAATAAATAAATAAAGTATAGTAAATACATAAATCAGTAAAATAGTCATTTATTATCAAGTATTATGTACCGTATATAATTATATACGCAATATTTTTATACAACTGGCATCACAGTAGGTTTATTTACACCAGCATCACCACAAACATGTGACAAATGTGTTGCACTATGACATTATGACAACTATGACACCATATGGGACCACCGTCGTACATGCAGTTCACCATTGATTGAAACGTCTTTATGTGGGGCAGGACTGTAGTTGCATTTTTATAAAAGCTTCTTGGAGTTGGAATTCATCTCTAATGGTGGGCCAGTAAGCATGGTGACATGTACTGGGGAGAAGATGGTGCTGAATTTCTAAAATCATACTATGTAGGAGATGAAACTGTCCAGTAGCATGGTGGCAGAGAGAGAGAGAGCAATGGATACATGCCTCATTTTTCACACCATCACAATATGCTATCCAGAAGGAAAGACGTTAAGCATCTAAAGCACTTTTTCATTCATTCATTCATTCAAAAGATATTTTGTGTGCCAAATATGCTATAGTGCTCTTGTATGCCAAGTACTATCTGGATTCTAGAAATATTGCTGCAAACAAAACTGACAAAAATCCTTGCTTTTATCCAAATTGGAAAAGAGAAAGTCAAACTATCACTGTTTGCCAATGATATGATCTTATACCTAGAAAATCCTAAAGACTTCTCTGAAAGATTGCTAGATTTGATAAATGAATTCAGTAAAGCCTCAGTTTACAAAATAAATGTAGACAAATCAGTAGTTCTGCTTACATCAACAAGGACCAAGCTGAGACTCAAATGAAGAACTCAATCCCTTTTACAATAGCCACAAAAAATATATAAAATACCTAGAAATATATGTAACAAATGAGGTGAAAAATCTCTACAAGGAGAACTACAAAATACTGATGAAAAAAAACATAGATGACACAAACAAATGGAAAAACATCCCATGCTCATGAATCAGAAGAATTAATGTTGTGAAAATGACAATACTGCCTAAAGCAATCTACAGATTCAGTGCAATTCCTATCAAAATACTAATATCACTTTTCACAAAATTAGAAAAAAACTCCTAAAATTAATATGGAACCAAAAAAAGAGCCTGAATAGCCAAAGCAATCCTAAGCAAAAAGAACAAATCTGGAGGAATTACATTACCAGATTTCAAATTACACTACAAAGCTATAATAACCAAAACAGCATGGTACTGATGTAAAAGTAGACACACAGACCAATGGAACAGAATAGAGAATGCAGAAATAAAGCAAATATTTACAACCAACTGATCTTTGACAATGCAGACAAAAACATACACTGGGGAAAGGACACTATATTTAATAAATGGTACTTGGAAAATTGGATAGCCACATGTAGAAGAATAAAATTGGATCCCTATGTCTCACCATATACAAAGATTAACTCAAGATGGATTAAAGACTTAAATCTAAGACTTGAAGCCATAAAAATTCCAGAAAAAAAAAACCTAGGAAAAACTCTTCTGAACATTGGACTAGGCAAAGAATTCTTGACTAAGACCCTAAAAGCAAATGCAACAAAAACAAAAGTAAATAAGTGGGACCTAATTAAACTAAAAAGCTTCTGCACAGAAAAATAAATAATCAACAGAGTAAACAGACAACCTACAGAATGAAAGAAAATATTTGCAAACTATGCTTCTGACAAAGCAGTAATATCCAGAATCTACAAAGAACTCAAGCCAATCCGCAAGAAAAAAAACAAATAATCCTATTAAAAAGTGGGAAAATGACATGAAGAGACATCTCTCAAAAAAAGATATAAAAATGGCCAGCAAACATGCAAAAATGCTCAACATCATTAATTATCAGGGAAATGCAAATTAAAACCACGATGAAATACCATCTTACCCCAGCCAGAAAGGCCATTAATAAAATGTCAAAAAACAATAGATGTTCGCACAGATGTGGTAAAAAGGGAATGCTTATACTCTGCTAGTGGAACTGTAAATTAATATAATTTCTATGGAAAACGCTATGAAAATTTCTCAAAGAACTAAACGTAAATCTACCACTTGATCCAGCAATCCCACTACTGAGTATCTCCCCAAAGGAAAACAAGTCATTATATAAAAAAGACACCTGGATGCATATGTTTATCACAGCGCAATTTACAATTGCAAAGATACGAAATCAACACAAGTGTCCATGAACTGATGAATGGATAAAGAAAATGTGGTGTGGATTACTGCTCAGCCATAAAGAACAAAATAATGTCTTTTGCAGCATCTTGGATGAAACTGGAGGCCATTATCCTAAGTAAAGTAACTCGAGAACAGAAAACAAAATACCACATATTCTCACTTATAAGTGGGAGCTAAGCTATGGGTATGCAAATTTGTACAGAGTGGTATAATAGATATTGGAGCTCAAATGGGGGAGGTTTGGGGGGTGAGGGATGAAAAACTACCTATTGGGTACAATGTACACTATTCAGGTGAGGAGTGCACTAAAATCCTAGACTTCACTGCTGTACAATTCATCCATGTAACCAAAAACCACTTGTACCTCTAAAGCTATTGAAATAAAAAAATTTTTTTAAATACCTGCCCTCATGGAGCTTACAAATTCTAGAAGTAATAATAAAACATATTAACAGATGAAGTAAACTATGCAGGTAGTAAAAAACATATATGGTTCTGTTTTTCTGTGATATTGTAAAAATAAATCAACATTTTAGATAGAGAAGCACTAATAAGAGTACGATCTCATGGGTAAATCTACTATTAATATTACGAGGTCATTTTGAGCCCCACCACCTTGCCCTTTCTGTCAGGCCTACTTTCCCTGGAAAAACTGATCTAAGAGCCGCAATGACTGCCTCTAAAAGCTGGGCATTTTTCACCCCTTTATAATCACTTATTTATGTAAGCCTCAGTTTCCTCATCTATAAAATGAACTTATTTGCGGAGATCATAGAGAAATTTAACTGAAATAATATATAAGAAAGCACATGATACTATCCTTGGTATAGAGTATATAAGAAATTCATTTTTTAATCACCTAGAGATCATTTCTATTGGATGGCAGAGCCACCCATATTAATCAGGTTGCCTTTGTAATCCACACTCCATCTCTGCCCCCTCCACCTGGAAACTTCTTCCATGTCTTCTCTACCTGGGAAATGCTGCTTCATCCTTCAGATCCTTCTAGATGAAGTTCACTTGCTCCCTCCTGCTTGCAGCCTTCTCCCACTCTCGCTGAGAGTCCCTGCCTCCCTCCCTCCCTCTCCCGCATGCTGGACACATACCTCTCTACAGCAAGCAGCAACCTCCATTGTAAATATTTGTTCACTTTTCTTGTTTTTGTTTTGTTTTGTTTTGTTTTTTTGTTTTGTTTTGTTTTGAGATGGAGTCGCACCTTGTCACCCAGGCTGAAGTGCAATGGTGCTATCTCGGCTCACTGCAACCTCTGCCTCCTGGGTTCAAGTGATTCTCCTGCCTCAGCCTCCCAAGTAGCTGGGATTACAGGTGCGTGCTGCCATGCCCAGCTAATTTTTTTTTTTTTTGTATTTTAGTAGAAATGGGTTTCACCATGTTGCCCAGACTGAACCTGAACTCTTGAGCTCAGGTGATCCACCCACCTCAGCCTCCCAAAGTGCTAGGATTACAGTCGTGAGCCATTGCGCCCTGCCATTTTTCATTTTTCTTTCTCCCTTACTGGACTCCAAATTCTTTAAATCAAGAATCAAAGCTTTAATGTTCAACTTTACATCTCTGTCACATGCCTAGCACAATGCCTAATATAAATAAATACTTCTTGAGAGAATAAATAGACGATTGTCTCATTAGCAAGGTGAGCTTTTAATCACTCTTTTTGCTCCTTTGCTCTTTCTCTTTCAAATGCATACAGTGCATGCTCAGGGACGGGAACTGCCATAGGAGAAAGAGCCTGTTTTCTAAATCCTCAGAGGGACAAGGAAGTGATTTCTTCAGTAAATAAAAGCCGTTCATTAACTTTGCAGCTGATCCCAAAATGGGGTGAGAAGTGGTATATTAGTGCAATCCAAAGGAGCTGCGCATGAGCTCTGAACAAGCAGAATGGGGATGGGCAAGGGTAGGGCCAGGCTGGGACCTGGGCTCACACACTGGAGCTGCCCGTGAGTCCTTCCCATGTGCCTCCCTCTGTGGACCTCAGCCTTGCCCCAAGTGGTGGCCTTGAAGTCTCTGCAGGCATCCTGGCCTTGCCTTGCCTCTTTGCCTTCCAGCTATGCTTCAGCCACCTCACCTTGGCCTCCCTGAGTGGACATTTGGGAAAACAGCTGACAAGATAATAGCCATCATTCTGATGGCCTTCACCTGTGGTCACCACAATCAAAGAACTCCAACTCCAGAATACTTTGTCCGTGACAGAAGGAAAACCAAGGTTATGTTCCTGATGATAAGCCCTTGGCACTTCAGGACCCCTAAGTGCCTTTTAAGCCACCAAGAGTATTAAATCCTTCCAGTGTAACTTTCCCATAATGTGTACTTTATTCCATTGTAAGTCTTTGAAAGTTGGCGATGCATGTAGAATATGTTATGCTGCTGGCCCCGAATTTCTTAGTAGGACCTTCAAGACCGTACACAACGATCCCAAACTGCCTGCGCTTGTCTCCTCTGTGCCCTCCACGTCCTTTCTGCTCCCACGGCCCAGGCCCCAGTGCACCTCAGGGAAGGTGTGTTTCATGTTGTTTCGTGTTTTCATATTGTCACTTACTTTTGTGTTGTTCGTTGTTGGGAATATAGTTAGTCCCAATGGTTGCTCAGTGCATTGTAAGTTCTCCCAGGAGTGGCTGCCGCCACAGTGCCGTGGGCTCTGGAGTGGTCCTTTCCACCCAGCTGTCCATTCACAGTCAGCTCTGCAGAAAAAGCAGAGCCTGGGAGGGAAGAGGCTGTGAACCCTTCTTCCCTGCAGCTTAAGCAAGCTTTCACTCCCACCCCACACCCCTTTCACCCACCACCCCCACACCTCTGTTGGTGGAAGGCTGCTCATCAGCTCCCCTGCGGGGGGGAGCAATTTGGAGATCCCCCAAGCAGGCTCCAGTGTGGTCTCTGTGGAGCTTTTCTCTTCCCATCTCCAGTCCAAAGTCTCATGCCCTCTACTGTCTGTTATTATTTTATTATGTAGCAAAAGGCATGCACTGTTAGAACTGGGTGCAGACCCGGACAGGGGAAAGGTATGGAATGAATCCGCTGGCTCCTAATGGGCTCTGCTGGTGAAACGTGCCCCTCAATGTCTCTCATGCATCAGGGATCATCTTTCTGCGTCTCACACAAGCGGATTCCCAGGCCTACCCAATTCTAGAGTGTGCAAGGCAGATGTGGAGACAAAGCTGAGTCGTGCCCATTTGCTTCTGATCAGAAAAGGGTGGGGTGTATTTTTGTGCCTCACCATTTAGACATTCTTCACGGTGCTATTTTTATCAAGAGTAATCATTAAATTGGTGTCAGATGGGCTAGTCCAGTTACTCACCCTTAGGATGGGTGATGGGACTCAGAGAGTTTTTTCCAGGCAAGAGGAGACGTGGTATGTGGCCCATATGAAAGCCTCTGCGGAACCCTTGGCCTCAGAGTGAGCCTCACTAACCCTGGACTGTGTTCCCGCAGCAATAACAGCAAGGCTCAGCACCACCCAGCTTCATTCTCAACCTGATTCATTTAACAGATGTATGCTGAGCACCTTCTAAATGCCAGACTTTGAACAAGACACAAGGATTCACAAAACAAACAAACAAAAAACTATTATCTCTACCCCCTGAGAAACTTACATTTCACCAGAAAGGATTGCCATGTGAAGTGGCAGTGTCCACTGGGCTGTGCATATTATAGGTGTATTGATAAGGAACATGGTGAAAAGAGGGTTTGTTCTGCCTGGGCTTTGACGAAAGCTCCACGGAGGTAGAGTTACTGGAGGAAAACATGAGAAAAGGCCTCCCAGGCAAAGGAACCAAGGGCAGAAGCATTAAAAAAAAAAAAATGGCTCTATAGATGCATCCAAAATCCAGCGGTGAATTCAGCTCTCACTGAGGGGTCCCAGGCATACATCTGCGCTGACCCTCACTCCGGGAGGTGGTGAGGAGGAGAGCCTGGTCCTGGCTGTACTGACCGTGGGTCCCAGAAGTTGAACTCTGAACAGCGCCCAGCAGTGAGGGTTGGCCTTTATTGGCAAAGGCGATACAGGATATTGAAGTTAGAGATGACCTAGGGACCCCTGCCATGGCCAGCTCATGAGTCTTGTAACTGAGGACCTAACTCCTGAAGAAGAGCCGAGACCCCCTCACTAACCACAGGAAACAAGAATGAATTGTTATACAGAGACTAAGAGCAGAATTTTCTAGATGCTATCTTTCAGTTTGGATTATAATTCCTTTAACTAAATGCCTGGAAATTTAACAGAAAAACAAAATAGGGCATACCAGGGAGAAATGTGGCACTGAACGATGGTAAGAAAAGGCATTTGCAGACATCCTCGGCAGTCCAGGGCTTGGCGCTGTGGTTTTCATTTCCCCCGAGCAGGCATTCCAAACCCCGCCCCCCACGAGTCACATGGCTGTGCAGGCACAGTCCTGAGGGGTGCAGCGGGTGGCACTGGAAGGGCCTCCTCAGCAGGTTGTCAGCCAGCTGGAAGAGCCTGGGGCCACCTGTCTGGTCAGAGTCTCTCTGCTGTGGGCCTCTTGGAGCCAGGGCTGGTTTTGTGGTCTGACTGAAGTGACAATGAAATTAATAGGATCCTGATGCTGTGACTGAGGCCATTTCCCTGTGTCTCCAAACAGGAATGAGAGAGGAAATGTCATTAGGATGCCAGGAGGCTTTTGAAATCTTCAAGAGGGACCACGCTGACAGCGTTACCATCGATGACAACAAACAGATTCTGAAACAGAGGTAAGGCTGTCTCAGAGAGCAGCTGGTCCTCCGAGGCTCAGCCAGGCCAGCCTAGAAGAGATTTGCTTACTCTGTCCTTCCTAATCTGCCCAACATAACTATTACAAGAAAAGCATAATGTTTATTCAGTTTCACATTTAATTATGTCCAGCCTGGTACAATTCTCCTTCATGTGTGAGCCTCACCATCCCAGTACTACTGGGGTAAGCAACTTTAGGGCAGGGTCTGTTACTGACAGTATCAACGTGATTTACAATTCTCACATCATACATTCATTCTCATCAGCCTGTACTCTATCCATGTCTTACTGTTGCAAAGGAGGGGGGAAAAAGTCTATGGACCAAATTATATTCTTAGAACTGCAGGCACTCCAGCTGTTCTGGAGAGCAGTCCTGTCTTAGTCAAAGAAAATATGTGCACATCTTGTGACCCAGAAGCCTTTGGTGTCTTCTCCAGGCCAAAATTAGAGCAGGCAGGATTATCTGCTGACATGTTGTCAGATGGGGCTGTGCTCTGGACCCCTTCAAAAGAAGCTTACTTAGAGGTATATAATTTCTTTTAGCTAGTCTGTGAGGTATATGCATATCCTCAAACTGTAGCAAACAAACTCTATCAGATGTAGGGGTCTAGAGCTCAGAAGAAAGGGTGAACTCTCATATGTCACATGAGACTGTGGATCCTAGCACACAGTAAGTTTTCAAGAACTATTTGTTGAATTAAAATGAGATCTGAGTTTGAGAATCATATGACAACTCAGGAAGCCTAAGAAGTAGATGAGCTCTCAGGAGAACATGTGGCAGTGCTGAGGCCTAAAGAGGGGAGCCATAAGGGAAAGGAGTTTGAAGGGAAGGTAGAGAGAAAGGAGGCCATAATGGAGACTGAGAAGAAGCATAAAGAAGAGGGGGCGAACCAGGAGAAAATAATGTCCTGATAGCCAAGTCAAGAGGAGAGCCGGCTCCAAGAAGAAGCAGACTGTCAGTAGTGTCAGATGCGACAGAGAAATAAGCAGGAGGGAACTGGGAAGTGTACAGAGATTTTGCAACTAGAAGGCCATTGGCTGGACTGCCGGGCATGGAGGAGCGAGTGAGAAGAAATGTCATTGCCTTCAAAAAGTTGGTGATAGATGAAAATCATTTTTTTTTTTTGAGACAGAGTCTCACTCTGTTGCCCAGCCTGGAGTGCAGTGGTGTGATCTTGGCTCACTGCAACCTCCACCTCCCGGGTTCAAGCGATTCTCCTGCCTCAGCCTCCCAAGTAGCTGGGACTACAGGCACCCGCCACCACACCTGGCTAATTTTTTGTATTTTTAGTAGAGACGGGGTTTCACTGTGTTAGCCACGATGGTCTCATCTGCTGACCTCGTGTTCCGCCCACCTTGGCCTCCCAAAGTGCTGGGATTACAGGCATGAGCCACTGCGCCTGGCCTAAAAACATTTTTAGAAAGAACAAAGAGAGGTAGCTTAAGTAAAAGGGAAGTTGGTTTCAGGATGGGAAAGAATTGGCTAATATTATAGGCCACAGAATAAGCTAATGGTAAGAGAAAGGTAGAGAAACAACAGGAAAAGCTGACACAGCAAGGCTCCTGGAAGACAGGAAGGTAGGGAATAAAAGCTCAGTGGAGGTTAGCCCTGGAAGGGAGCAAGAATGGAAAAACAAATCAAGATGGGGCTGACATTGGCACACTGAGAAGAAGAGAGAGAAAATTAAAGATGACCTAAGTTTTCTCTGTGAAAAAGAAGTTGAGGTAGAATAAGAGACTTGAGGGTGGTGATGAAGGTTTAATACAGCAGCCACAGGGAATGGGAAAGAAGGTAGACCCGGAAGAAGGAAAAAGAAAGGCAAACGGAAAAGCAAACCGCAATGAGGGTCGAAGGCCCAGCCTAGACTATCATCCTGGCTTTTACACTTTACCAGAAGGCAGATCTCAGCTCATTCAGGAATCCAGTGAAGGGAGTGGGAGTACATGGCTCTGTATATGGACGGCAGTCCAGCCCTTCCTAGTCAAAAGAACTACTTGCTTCCTGCTGTGACCCAGCAGTTCCTCTTCTGGGTCTATTTCCCAAGAAGTTCTCGTGCATGTTTATAAGGGGACATACTCCAGGCTGCTGTGAGCAGCCTTGGCTATTCATGGCCAAGGAGAGTTGGAAACATGCTGAGTATCCATCACTGGGGAAGTAGACAGGTAGAATAATGCCGATGCCCCATGAAGCAGGACGCAGCAGGTGGGAGTCATGGATTAGATGTATGCATACCAATTAACATAGACCTTAAAAGCATAGCACTGAGTAAGATCACATCATTCAGATAAATTACAAATAGATCCACAGAAAGCAAAGAAAAACATGCAAACAAAGATATGCTTTAGCAAAAAAGGTATACTTTATGAGTCCCTGGTATACTTTATGAGTCCCAGATATACTTTAGCATACTTTACCCACAAGAATGGGAGCAGGGCATGGGGATAAAAAGGAATGAATGAATAAACGAATAAAACAAGGGGATAGGGAAGAAAATAAAGTGAATCCAGTGAAGCTGAATACTCTCTCCCTAGAAAGGGGGACATATGCACATCTGCACAAATTTTAGCCTGTAAATCCAAGGGTTTCACAAGCCTTCTAATGCTTATCCATGTTGTAAGACATGAATTTTTAATATGGCTAGTTGGACGTGTTGGGGCAGGATACCTTGTCTGTCTGAAGATAAGCATGTTAAGCTAGCTGTCTCATCCAAAAGACTTCCAAAGAACCTTCAGCCATGTCTATACGAGAGGCTTCTTAGCTTACACCAGGGACTCGTAACTGGCTTCATATTAAAACAACCAACAGAGCTTTTAAAAGCTACCAAAGCCTGGCCCTGACTCCCCAGATATTCTAATTAAATTAGGTGCAACCTGAGCATCTCTTTTTAAAAAGCAGATTCCAGTAGCATGTAGGTTTGAAAACCACTGGCTTAGACAGTGTCCAGAAACCATGAGATCCAGAATCCCTAAGGTAAGATCCCCCAAACACTACAGGTTAGAAAAAAATTACCAAGTGATTCTTACACATGCTCAAATCAAAGAACCACTAACTTAGGGAGAACATAGTACTTCATCTTTCTTATTATAAAGTTGGCATTGTTTCTGGTTCTGGTTTGTAACCTGAGTTTAGGTCTATTTTCAGCAGGGATTTGGGTCGGGGCTGAGTGGGATGAGGATGTTGTGGTCTTCCAAAGCCTTCTAATATAGAGCTCACTTAACTCTGTACAGTAGAGTTCTGACAACCCATGTGACAAATGTGCTTTTGAGTTTAAACATACCTAAGTTATGCAGGATGGGCTGGCAATACCAATGATCCCATCTTCCTTGTGGCCATAGTGCAAGGGAACTAAAACTCACACAACCTTTCCTCTGAAAAGAGGTTTTCCCAGCAGTAAATCAGTCTTTTTAAATCAAATGAAAAGTCAGGAGACCAGCCCATATTTTTTTAAAAATTTCTATATCTGACTAATGTTCCTGTAATACTAACCATTAAAGGACTATTTGGTATAGGGGATGTAACCCAGAACCTACCCCTTTCTTAGGATTGGAGCTCTTATTTGCATTGATGGAGAGTATTGAATTATTAGATATTACATGTTCATAACTGCTTAAGGAAGGGGAATAAGAAAAATGTTCTTGTATGAAAACAAATAACTGCATAAGCAGGGTTTCAACAACAGACATCAAAGGAAGGCTTCACAGATGCTCATAGGGTCACTTCCATGCCACCCTTACTTTAGGAAATGCCCTTCCAGTAACCCGGGCCCCTTCCACACATTTGCTTCCATTCCCTCTAGTGACAGGAAGGACTCATGTGGCCCAACTGTGGGAAGATGGGCAGTTCTGGGAATACAGACACAGACTGGAGGGGGTTGACTTAGGGTGAAATTCAGCGATGGCTTCCTGCCTCATCTCTAAGCCTCAGCTTCCCAATAGACCTCAGCAACCAGGACCCACCAGCCTGGACTCCCATTTCACCCCAGACTTCTCACATCAGACTAATTCTGTGGTCTGACCATGCTGGTGTTGGGACATTATGTTGGCAAAGTGCCACTAAATAGGGGCTGGAACTAATTGCCCCCATGCAAAAGCCTTGAATGAGTTCAGCCTCTCTACCCCATAGCAAGTAGGTTCTAAGCACAAATGTAGGGATTATTGGTGACCCACAATCTCTTCTGACTCTCTCAGCCCTGACCCAGAGTATAAGAATTGATTTAGAGTTGCAGGAGGGGACAGTGAGTGGTTCCCCCATCCCCTTCATTCCATGTTACTTTTTTTTTGAAGAGACAGAGTCTCACTCTGTCGCCTAGGCTGGAGTGCAGTGGTGTGATCATGGCTTACTGCAGCCTCAACCTCCCAGATTCAAGTGATCCTCCTGCCTCAGCCTACCGAGTAGCTGGGACTACAGATGCATGCCATCACGCCTGACTAATTTTACCTTTTGTAGAGATGAGGTCCCTCTGTGTTGCCAAAGGTGGTCTAGAACTCCTGGGCTCAAATGATCCTCCCCCCTCCCTGGGCCTTCCAAAGTACTGGGATTACAGGTGTAAGCCAATGCACTCAGCCCCATGTTACTTAATAGAAAGGTTTTTCTTCCCCTTTTTCCTGCACCCTTTGCTGCTCTCACGGGGAATTTCTAGCATCTCTAAGCTCTGGTCTCCAGTCTGAGGAAGTTGTGCTGCCTGTATGTGACAAGAGAAATAAGATGTTGGCACATGAATAGGATGTTCGCCCTTTGGTGAACTAGAGCATGTGAGCCAATTCTTAAGCCAGATTTTTCAGCAGAGAACAATTGCAATTCACAATCACATTTTCCAGGCATGACTCATCCCTATAGTATACAATAATATGAAGAGAGGCTGGAAACCCCATGCTTGGCAAATACCAGTGCCCAGGCACTGCAAGCTTTCTTTTGTGGCAGATTTTTCATACAAACTGAGTCCATCAGTCTCAGAGTCCCATTCAATAACAAAAGAAGAAATAAATGGGGAGATTAACTGCTATTGGAAATGAAGGTGTTGAAAATGTAAACTAAACAAAGCAAAGCACCCCTTCACTCAGTTGGATCCTTCTAACATAGAATCAAACAGCCATCTAAAACCAACAGGAAAACCGGACCGAGGGTGGAGAGAAACCGTGTGGCACCATCAGGAGGTAACTCCCATGGTGAGGAGGAGTTTCCTGGCTCCCATTAGACTTTCATTTTAACCCTTATGATTTTTCCTTTTTTTTTTTTTTTTGTATTTACATCTTTTCTGCTGAACTAAAATGATAAACTCTGAGAGCAGAGATTAGATTAGAATCTTCTCAGCCTCTCCACAATTTTAAAAGCAGTGCTGGCCACAGGAAAAAAAAAAAAAGGTACTCAAAAAACACTTTTTTTGTTTGTGAATGACAATTTGAAATTGACTTTGAGAAATCTTGGCAGCCAAGAAAATGGCTGGAGAAGACTTTACAGCTTCCGAGAAGTAGGAGGATGCAGCAGGCTTCTGGAGGGTCAGGGGAGGAGCTGATCAACTGGAGGCGGGAGAGGGAGGCCATAGTGGGAGAGATGAAACGGGAAAGGAATACTAGCATTTTTTAAAAAGCATAAGGGGAACAAAGGGTGGATCTTTATTACAATAAAGTGGAGGCAGCCAGGGTACAAGGTACAAGTTTATGGAGGAAAAAAATGGCAAAATATAGGCCCAGTCTTCTGTCCTCCTCTCTGACAGGGAAGGGTATTGGATGTTCACTCTATGAAAAAGCAACATATTAAGTTAGTTGTTCTAGACAAGAAAAGTAGGAAAGATATTGTAGGAACCCTTTGCCCTCAAACACATATTGGCCCACCATTCTCAGAAGGCAATCTCAGCTGGCATGACAGAGCATCTGGTTGCAGAGGCTCTTGGGGACTGAGTGGCTGCTGAACGAACACCAGCCCCTCTCTTTGGCCCATGGGTAAAAGCAGCCACTGCCCATGATCCCTAGTGAATGGTGTGTGGGGCAGAGCCAGCTGCTTCCCCAGTCATGATGAGTATCTCCGCCTGACACACCCCACAGCAGGATGGGATTCTTTCTGGAACTGATCTTGGAAGTTAACGTCAGATTCACCCTCAATTCCTCCATCCTTTTCATTTCCATTGAAAATGAGAAACTCAGCAACCATCTTGAGTGTCCTTGACCATTGACTTGCAGAGATCCTTTCTAATACTTTGGTTTGCTGAGACAAACTATTGTCTGTGGTTACTGCTTCCAACACACATTCCCACTTCACAGTCCATCACATTCCCTACGGGGGGTTCCTACACTGCCAGGCCATGGTCATAATGAATTTATGACACACAAAACATATTTGCATGCATGCTCTTTCCACATCAACCCAGCCCTGACGGCATCTCATTCTAATCCTAGAAATGAAGAGCCTGAGACCCAGTCGCTAAGAGGTGAGGTAGGCATTTGGTCCTACTCTGACTTCCAGTCTAGCGCTCCTCACTTGTGCACGTTGCCTTGGCACACACACTTGCTCACGTGCTTATCTTCTTTTATTCTACAAATATTTATGGAATGCTTACTAGGTGCAAGCCCCTGTTCTAAGCCCCAGAGAAAAGAGTGAATTAAGCAGATGTGGTTGCTGTCCTCATGGAGCTTACCATATTGAAAGGGAAACAAACAAGTAAACAGGCAATTCACATATAGTATGCCATCTGCTTATGATGGCAGAAGTGCAGGGTGCTGGGGAGCACCTGGGGGTGTCATGTATTGTAGACCTGCACAGTCCTGGAATGCTATCCAGAGGAGGAGACATCACTGTGGAAACTAAGGGGTTAGGCAGAAATTAGTCAGAGGAAAAGACAGGCTCCAAGTAAAGGGGACGTCCCCAAGATGAGAGACAGTGTGACACTTGACGAAACTAAGATTCAAGCCTGCCTGGGAATGTTGTGGGGGATGGAAGAGAAGAAGCTGGAGAAGGCAGCAGGAGCCAGAGCGTGAAGAGTCTACTTCGCCCTGTTAGGGAATCCGGACTTTCTCCCGAGGTCACTGGGGAGCACTTGAGGAGTTTTGAGCAGGGGAGTAACAGGACCAGGTTTGCATTAAGAAGAATCACTCAGGCTAAAATGTGGGGACTAGCCTGCGGACAGGCAGTGCGATTGCAGGGGAAGGAGCAAGCAGTGGTTGCAATAATCTGGGAGAGATGGCAGCGTTCTGCTCTCAGGCAGTTGGAGCTAAGTGGAATGCTCTGATAGATATTGAGGATAGAGAATGGCTGAGACTCCAGGATTGAGGGAAGGCGCTAATGGAGAGAGGGGCAAAGGGTGGCGTGCAGGTTACTGACATGAGCCATCCGTAAGTGATGGTGCTGTGCATTGAGACAGGAACAACAGGAAAAACAGGGGAGGTGTTCAGGGCAGATGATTAGTTCTTTTTGGGTACAGTCGATTTTAGTTATCTTCAAGGTATCAAACAGGCTGTTGGATACCTGAGTCAGGAACTAAAGCAGGGCTGAGGTGGAGATTTGAGAGATGACAGTTGAGATAGCCAAGGAGATGCTGGCATAAAGGGAATGCCTACAGGGAGTAGGGAAAATGAGGAGTGGGCCTAGGACAAAATCCTGTGGATTATCAACATTCAAGGAACAGGCTGCAGAACACATCAGCAAAGGAGACTGAGAAGGAGGTGCCAGAGAGAGGGGGAAAAAGACAGAAGAGCCGGGGCCCTTGGAAGCCAATAACAGAGCATTTCCCCAGGGTCTGCAAGTACCTGTCTGGCACACAGTGGGAGCCATAGTTGAGGAGGGCTGGGTGTTACGGGAAGCCAGGCTAGTAGAAGAACAGCAGAGCATCGCATTCCTTCTCCCTTCCAAGCCCAGCCCCTGCCCCTGCACAGGATTTTGTGTGCAGGTGACATGGCAGCCTGCCTGCATCCACACTGGAACTGCACCCAGCTATCTTACACTCCCCAAAGCCAGCCACACAACTAACGACGCCCTAATAGGAATGCTTTGGCACCAATAGAAAGAAACCCTCGGGCGCTCATCAGTGGTCCTGGCTGAGTTACACAACCTTCCTGCCCCTCCTCAAGGTGCAGCCTCATCAGCATAGCAGTGAGCAGCACCTTAGGATATCGTACAGGGGTGCAGCATACCCTTGGCCAAAAGTTGGCTCCCTGAGCCATCTCATGGATGAGGATGCGCCTTTTAGATAATCAGGAGGCAGGAAACTCCCCCTGGTGAAGTTTAGGTGAGCAGAATTCAGACGGAGGGGCAGGAGGAAAGGGAGTAAGTGAGGAGGGAGGGAGACTGGGGCTGGCTGGAGAGGCGTGGAGATGCAGGTGGGCCAGGAAGAACGTGGCAGCACTGATGGGGTCACCCTCTTTCTCGCATCTTTCCTAACCGAGTCCTTAGCCTTCTCATCTCTCCCATCTCCTTTGACACTTGCTCTTTCCCTCTACACACTCAGGGTTGGGCCTTTCAGAGTTCGTCTTGACAACCAGGGATCAGGAACACATGTGGGTGGGGTGGCCTGGAGTGGTGACAACTTCCAGAGTGACGGGAAAATGGTCTCATGAAGACTGCACAGCCCTCAGACCACACCTCTCCAGTGGGAAAGCCCTTTTTAGCTCAGGACTGGGCTGCAACAGAGAAACAGGAACAGCTCGTGGCTTTCCACACAGTTTCTGCCAGCTCTGGAGCAGGGCGGCTCTTTGGAGAGAGTTGACCACAGCACTCAGCGGCTCCCTCTGCCAGGCCCCCCAGACACATCTGGGCACCGCCAAGGCTGGGGGACTCCATCCCAGGCTTGTCAGGGATTCTCTGGGCAGCACTGCGGTGGAAAGTCCTTCTTCTGCTTATGTTGTCTTCCTTTTCTATCTGTACTCTGGTTTCCTCCAGCATTGATGTGAATTTCAGTGTGAATTTCAGCAGTTTTGCACCCTTGCTCTTGTATTTTCCTTATTCCGAAGAGTCTAAAGCTTCCAGAAGCCTATGGAACAGGAAATGGGAGGAGTCACTCGTTGAGCAACGTGTGACTGTCAGATCCTATGAATCCTAGGTACTAGGGATGGACAGAGCAGTGATGAAATGATCATAGGCCCTCCCTTGGCAGAATGGAGAGTTGAAGATGGTCCTCATCTTCCAAATGGCCTGCAGCAAATGTCGCCTTATGCCTGCCCAGCAGCAGAGGCCATATGAGCCCACAGAGCCCAGCACAGTGACCTGTGCATCATGTAAATGTCTGAATTGCATCAAGTGGAACTGTACTTCTCCCTGGAAGGTGACAGGCCGTCGCTGAGGAGAGAACATACATAATCTACGATGAGCCTGAACAGCCTTAATAAGGGAGCCAGGGGCGGAGTCCCAAGAAACTAACATTGAGAAAAACTTTAGTCCCCTTCCCTGGAAACCTCCTGTCCACAGTCCCAGGCCAAGCAGACAGATTTGGAAAATAGCAATGACATAATTCACACTTCTTTTCCATCCAACACAGAGCAGTCGTGGCACTCTGGCCTTTGCTTTTGTTGTTCCCCTGCCTGGAATGCCCTCCTCTGCTCACTTCCTCCAACACAATCCCAGTCAACTAAAGTGTTCAAGGATGAAACAATAGGATATCTGGGATTTGCCGGGATATTAGAGATGGGGAAGTGAGAAGAGAAGAGTGCGGAGGAGGAGGGGAAATAGTTGAAATAAAACTGGACAATTAATAAAATGTGATACTGGGTATGTTAGGGTTCATTCTACTATCCTGTGTATATTTGGAAATTTTCATAATAAAACATTTTCTAAAAACTCCTGTGGATCCACAAAACCCAGGTCACTCCCACCTTGTACATGAAGCTTTCCTGACAGCTCTCCGCTCACTCGTGGACAGGCCACTCCCTAGTCAAACGCTAATGGCATGACTAGCCCCGCCAAGGTACAGCCATTTAATTCAGCTATCTATTAGGTGCTTGCTTTCATAGGCTTTCAATTGTCTCTTTAACTTCATGGCAGAAAGGAGAGGAGGGAAAGCAACTAACATTTCATGAGGGCCCACTATGTATAGGGACTGAACTACATGTTCTCACATAGGCCATGTCCTGTCTGCTTCTCTAGCGCAAAGTTGGCTCATCGTGGGTGTCTCAAACATAGGCCAGAAACATAAAGGAATCACTCACTAAACATTAGCACAGCAATCTAGTAGACTAGCATGAAGCCATCAAAGGTATGCATCTCATAATACAGGGAAGGACTTATGTTACAATGCTAAGTGAAAAAAAAACATCGGGGCACAAAATCATATCTGTATTATGATCCCAACCCTATAAAAACTGGCTCTATAAAAGACGGGGTGGATACGTGTATCCAATGTGCTTATTTCTGGGTAGAGGAGTACTTGAGAATTTTTTTCTTGTTTTTGTATTTTCAAAATCTGGCTTAATAACGGTATATAACAGGAATCAGCAAACTTCTTCTATAAAGGGTGAGGTAGAAAATATTTTCAGCCCTGTAGGCCACGCAGTCTCTGTCACATCTAGTCGACTCTGTCTTGTAGCGTGAAAGCAGCCACAGAAAATGCGTCAGTGAATAGGAGTGGCGGTGTTCCAGGGCAACTTTATTTACAGAAACAGGCAGCAGGCCAGATTTGTCTCATAACCAGCCATAGTTTTACAACCTCTGATATATTATTTTATAATCAGAAAAAAGTTATGTAAGTATATATTCTTTGGTTATAAGATCTTGGTATCATAATCAATAGAACACAGCACAGAAACCTTACAGCCAGGCTTTATTCTGATATCTTTGCATCATGAAATAATATAAATTAAAAGTCATAAATGAGAGACTATGAGAATACAAATTCTGTGCTGGATAGAGTAAAAATTAACAATACCTATAATTAATACCAATTTTCTCTCTATTTTTAAGCCTAATATATTTTACTTATTTAGATTTTTCTTTTGTGTCTTTCAATAAAGTTTCATCATATTTTAGTGACCTCTAAGAAATCTATTATTTTTAAAACATCTTGTAGGATGAACAGAAAAACTACAATTTTCATTTTTTTCCCCTCCAGATTTTCTGAAGCCAAGGCCCTGGGAGAAAGTATAAATGAAGCAAGAAGTAAAATTGGTAAGCAGATGATATTCTGTGAGCCTCTTTCAGAAACCATTTTCCTGGTGAAAATCAGGTCATGATGTGCCTCCAAATGGCCATGAAGCCCCAAATGGCCAGTTTCAGGAGAGCCCCTGCCAAGGAAGCTGCTTTGAGAGCCTTCCCTAGGAAGTGTGTGATCCCTCCCACCACCCAGCAGGAAAAGCACTTTCTTTTGTCTAGAACTTGAACTTTTCATCCTCAGGCAGACCTGAGCTCCAGCATCCCAATCAGAGAGTTGTGCTTTTCCCTGGTGTTTTTCAGCAGTAGCTCAGCTAATCATAACTTCACGGTTACAGTGAGACGTCATTTCGTATTTCAAGTATGGGGAAACACTCTTACACCTCCCAAAGCTTCTGCTTAGCATATTTGGCACAGGTATGATATTTTAGCATCAGTCAATAAGCTGGTGGAAGGATAAGAAGCAAAAACAAGCCATCGTGCCTTCCCAAGGTGGAGGCTGCCACGGAGGGCTCCCCACTTAGGTGAGTACCCCTGCAAAGGTGAAGTTAAGGCAAGAGGCAACTCAGTAAAATGTGCCTCGAATTCTCTTTTTTTTTTTTTTTTTTTTTTGAGACAGAGTCTCACTCTGTTGCCCAGGCTGGAGTGCAGTGGCGTGATCTCAGCTCACTGCAACCTCCACCTCCCAGGTTCAAGTGATTCTCCTGCCTCAGCTTCCCATGTGACTGGGACTATGGGTGCATGCCATCACACCCAGCTAATTTTTGTGATTTTAGTAGAGATGGGGTTTCACCACGTTGGCTAGGCTGGTCTCGAACTCCTGACCTCAAGTGATCCACCCACCTCGGCCTCCCAAAGTGCTGGGACTACAGGTGGTGAGCCACCACACCCAGCCTCAAATCCTTTTAAAAGTAAGAGGACAATGTTTTTTTCATCCCAAACTAAAAGATACCACAGAGACCCATCTCCCAGGCCCAGGGCAGCTTCACAGAGGCGATCCCTGTGCCTCACCTCTGTGCTGGAGAAGGCAGCAGTTACTGGCTCACAGCTGGCCCGCTGGGTCTCTCTTACTACCCCCTTTTCTCCGCCTACAAGTGAGGACAGGACAGAAGCCACTGTGAGTGCCCCCTTTAATTTTTCTAACAGAATATAAAAATCACGATAGCCTCAGTTTGTCTCGGTCGGTAAACAGGAGCCCCACAGTCCCCTCTGTGGCCTGAGACAGAAGGGGCTGAGGCAGCCAGACCCAGAGACACAGCCAACAGCCACACTCAGAATCCTTGTGTCTCAGGAGTTCTTGACCTAAGGTCCAGGATCTTGATAGGAGAGAAATGCCCCTGTATTTCTACTAACCTCTAACTGAAACTTAGCACCACCTCAATGATGAACCCAGTGGAAGTCACAGAGGCCTGCATGTCATATCACAGAGGGGCAGACGTTGTAAAATATCTTTTGTGCTATCAGTACAAAATTACAGTGGTTATTAGACTCACCATTAGATCTTTTTATTTAATACATTTATATAAAAGTACATAGATATTTCTGTATCACAAAAGGTTTTACAATTTTGATAACTATTTCAATATAATTGGTTTATCTTAAAAGCCTGCGTATTTTAATTTATGCACCAAATTATTATCCTGAGAAGGGGTCCGTAAGGTCATCAGACTGCCAGAAGATCGCTGGCACAAAAAAAGATTTCAAACCCCTTTCTTGACCTGGATTCCTGAACATCCTAAAACTGCATGAGAAAAACTGGGAGTTAGGAATGTTTGTATTTTTCTGAAGATTATGTCCATCCATAGCTCATCTGATTCTCAGAGGGCCCAGTCACCCACACCAATAAGGAAATTGATCCTAGGCTGATCTCCTTCAGGTGGGAAGGCAGACACTCTGCTGGGGGGCATCCCAGTCCCAGACAGTGGGCAGTGATAGTCTACTTGGCTTGAAGGGGAGAAGGAGGGAAAGAGGAAGCTGACTTCAGTGGAGCCAGGGCCAATTTGTCAGCATCCTCTTACCTCAAGGGACCCAGTGGTCTGTTTTCATCCTTGGAGGGATAAGAGAGAAGACCTTTTATAAACTGTTTCTCCCTAAGAAATAATATAAACTTTTGCTCTTAAAAAATATCTTACTCTGTAAACCAAAATAAAACCGTTCCAACATTAATGAAATAGACTAATGATGGAAGGCACCAATTGACTATACTAATATACTTAGTTTTTTCACTCTGAGTACAATGGAAATAACTACAAATTCCCCATAACTGTGGTGCAATCGTGTATGTTGGTGGAGCAAGTTTGCCACATTCTGAAGATTAGGCAGGTTGGGGGCTGCCTTAAAATCTGCACAGGTGTTTCCTGCCCAAGAGCCAAGGGCCAACCAACTGAGGGCTGTCATTTGATCTGCCCAGAGAAGATGTCTGCTTATAATTCATGTTCAAAGGGCCCAGATATGCTAGGAGAAGATCTGGACAAGTAAACATTTGTTTTATCCAGAAAATAACAAGCATAGTTCACACCAATATTGAGATTCAAGCTTCCATTGCTGCCAAGAACATAGTTAATTCAGTGATGCCTATAAAGCCAATGCCAGTCTTCACTTCACTTTATGCAAATACCACAGTGAGACCCATTCCTGGCCACCCATCTTTCAAATTGTGCTCTAATCCAAGGGGCCCAGGTGAGTGGGTCATTGAGACTCAGCCGTATTACTGAATACCCCCTCACGGTGCTTGACCTCAGGGAGTAGCCTGCCATCACGACATCTCAGACACCAGGTTAGGACTAAGGAGGAGGAAGGTGGAACTTGCACACACATTTAAAATTTCCAAGGCAACCTTGAAGGACACAAGTTTCTGGAAATTTAGGATATGAGTGAGTGCATTTTTCTTAGGGAGAAATGAAATCAAATGGAATTTGCAGTCCCCAAGGAGTCCTTCAGTGAATCTAGGAGGCAGGAGGCAGGAGCATGACATGAATTTGCCCTGTCTGCACGGGATGGTGCCTCAGCTCCACTCCCAAACTGGGCTACATCCTGCCTCTGGACCCTGAGGCAAGATTGAGATGCCGAGGGGTACACACGTAATTGGCCTGCAGAGAAGAAACAAAAGCTGTATTTGTGAACTGCAAACCAGTCAGCCCACATGTTTAAAGTTCAGGTTGCCACTGTCTCCTCGGGTAGTTTGTTTTTTCTCTGACATTGTGATCCACAGCTGCCTCTTGAGCTGCCTTCCTTCTCAAAACTCCCTAAAGGCTATCAATTTAGTAGTGGCTGTATAATATCTAATTTTTATATGGCATAATCAGTCTGAACTTCCATATAATTTCCTTCTCTTAAAAGAAGCCAACCCAACTAGGTAGATAAACTCTTGCCACAAACTCCTTTTTGTCTTTCTCTAGACGCCATTTACATCAATCCTGATGTTGAAATAAGTTGAAATAAGAAATGGGAGGAGTAACCAATTTAAAATCTCCCTGAAAAATAATAAGAGTCTGTGTTTCTGTCGGAGAGCCATTTTTATTGTATCTACCTGTTCCATATACAAGATCATTCGGCTGCTTTTCTTCACATGGGCTGGGGTTTCGCACATGTTCATTTACACCCTGCTTCCATCTGTCATGTCTCCAAAAACGCCACTGAGCCCAAACTGGGAAAAGAAGTAGACTGCTTTAGAGGCAGTGGCATAAGCCAGGCATGGTTTTGCTTACTAGAATCCAGGCATTAGTTTTTTTACATCATCACTGTTTTACCACTGGCAGCATTGTCTTTGGCAACAAAGGACAATGAATGGCTGTTCACTGGCTTAAGGCCCACTCCAGACTAGTCCTGAAACAGCTGCCTTGCAGGCAGGTAAAAGAGCTTGACTGACACCTCTTGGCACCTCTTCATCCCTCCACAGACCCCTCCAGGCCTAAATGAAAACTCACATCACAGGAGGCTGCACAGTGGGTTTTCACTAGTGAGGCACTCAGCAATCAATTCAAAAATCACGGGGAATGTAATAGAAGAAGCTGTTAGTGAGAGGCAAAGAAAGAGAAAAACAAACACTAGAAAAGCTAGCAAAATATTCTGGAAGTTTTTTTCCCCCTACTCCAAATTCAAAGAACCCCCCAACCCACCATTTGACCAATGCCCTTTTAAAAAATGTTTCTCTTGTACATCTGGGATTTGGGAAAATCATTTCTCAGATCTGGGTCTCTGTCGGCAGAATAAACCAGACTGTTTTTGCTATTTGTCAGTTCTGTGCATGTTCTGTACTTAAGCGTCATTGGAGGTTTACTTTTGGACCTACCTCCTGCATGTCTGCTTCTTGTAACTTATCCTGGAGTAAGGAAAAGACAACATCCAGGCTGTTTTGCTAGATTATGATGACCCGGATCAAGTATATCCTTTTGTTACTATTTGTTGCCAGCTCCAAATTACAAGGACAACACCAGCAGTAACAGCAGCCTTCAGCATTTATTGAGCACTTACTCCAGGCTGGCCTGAGAACTTGACCTATGTTATCTCATTTAATCCTCACAGGGAGGAGACACACCTGTAAGGTGGGTTTTACCATATATGTCACAGATTCTAAGGACACAGTTTTTACACTCTTAACATCTGTGTTGTCGGGATGTATTTAACCGTCCCATTTGGCCTTTTTTTTTTTTTTTTTTTTTTTTACATTTTAAAAATCTCTGTATTGGCGATTGGTCTTCTAGTTGACATTGTCTTAGATTCTATGAAATATGGTATTTTCACTGTTTTATAGGTTTTGTTTCTTTGTTTGTTTGTTTTGAGACAGAGTTTCACTCTGTCATCCAGGCTGGAGTGCAATAGCGCAATCTCGGGTCACTGCAACTTCTGCCTCCCGGGTTCAAGCAATTCTCTGCCTCAGCCTCCTGAGTAGCTGGGATTATAGGCGCCCACCACCACACCTGGCTAATTTTTTGTATTTTTAGTAGAGACAGGGTTTCACCATCTTGGCCAGGCTGATCTTGAACTCCTGACCTTGTGATCCACCTGCTTCAGCCTCCCAAAGTGTTGGGATTACAGGCATGAGCCACCACACCTGGCCAGATTTTTTTTTTTCAATGAGTTGCAGTGAAATGGCCTTTGTAAGTGGCCAGACTAGAATTTCTGTCCAACTCCAGAACTTTTTAACACTATATATGATCTCCATAAATTCACATTTACCTGACTTTGACATTGTCTTCTGAGTTTAAATTTCTCTCAGTTGTTATTCAGTTTCCCTGATTCTTTGGCCTTTATCCTACACGATATGCCTAACAAAAGGCTCAAACTAGACCCTAGCTCAGGAGCTTTGAGCATAGCCCACGAAAATTAAAAGTCTCTTTGTAGCGTGATTAATGACAGGTCATCTTTGGCACTTTGGGGCCCAGTTGTGGCAGTGAGTGGGGCTGAAGTCCAGCCTGCCCTTGCTCTCCATCCCATGTGCGCCACTCAGCGTTACATCTGCCCATAGGAAGGCACACCTTTTTCTAGTTTGCACAAAGGTCCCCCATGGGTTTGCAGCAGCCGTGGTAGGATTCAGTGTCCCACATGTGTTTCAACTATCATTTTCAGTGGTTTGGAGAATAGAGTTGAAGGGTTGTATTCTCAGGCTGTATACAATTCCAACTGAGTGGGTTTACTGATGCTTCAAAAAATACAAAAGAATTCAAAGCATAAACGTAGATGTGGTTTAGTAGGAATAGGTGTAATGAAATATTTATGCTTATGTACCAAAACCAGCACAAATAAGGACTCGAGAAAGCCTGATTAAGGGCAGGCAGAGGAGTCATCGGGGACCAGAAAATCAAAATGTGTTACCATAAAGTAAAAAAAAATATTATATTCTCAAAAGTAAGAAATATAAAAGCCAAGATGTCATCCCTTCCCTCTACCCAGCATTTCCATGTCAACATTATACTGCATTTCCTCAGTAATTCCAGATCCCTACAAGAATAGAAATGGTTCAGAGAAAAGCAGGTAAAGAGATGATTTAAAAGTTACAAAGTAATTTTTGATTTATTAAATGATTCACCACATTTATTTTCAATAACACACTCTGCTAGTGCACTAGAGTATTGTCTGATTTTTAAAATTACGCTTATCAAAAACTTCAATTAATTTTTTGTACCCAACTTGCATTGGTTACAATGTTTGACTGTAAGAATAGAAGGAAATGTGTTGTCTCAGGTAAGTGGGGAATCTAAGGAGTACAACTAGCTTCAAATGCATCTCTCTCTCCTCTCCTCTCCTCTCCCTCCTTGTCTCAGTTCTGCTTGACTACATTGTCTGACAGCCTCTCCCCAGTTAGTGGCAAGATGCCCCTGGCAACTCCAAGTTTACGTGGTCTTTAGAATTCGTACCTTCGTTGAAAGGGACCTTGCCCAACAACACTGGCAAAAGTCATTGGAGGGACGAATGATCGACCTGGCTTAAGTCAGGTACCCATCTCTGAACCAATCCCTATAGCCAGGGGAATAAAACACTCTGACTGACTAGGCCTAGATCATGTCCCCACTCCTCAGGCAGGTGCTTAGCCCATCTGCACCACATAAACTGAACAAAATTTTTAAGGAATAGAGCAGGTATCTTTCTCCAAAGGAAGAAATGCTAAGCACACAAAAATTATGTTTACTACAGACCTTACAGAAATTTATCTATGGCCTGAAATAGGAGACATCTGTAAAGCAATGGGAGGTAGTTCTTATGAGAAAAGACAACAGTTAGACTTCTTTATCCTGGAAAAAAGAAAGCTGTGAATGGGGAGCTTAAAGATTGGATTTAAGTATAGGTGCTATAATGGAACAAATACAAAATGGCACACTGAAAACTCGGGGATTATAGGAAAATTAAGACTGAGGGAGACCACTCAGAACCCACACTGCTTTAACTCTAACAAAACCAATTACAACCCTATTAAAAATAATGATAAAAATGGCATGCTAAATTCCTAATACATAAGGCAACACAATCTATTATTAAAACATCAGATTTTTTTTTTCCAAAATAAGGTTATCATGATAGAAGAGGATTTAAGGAAGGGTTGAGGCTGCTGAGAGATGGAGACATGAGCATCATGTGCAGAGATGGGGGACAGCAGCACGATAAGCCCCCCCTAAGAGACAGCACCCAGCCACGCTGGACCACAAAAAGGAACATGGAGGCAAGGGGGCTGCAGTTCAGTCCTGCATTTCTCCACAGCTTCCTGGGCTCAGCTGTGCCAACTTACTTTGTATTCAGTTGTTTTTACTTGGTGGTGCAAAATTTTAACATACGAGGAGAAAATCCTATGTGAACAAATAAGACTATGTATTACACTGACATCAGTTCCCTGTTAACCAATTGCATATGAGATAATTCCTGTTAAAGAAACATGGTTGTAAGAGAACCGACTGTGTATTACTTGATGATATACAGAAGGACCAATAAATTATAATTCAGCTTTAAAGAGACTCCAAAAAGGAAGAAATAATTTGCAATTGTATTGAAAATGTATTTGATCACGTGAAAGAACATTTTGACAAGAAGGTTATTAAATGATAGAGATCACGGGACTCTTGAAAAGCAAGACACAAAAGCATCTTTCTGAGATGACTCAGGTATCTAGAGACGAAAAGAGCAAAGATGACTTATTAAGGTCTCTCTGTAACAGTTCAGGTATCACTGAAATTGCAGAATATTCCAAGACATGAAGTTATCTGAGTAACAACCCATAACCAGTATGACTGATATCTTCATGAAATTTAATGTTTTGCTGTCATAGTTTGGAGATCAAACAAAAAAAATGATTTGAAGCAAGTTGGAGGGCTGTAGTGTACCTTCACTAGCAAGATTGAACACTAATAATTATCATATATAGAGAAGGAAGCAATGATTTGGTTGGAATGCCACCAAGAAAAGATGGATGGCTACCTTCCAAGAGTCCTGACAGAGTAGTCTTGCCTTAGTGAGTGAACCAAGGTCCACGACCTGGCTAGGAGAACAGAGGAATGCTGACCCATGCCCGTCAAATGGACTGCAAATCAGGGGGACAACTTATTTATTTACCATGGTGGATGTTCTTTTATAGCCAGGAACTCTTAAACCACCTCTATCCATGGCACATCCTCCCAGGAAACAAGCTAGATTAGTTGTTGAAAGGCTGATAAGTGAGCCTCTCCAAGCACAAAGGGAATCAAAACTAAGAGAAGTAAAGAGTTTGGAGAGATAGGTTCCCATGGTCACAATTAAGCCTCACAAGGCTTCCATTGCTCACAGCAGTGAACATTCCTGCAACAATGATAGGCCTTGGTCCAATCCCTGCCTTCTCTGGACAGTGCTCACTCACCATTGCCAACCTGACTCATCTGTTCTCCAGGCTGACCAGCCTCCTTCTGCACACAATACCTCTTTCACCAGACACAGTAAAGCACCATTTGTGAGGCTTCTTCTTACTAAACCATAATTTTATCCCACTCCTACCTCTCCAGGATGAACCGCAAGTCACTTTTCATAGGATTTGGGGTCACAGAAACAATCACTTCTAGTTTGGCTCTTTTGATTTTAGAAACATAAACCTGATGAGCTAGCTCAGGGTTAGGATACATGTGTGGTGATGACAAGAATCCCATTAAGATACGATCATAAGATCTGAGGCCCCTCCAAGCTGTAATAGGAGCTGGAACCAGGACCTGGAGAGCCAAGAGGACCCAGGGTGGCCTTAGAGCCCAGCGTTCTGCCTCCAGGCCTCCCTCAGCGCCTCTTGCTCCCTCTGTGCCTGTCTGCTCTTGTAACCGGCTGGCCCTGCTGACCATAGTCCCACTTCCTCATGGCTTTGGTCTTCCCTGGTCCCAGCTGTACCTGAAAATATCCTTTAATATCCAGTCCCCAAGGCTAATGAGCTACTTATCTGCTTATTTCTTAGCTCAAAGGTATGAGAAAGAGAATTTGACTGGACCAATTTGTGTTTTCTAGGCCTTTAGGACAGTAGCTGCTGGCAGGCTTAAGCATGTGCTGCTTTGGGGTCAGGAACCCACCTCTGGTCCAGGAAACTATGACCAAGGAGGAAAAGAGGTCTTGTATGTCAGAAAGTGGTCACCTAGGCAGCAAAGGGGAGGAAGCTCTCTCTTTTAAAAAGGGTATAGGTAGGACAGGTGCAATAATTGATATCGCATATGCTCTTGGTTTTATCTCAGGGAGAGCTGTGTGAAGATTTTTTGCTAGTTCAGCTCTTATTAGGTGACATCAATTCCTTAATTTCCAGGTTCTCAAAGAAGCAACTCACTATTGCCCCTTTGTTTTACCAGTAGTAATAGTGATTAGTAAGGTACATTATAATTTATAGTACATTATTATTTTTCATACAGTCAAATCCATTGATCTTTTCTTTTATGAGTTCCTCCATTGCTTTCATATTTAGAAACAGTCAATGTAATAATAATAATGGTAGGTTGTTCATTGTCAGGGATCTGTTTAATACCTTCCTAAATTTACTTATAGTGTTTTTTATATTGTTCAATTTTTCACACTCAACTCATTTAGGATTTATTATAGAATATGGTATGTAAGCTGAGGCTCTAAGTTGAATCTCTTTCAAATAACCAACTTTCTCAACACCTATTTCATTTTAATGAAATGCCTTAAAATGAAATTTCTTTCCCTTATGGGAGAGTCATTTCACATTTTCAGAAAGCAGCTGATGCATTCTAAATCTCATCGTAGTAGTAATGTACATTCTTGACATGATAATTTTCATTCAAGTATTTCAAAAATAACTTTGCCAGCAGATATTATTATCTAGATATCAGAATAACCCTGCAGAAAAGTGGCAGCTGTATATAAACCAGGACTCCTGGATGCAGAGCCACAGGGGCATATTGGTAAGCGTGTGGTCCCTCCAGGCTGAGGCCCTCTCGGCACTCTCTAAAAGGAAGGAGACTCTCTTTAAATATACCAGCAGGAACTGTGCTCCACTGACTGATTTGCCCAGGGCAGATAGTTGGTAATTTGTTGTTTCACTTCTAAGAAGGAAAAGTGTGTTTTATTGTCTTGTATTGATTAGAAGGATGAACATTTATAGCTGGGACAGAGGTGGGGAAGAGGGTTTTGTCAGTGATGCTGAACAGGGAATACCTGCAAATAGCAGAAGGTTTGCTGTGTCTCTTGTCAACTACTCTGGAAACACTGATGAGTCCCCCTGTTGAAATCCACTGAGAGCCTCCAAAAGCAGAACACACAAGGGTGGGAATAGCCCTCCTCGCAGCCGCCATTCCACTCAGCATGGAGACGGCCTCAGTTTGGTGCTGGCTTCATGTGGTAACATGATCCTGTGGACCAGACTGGCTCTCTAACACATAGTCTGCACCAGAACTTATTGAAGCCAGCCTAAAAGTATGCATGTGCAGCCCTACAGCAAGCTGTTTGTTAAAGCACAGACCTTCAGAGGAGATAGTGAAACACCACGCAGACACTTGTCCATCCTCAGGGACTCAGCACTCCCCTTCTGGCAGGTAGATGACTGCCACTGGGCAACATTGAAAAAGCAGAGATGCTCCCAAGCACATCTAGGCTATGTCACTGATGAGGCATCTCATGAACAAAAGCCCAGCCCAGGCAGTTTCGGTGGCAAAACTAGTAACAGCAGGACCCTGGCAGCTACCTGAACAAGGCCAAAAGGGTGGCCAGGGACTTCAACTAGGAGTGCCATGGGGACTTCCCAAAGTCAGGTGTCAATGCTTGGACAGAGATAGGATTGCCTGAAAGGACTGGTGGCAAACAGAGAAGCCCACTGCCAGTGACTGTGTATCTAAGCACAGACCGTAGGCCAGCAAGAGTCAAAGAAGTAGAGTCCCCGTCATCATCATAATAGCTAACTTTGATAGAGGCACTATTATTATTATAATACCCCTACTACAGATGAAGAAACTGAAACTTATGAATATTGCTCATATTCATACGCAATATTCCTTTATTGCTAGTAAGGGATGGAGCTAGTAAGGGATGGAGCTGACAATAAAGGAAAGAGGCAGAGAGGTTAACGGGAAGAGGACTAAGTTAGTCAAGGGAGGACAGGCCTTCCTTCCTAGGTTCTCTCCCTTAATCTGGAGTTCAGAAAGTCATAGATTCATTGGGGTGGTGGGTTTTGTCTCTTTTTAACTGCATAAGTGATTCATGGGTACATTTTGCCATAGTTTGAACAATACATTAATATACATAGCAAAATGTAAGCAGCCCACACATTTTCTCTCACCTACTACCAATCATGCCCCTGCCCCAGAGGAGAGTAGCCACTTTCAACAATTTGATGTATCTCCTTCCATCCTCTTCTGTGCATTTGGAGAGAAAGAAAGAGAGAGAGAGAGAGAGAGGCACCTATGTACAAAGATATCTTGTTTTGTTGCATAAATAGGACCATAAAGTATCATTCTGCCCCCTTGCTTTTCTCATTTAACAGTGAGTATGTTAAATGAGAAACTCACCATTTTTTATGGTGAAATAAACTATGTAAATACTATTAACTACTTTCTTGTAACAGACATTTCACCTTTTTTTCCAGTTTTTCTCTATTACAAACAGTGCATGCATTTTTGTGTACAAATGTGAATGTTTCTTTGCGATAGATGAGTAGAAGTAGAATTAGGGGGAGCAACAGTATACGTGTATTTTTAACTTTCATGACTACTCCCCAGTTGCCTTCCCAAAGAGCTTCATTAGTTTATATTCCTTCCAGTGTGTGACAGTACTCATTTCCCTGCATCCTTGCTTGTACATGATCATATCAGCCATTTTAGTTTTTGCCATTTGGAGAGCAAAATATGGCATTTCGTTATTGTTTTCATTTGCATTTCCCTAAGAGCTGGTGAAATTGAATACTTTTTCATGTATCTCATATTCTCTGCCCATTGGTTAGTTGAATTTCTCTTTCTGAGTTGTAGGAGCTCTTTGTGTCCTCTGGATATTAGGCCTTTGTCTATAGAATACGTAGCAGATGTTTTCTTCCAGTCTGTCACTTGTTTTAATTTTCTCTTATGATTTTTGGAAGAACCCTAGGACAGTTGCTTTTTTCTGTTTTTCAAGTTGCTTTAAATTGGGAGGTACTGACTCTACCTCACTATAGCACTGGCCCAAGGAAGATATTTAAAGTAACCTTGGTCACACTACACTGATTGTCACTAAAAACATGTCCAGATCAAAACTAGAGATGGTGATTTCAGATCATTTGTTTCAGAACCACTAACCACTACATGAATAAATGACTCCTGCATACAGATGGTTAAAACTTGCACCAGACCACAAGTCTGATGAGTTTACTGCTGAAAATATATGTTTCGTAATGAGGTAAAGACTGATTTTATTAATTTAATCCTTATTGAAGACATTACCAATGATGCATGAATATTTTTAAAATTTAGTTGTTTTGCCAAACAGCATATTAACACATGTTGAGATGATGCTGAAGTCTAGAAGACATCCTAATAAATAACTGGAATGTAGCAGAACCTAGCAACTCATTAGCAAACACTAGGATCCTTGGGCCCTCCTTTTTGTTGGAAGACAAAAGCAAATAATTAAGGAATGACTACAGAAATGGGTAATGTACCAAATAAACTCAACAGGCAAAAAGACATCAAGGGGCATCTTAATAGGCAAGGGACATCAAAGATATAAAGTTTATAAAGTGCCTGCATCAGTAATCTAAAGCAAAGCCAGGTCTATTTTTGAAGCTTATGAAGCAATGTATTTTTTGAAGTAAATACTGCAATCTTGTAAAAAGGAAAAATTAAAAAACCACAGCTCAAAGAAGGCTTATTGGAATTTGTGACCTGAACCTAATCAGGCTGATTGTCTGCTTAAACGGCAACAAAAAAAAAACAGGAGTCTTTTTTAGAATTTAAATAAGACCCTGAACATGTTCTGGATATGATCCAAAATTACTTGAAGCTGGGCACAGTGGCTCATGCCTGTAATCCTAGTGCTTTGGAAGCCAAGGTGGGAGGGTCACTTGAGGCCAGGAGTTCAAGACCAGCCTGAGCAACATAGTGAGACCCCATCTCTACCAAAAAAAAGAAAAAAGTTTAATTAGCTGAGCATGGTGGCACATGCCTATAGTCCCAGCTACTTAGGAGGCTGAGGCAGGAGGATTTCTTGAGCCCAGGAGTTTGAGGCTACAGTGAGCTATGATTGTGCCACTGCATTCCAGCCTGGGTAAGAGAGTGAGAACTTGTCTCCAAAAACAACAAATACTTGCAGGTTAAACAACACATTTCCAAATCACCTAAGACTCAAAAAGAAAGTCCCAAGATAAACTAGAAATATTTTGAACTAAAGGAAAATAAAAATAAAATCCACCAAAATTTGTGTGCTGCAGTTGAAACAGTATTTAGAGGGAAATTTATAGCATTCAACACATATAGTGGCAAAGAGAAAAGATCTAATCAACAAGCTTAGCTTCCATCTTAAGAAACTAGAAAAAGAACAAAAATAATTCCAAAGCAAGTGGAAGGAAGGAAATAATAAAGATAAGAACAAAACTCAATAAAATACAAAAGAGAAACACAATAAAGAAAATCAGTGAAACCGAAACTGGTTCTTTGAAAAGATCAATAACATTGATAAACATCTAGCCAGGTTGACAAAGAAAGAGAAAAGACAAAATAACCAATACCAGGAACGAAAAAGGGGATATCAGCCTAGCAAGCTGGCTCAGGCCTGTAATCCCAGCACTATGGGAGGCTGAGGCAGGCGGATCACTTTGAGACCAGCCTGGACAACATGGTGAAACCCCATCTCTACCAAAAATACAAAAATTAGCTGAATATGGTAGCACACCCCTGTAATCCCCAGCTACTCGGGAAGCTGAGGCACGAGAATCACTTGAACCCAGGCGGAGGTTGCAGTGAGCTGAAATCGCACCACTGCACTCCAGCCTGGGCAACAGAGCAAGACTCTATATCAAAAAAAAATAAATAAGAAAGAGGAAATATCATTACAGACATTGAAAGGATAAGAGAATATTATAAACAGTCTACACAAATGTGACAATTTAGATAAAAGTAGACAAATTCCTTGAAAGTCACAAACTACCAAAACTCATTCAAGAAGAAATAAATAACCTGAATGGTTTCATACCATCTACTAAAGGAATTGAATTCATACTTAAAAGTCTCCCAAAAAGAATGAAGGCCCAGAGAGTTTCATTGTAGTATTCTACCAAACATTTTAAAAAGAAATAACACCAATTTTATATAATCTCTTCCAGAAAACAGAAGAGGGAACACTTCCCAATTCATTTTATTAGGCCAGTATTATCCTGATCCCAAACCAGACAAAGACATCACAAGAAAACTATAGACTAAATCCCCCATAAATATACACAAATACTAGCATATTGAATACAACAATATATAAAAAGACTAATATACCATGACCAAGTGAGGCTTATCTCAGGAATACAATTCTGGTTCAGTATTCAAAAATCAATCAATATAATCCACCATGTTAATAGATTAAGGAAGAAAAACCTCATGATCGTATAAAGTGGCACAGGAAAGTATTTGATAAAATTTAGCATTCATCACAATAAAAACTCCAGCAAACTAGAATACAAAGGAACTTTCTCAACCTGATGAAGGACATCTATTTAAAACTTGCAGCTAACATCATAATTAATGGTGAATAACTTAATGCTTTTCTCTAAGATCGGCAGCAAGACAAAGTTGTTGACTCTCACCACTCCTGTTTAATACAGTACTGAAAGTCCTAGACACTGCAAGTAAGCAAGAAAAATATATAAAAGGCATAGAATGTGAAAGGAAGAAGTAAAGCTGTCCCTGTTCACACATGATGTATTTGTCTACTTAGATAATTTCAAGAATTTACAGAAAAGCTCCTATAAACAATAAAAGAGTTTAGCAAGACTGTAGGATACAAGGTCTACACATAAAAATCAATTATATTCCTACATTCTAGTAATAATTGTTTACCAAAATTAAATATTATTTTATACTTTTAAATATATTATAGTCATATATATATTAAATGCTAATATATAATTTATAGTAATTCCAAAAAATACAGAGAGAAATATTTAGGTATAAAACTATCAAAACATATGGAAGATCTCTACATTGAAACCCAACAAACTCTAATAAAAAAAATCAAAAAAGACATAAATAAATGGAGGCAAAAAAATGTTTATGGATTAAAAGACTCAATATAGGAACGATGTCAATTCTCCCTAAACTGACCTTTAAATGTAATGCAGTTCTATTCAAAATCCCAGCAGAACTTTGTGTAGCTATAGTGAAGGTAATTGCAAAATTTGTATGGAAAGACCATAGAATTAGAATAGCTAGAATAATTTTATAAGAGAAGAATAAAGCTGGAGAAGTCACACCACACAATTTTAAGACTTACTGTAAGCTGCTGTAATTAAGACAGTGTTGACACTGGCAAAAGAATAGATATGTAGATCAATGGAACAGGATACAGAGTCCAAAAACAGACCCACACCTGTAAGGTTCATTGATTTTCAACACTGCCGAGGCAATGAAGAAAGAATAGGGTTTTTTTCAACAAGCAATATTAAAACAATTGGATATCCATGTACTGAAGGAAAAAAGAAGAATCTCAATGTAATCTTACACCATATACAAAAATTGAGTCAAAACAGATCATAGATCTAAGTAGAAAATGTAAAACTATAAAATTTTAGAAGAATGAGTATGAGAAACTCTTCATGTCTGGGGTTTCGCAACATGTTCTTAAACATCATACCAAAAGTACAACCAATAAAATTAAAGTAATAAATCAGATTTATCAAAATTAACTACTTTTGGTCTGTGAAATTCACTGTTAAGAGAATGAAAAGACAAGTGACAGACTGGGAGAAAATATTTTCAGATATCATATCTCACAAAGGACTTCTATACAGAATATAAAAAATACATAAATATTAACTCTCAAAATTCAACACTCAGAAAACAAACAGTTCATTTATTTTAAAAATGGTGGGGGTGCAAAAGGCCTGACCAGATACTTCACCAAAAAGGACGTACAGATGGCAAATGAACGCATGCAAAAATGTTCCCCCTCATTAGCATTAGAGAAATTTGAATCTAAACAATGATGAGATATGACCATTTGTTTATTAGAATAGCTTAAAATGTTTTTAATTTTTTAACTGACAATACCAAGTAATAGCAAGGATGTGGAGCAACTGGAACTCTTGTATGTTGCTAGTCAGCATGCAAAATGGGGCAGACACCTTGGACAACAACTTGGCCATTTCTTACAAAATTCAACAGACATACCATACAAGCCAACTACCTACCCTAGAGAAATGAAAACTTAGGTTCACACACAAACTTGTATGCAGATGTTTGTAAGGGTTCTCTTCATAATTGCCAAAAACTGGTGGTAACCCAAATGTCCTTCAGTGAGTGAGGGGATAGACTTCAATAGAGTGCATACAATAGAACATTACTCAGCAATAAAAAGAGCAGACTGCTGGTAAATAAGACAACATGAGTGACTCTCAAAGGCATTGTGCTGGATGAAAGAAGCCAGTCTCATAAAGCCTCCTACTATCTGATTCCAGCTATATGACATTCTGAAAAAGTGAGAACTTCCACAATGCAGGGCAGGGGTGGGAGAAGGGTGTGAGTCCAACATGGCCTTGTGAGGGAGTCCAGGGGTGACAGAACTCTTGGGGATCCTGCTTTTGAAGGTGGCTACACAAATCTATGTGTGTGTCCAAACCCATGATGCACACACATGCTCCCAAGTCAATTTTACCATATTTAATAATAAATAAAAAATAAAACAGTATGAATCCACCAAGGAAAGAAGACAGGAGGGAATATCAGACAACCCACCTCAGCTTTTATAAAAGAAATGACCTCAGCTGTCATTTTAAAATGAATCTTATGTTGGAGAACAGAATTTTTTTTTTAATTTCTCTAGAAAGAGCACTTTAGGTAATTGGGTATGGGTTGATGATACAGGTTGTGGTGAATTATTTCAGGCTGAACGCAGTAGGAGCTTTTGCCACAGCTTTTCCTCAGTTTGGTCAGGGCAAGTAGGAAATTGAGGGCTTCTACGATGAGGACTTTGGGCAGAAAGCCTTGGTCTCAGGTTTATTCATTCAGTAATTTATGTACATCTGTAAAGTTGGAGGCCCTGTGGAAAACACACAAATCCATAGGAGAGTCCCCAGCCTCAGGATACCTGTAAGGTGGTTGAGAAGATAGGACACAGGAGGCCCTCAGGATTGAGCCTGCAATTACTCTGCAGACTCCCCTTATAAACCACCCAGTGGGGGCTTCTCAGTCAGGCCTCGTTGGTGGAGTAATAGGTCACTACAAATAAGTGCCCTGTAAAAGACTTGGGAACATTTCATCAGAGATAATCATTTGCAGTGCAATTTTCCCTTCTATGGCCAAGCCAGCAAAATTGATGGGTTTCTTAAATGTGCCTCAGGAGATTTTCTGATCTCTGTTCCACTTAAAGACCGTTTGGTTATTTTTTAGTCTGTCTCCACAAAACAGTATTTCATCAGGTTCCGCACAGCCAGAAATGTCTCTCCCTGACTTCCTAAATCACTGCAAGTTTCTGCCGGGCACAGCACGGAGTGAGTAAACAGGCCCATAGACCCAGGATTGAGGACAATTGTTTGCATTGTTCTAGGATGAGTCCTCGAAACGGCTTGAGTCCCTCATGCCCCTGGCACCTCTGCCAGGGTTGGTTGACAGTGCTTTCCATCACAGTAACACATCGTACCTTTTCCATTGCCCCAAGTAGAAGCTGAATTGAAGAGCTTCTGATGTCAGAGCTTCCTATCTGAGGTGTCACTGCAAAAAGGGAAACTGAGGCAGCAAGTGAGGAAAGAGTAGCTCACCTCAGCATGCAGAATGTGAGCCAAAGTCTAAGCAGTCTGCATTCTATTAAAATAGGGTCCATAGAAAACCAAGGGCTGCTACAGTTACTCCTATTTGCCAGGCCAGAAAACAAACCTGACTCCCAAAATACCAGCCAGGCCTATAAGAAATCAGGCAATAGACTAGCTAGAATGTTTCATTTCCTCTGCCTCTTTCTCTGCTAGTTTTGTTGCCAAAGAATTAGGTTTGTTTGTAAGAGACTATATTAACTACAGGCAGTAGTAATATTTTTCAGACAAGGATAATGAAAAACAAGAAATAAGGAACAGGGTAGATGTTGTCAGAGCCCCACCTGCATCCCTTCCACATGCCAGGCATGTGCACACTAGCATGACTTCACCTGCTAGCACTACCCACTCCCCCGAGAGCATTTTTCACCTACTCAAGAGATATATGTGGGGCAGGCTGGTGCTGGGGAATTAAAATCCCCTGCCCCGGGAGGACTCAATCAATGACTGTTGGCAGTTGGTGTATACGTACCCCAGCTCCCTCCCTCTGCAGGAGTGAGAGCTCTGAGGCATGTATCCTCTACAGGCCCCTAGAGTCTCCAAGTGGGATTGAGCTCCAATTGCCCATAGTGGAAAATGGCTTGCCATTGCCCCCTAGATTGGCTGCCTTCCCTCCATGTCTCACTTCCCTTGTCTGTTACCAGTGCTTCCAGGGATCATTTCCCAAATAAACTACTTGTACTAGGGTCTGCTTCCAGGAGAAACCACACTAAGATAGGGGGTATGGGGTGTTACCTCTGAGATAACTCAGATGGTGAAAAGAAGACAGAGGAAAATGGGAGCTGGATTATGCAGGCTTTCTCAACCAAAGTGACTTGAGCAACTGCAGAAAGGCTACTGGCCTCCGGCCACTGTAACAACTTCCTAGAAGTCACTGTCCTCATTGATAATGTTACACTATTAGGAATTAGGGGCACCTATTTGCCATTCAGATACTTATCTCTTCTTCATGTACGTGCAACATCTTAGCTTACCCATTGTTCACCCATTGTATTATCATCATTGGTGATTTCCTAAGATCCAGGTAAAAACCACCAATTCCTCTAAACACTGCCACATTGTTAAAATACCAACCCACAAAGGACTGTTGACGTTAGTCAGCTGACATGTAATCAATCCTTAGAAAACAGATTCCTGTGATTTCTGTGGTACAGAAAATCATTACATCAAGTGTATTGTCTCCAGCAGAAAATATCCTAAGGCCCACAGTAAACTTCTCACCAAAAACTGCATGTCATACACATTCACTCTTCATTGATACCCTTGACTGCAAAGAGAAAAGATTACAAATATCACCGTGGAGAAGGGGTCAGATCTGTTTCCAGTGACAGGCCAGAGTCAAAATCCTGTCGCATGAAGCTGAATGGATTCAGAAGCTTCTCCCCCACAACCCTCTTCCCCTCTCCTTGCCACACACTCACATGACTCCCCCAAAGCAAGAACTATCTCAAGTGGCAGCCTTTGGGGATAGAGAAAAATCTTTAGATTCCTTTATTAATTCCTTGGCCACCTCTCTGGCCTCCCAATGCTGACCAAGTCTAGCTCAGGTGTGTTTGTTTTGGAGCCCACAAGGCCTGGCCAGTGTGGCCGGTATAAAGCTGTCTGAAAAATACTTGCTTTTGATATTTTTAAGAAGGGCAAAAAGGAACACATTTAACCAGATTTCATTTCTTCAGCAGTTTGTGAGTTAGGATTGGCATGAGTTAGGAATATAATCATCCAGCCTGTGTCTGAAAGAATGCCGCCCTTTTCCAGTTTGCACAGCTTTCTTGCCTCTTGCTCGCCTTTATAAGCCACCCATCCTTGTTCCTGGAGGGGTGACAGCACTAAAGGAAACTTCTCACAATGAGTCCCACATGTCCCAGGACTCACCAGCCTGTGACAGCCAAACAGGGTGCGTCTCCTTCTTATTCCCAAAATATTATGGCCAAAGTCCCTCCTGGCTTTACTGCTGGAAATTAATCCACTCCCATCAAAGCAAGTCCCCAGACTGTACCCAGAAGTCTCTTCAAGCACTGCCTCCAAGCACTGCTCTGGAGCGCCTGCCTGAGGCCCTTCCCCTCTGTCTTCCTTATCTGCTCTCGTGCTATAGGGGCTGCTGCCTGCTGGGCACGCTATCCTCTAATGGTGCCATTGCTGGTGGCTGCTACCAAGCCTCAAAGACCCTGTGGCCCTGGCGATGGCATCTGACTAGGTGAGGCAAACTTGAACAAGGTACTGTTGGAGGCTTAAGCTTAAAAGAAATGCTTCTTGGAGAGCAGCTGAAAGCTCCTTCTGGTTTCTTGGAGGGCTTTGACCCATAGGCTTCCAGCCTCATTCATGGAGGCTTCCACACACCCTCAGGCAGGCCTGCTCCAAGAAAAACCTGCAGTGGACACAGGGCCCAACAGCCTATTTGTATGTTCACTTTCTCCAGAGCACTGCCTGGACCCATAGCTCTCACAAGATAGTTTATAGCAGTTTGTTTTCCAAAACTCTGGGCCATTCAGTCTTCAATGACACAAGCATGTCATCAGTCAAGGTGGGACTCCCCCCAGTGACCAACAACTTGTTCCATCTTTCCTCAAAAGCAGCGTTTCTCAATGGGGGTGCCATTGGCCTGATGAGACAGGCGGTTCTTTAGTCGCAGGACCCGGCTCAGCTCACTCAGTACAAAAGTGTCTTTCCCTCATTGTTGTGACCACTATTGAGTACCTGGATGAAAGTCTCCATTCACATGTGAGGTGGGGACAAGATCAGACCTACATATTCATCCCACCGTTGACTGCCCACTGTTCCCAAAGAGCTACAGCAGGTGCTTGGACAAGGACACATCCACATCATCTGTATTAGTCAGGGTTCTCCAGAAAAACAGAGCCAAAAGGATGTGCATAGATACAGAGAGAGAGAGATTTATTTTGAGGCATTGGCTCATGAGATTGTAGGGGCTGGCAAGTTCAACTCGAACAGGGCAAGCCTATAAGCTGGAGAGCCAAAGAAGAGTTGATGTTGCAGGTCAAGTCCAAAGGCAGTCTGGAGGCACAATTCATTCTGCTCTGGAGGACTTCAGTCTTTTTTCTCTTAAGGCCTTTAACTGACTGGGTGAGGCCCACTCCCATTATGGATGGTAATCTATTTTTCTTGAAGGCTACTGATTTAAACATTAACCACATCTAAAAGCAACCTCTAGACTAGTGTTTAAGCAAACATCTGAGCACTGTAGCCTATACGCTTTGACATATAAAACTAACCATCACAACATCCAAAGTACAAGCATTACTTTTTAGGCATAGATAAACTGTATGAAGATATTTTTTAATCTCTAGCTCTGCAAACCTATAGTTCTGCTAAAGAAGCACCCGATCTGTGTTTCTGAAGACAGAATACTAAATAGAACATCTAACTCTTACTTAGAAGCACCTACCTGCATTTGGGTTATTTCATTTTTAGAGCTTCCCCCAAAATAATGGTGTATCTTTACCTTACATGTACAAACCTCAAATGCCCCATTAAAATGATTAGCTTGTCTCCAACAGAGCCATGTTTTTCTCAAAGATAATATCCAGACTTTCTCATAGAAGGCAAAGGCTGCTCCTTATTCTGGAAATTTTACCTTCCCAAGTTCAAAGAATGTGAAGGTTTGGTCTCCTCCTGGCACCTGTTAGACCCTGGAGCAGCTGATGATCAATATGCTCCATTAGCTGAAATGAAATCAACTTCTGCTTCGATGAGGATTAGAAACAAGTGCTGTGCTCTGGGATGTACATTATCACATCTCCCACATTATAGGAAACAGTTATCCACCTGTCCCTAGCCACGAAGGAACTGAACATCCCTGTGATAGAAAAAGCCATAATTAAGGATTACGCCTTTATGTGAAAAGCAAGATTAAGTTTACAAGTAAACCTATAAAAGTCCCTACAAATATTTTTATATTCACCAAAACAAAACATTAAAACCAATACACTAAAGAATCATAATAACATTTCATTCATCATAATGGGCTCTGTATATTTAGCCTCCATTTACTATCCCTTGGACGCAGAAAATTTTTCAGGATCTCTCTCCCCTAAAGATTCAACCTGAAGCTTGTAAATTATTTTTATCTTTGCATATTGTGGCAATTCCCTCTCCATCTCTGTTTTTCTTCTCTCTGGGTATTCACTGCCTTCCTGATATTAGCCCTTGGAATTGTTGACTCCCCAGAGACACAGCACCCAAAATCGTGCCATCAGCCCTTCTTACACACCTTCTGATTTCCCGCTCCCCCTGCTCACTCATTTTGTTGGCTGAAGAAGTGTAGTTCTCGGGCCATGTGTACTGCAGCTTCCCTCATCTCCCAAAGCTTCACTGCAAAAACCTCTCATTTGGTTATGTTGTCTGCTTTGCCTCTTTTTTCTAGTCCTAACTCCCTAGATTTCCTTATTATGCATTATCCCCAAAATGACCAGCTTATATCCACCAGGACTGAGATCGGTAAGAAACAGAGCCATGCGTACTGGAATTTCAGGCAGGCAGAACTCAAGTTCAGGGAGGGGGAAACGATGTTCTTCCTGAAATATGTCACTCCTGAAAAGCACCGTCTGTAAAATGGTGGGATGTCCATCTCCACCTCTCTCCTTCCTCTTTCCTCTTTGAAAATATTTAGCCTCAGAGGAAACAAAAGGAGAAAGAGCTCTGGTGTTATTTTTCTGGAATAAAATAAAGTAAAATAACGGGATGGGGATAGAAATCATCCCAGGCTCTGAAAACAGAACCATTACCACCAGCATTTCAAGCAAGCTTTTTAAAAAGTCATTTACTTCCAATTACAGAAATCAATCATATTTGACTATAACGGAATATGGAAGACCCCATTACTAACTAAAGTGATGGTGAATTTGAGGGTAAATAACTGATCAGAAGGGAGAAGGTTTAGTAAAGATAAACTAAATTTGTAAAAAGTTGGAGTCAGCGAGTGCTGAAAGGTCACAGCTCTGCTTTGTGAAACCCTGATTTGGACAATTGCAAGGACATGTGACTGTCCCCCCTTCCTCCCCACCGAGGCGGAGAGAGGCACTTCAGCAAAGTCTGCTGGGCCCACGATAACTTGTTAATTTAGGCCTGAAAGATGCTTTTCTAAAAGGGAACAGGGGAAAATACAGATGTCCTGCCATATTTGAATGTGATCAAGACCTTAGAAACAATTGCAATAGGTTAGCTTGCTTCAATCCTCCATGCAGTGTTATTTGTAATCAGAGCCACCCACCTCATAATCATTACTTTTTATTACTACCACCACCATGATGACCACCACTCATTGTGCACCTACAATGTGCCAGGCACTGTGCTGGGGGCTTTATGTACCTTGGGTCTAATTCTTGCAGCAACCTTGCAAGGTTGGTGTTATCACCCTATTTTAATGAAGAAATTGAGGCTCAAAGGGATTAAGTAGCCTAGGGTCACAGTAGGAGGTGGCAGTGCCAGTCTACCTGCTCCCAGAACCCATGCTCTTTCCATTATTGTAGGCCCAGGATTCCCTCTGCAACTTCTCCTGCCGTTTTCCACTCCCTCTCCTCTGACGGGCCTTCACTGCTGTTCAGTTGTCTCTGAAGGCTAGCCACCTTTCTCTGGCTCCCCACTCCACCACAGTTTCCCAGTGCACCTGCTGGGCTCGGCCCCCGTTGGCTCCCTTGGATGGTTTTCCTGAGATGCACTAATGTATCCACCCCCATGCCACTCCCATGGAGGTGAGTGCAGAGACAGAGCACAGGGAGCCTCACAGATTCAATGGTGGGCCTGGCCCATTGCACCAGAAAGACGCAACGTGCATATGCAACATCTAACAATGACTTTTGAACCTGGAAGCTGAAACCATTTCCATTCAGTTTTGTCTTTTATTCACAAACTCACTAACACATTCCTCCTAATCTCCAGTCTCTTCAAATGGAGAACAATTCCCACATCATGAAGCACCAACTCTGTGTTAGGCAATTATTTTACAGGCCAGCTGGAAGTTTGTCCAGCAGTGAGCCTTAATTGGGGCTTGTTTTTTCCCACTGACTTTTTTTTAAGCACTAACTGATTTAAAATTAAATGAGTAGAATCAAGTTTTATTTTGGAGTGAAAGAGTTGATTATTTATATCAAAGAGCCATGTAAAACTTGCTGTTTTCATGTTAGAATCCAAGTTTTTAAAACTATATTCACTGCAAAATCAAACATCTCAGTGCTTGGGGTTGATTTTATGTCCCTTCAGTGAACCTGCCCTCTACCTCCCAGTTAGTGAGGGGTCCTACAAACTAGCCTCCAGTGCAAGTAGGAGCATGTTGGGAACAGATGGAATATACCTGTCCCACCCACACTGGAGTAGAGGAGATTTGAATGCCCCCAGGTACTCCTAAGAGTGTACCCTGGGCTACTTCTGGGGATATAAGGATGGAAATCAGAGGCAGTGGCTACCTGGGCCCTGCCCTCACCCCCCACAACATTTCTGGCAACCGGAACCACATCTTCAAACAGAAAGAACAATTGTGAACTACAGCTACTCCTCCAGGGCAGGCCTTGGAAGCTGGTTATATCCCCCTTTGCTGAGAAGAACTTTCAAGCATCTAAAGTAACATCTTTTGAATAGATACCAACACAATCATGAGCCCTCAGCTCCCTGAGATGTTTAGTATTTAATAATTCATGCTGGTTGCTGAGCTGAAAATTTTCCTAATGCTCACCTACTTGCATCTCCACGTTTGTTTGAGCTTTTAACAAATGTGCTTACTTAATTCTCTGAATCTGTTTATATAATAGTATCACATACAGAAATAGTGATATCAATAAGCTTCTTAGCTTAATTACACATATACAATAGCCAAATGCTTGAGCTTCAGGCAGAACGTGCTAATCTTGTGTGATTATTTTGATTACTTGGGTAGCCCAAGTGAATATCCCACAGCAAAAGAAATTGGGTCTCCCAGACATGGTATAATTTGGTCATTTTTTGTAAATGAGAGCATTCCCCAAAATGTGATTATCATGTACCGTCATAATGATAAGCAAGGAGCTGTCTTGAAAAGCCCAGACTACTGTCTGGTGTTTTCATCCCAAGCTGAAATGTTCATTAATTACCAGGCACATCCTCCTCCACAAGATAGGGCCGAGGTGATGGGGAGCCCTTGAGAAAATCCCCACGGGGGGAAATCAAGACAAGTTCCGGTGATGTTTTTCTAGAAAGTATTGATATCTTTTATAAGGAGCTGCTTTCCCCCTCTCTCTGTGACTCGATTATGTTATCAACTGTGATGTTTAGCATACTAAATGGAAGAAGAATCTTGAATTCTGGAGAAATGAAATGTCAGTTTAGAATAAGGCAGCTTAAAAACATTTGCCTAGCATTTAGGCCACTCCTGGCCTCCCACTGTATGTTCCATTGCTGGACCTTTCTCTTTGAGGAACCCATGGAAGGACCTGTTGCCCTGACCTCAACAAGGGAAGAAGGCTTCTCAGAGGTGCCCCCACCCCTGGCCCCCAAGCCAATGGAAATCCCTTGCTGTCTTGGGCTGCCTCTGGGACTCTCTGTCTTCCACCTTCACTTCTTTGCCAGGCTGCTGGTGAATAACACAGCTCTGCCAAATAATCCGATGCTGAAACCCTCCTTATTTCCCCTATCCCTGTCGCTGAGACTTCGGTTATGAATATTTTCAGTCAGCACACATGGCAGATGACATCACATGTGTGGCAGGTGCTCAAGCGCAATTTCCAGCATGCTATAGTAACATCACATTTCCCTATCAAGGAAGTGCAGTGGGTATTTAATTTTTATTTCTTTTTATAAATATATACAAATATAGCTTTTATGTGAATCGTAAATCATGCGCCTTTATTAAAGTACATTTTCTATTTTGTTTGATCTTGCTCGGCTTTATCCTCTCCTACCCAATTCACTCTCCACCCCACTTCCACCCTCAGTAACCTGTCATAGCATTGTAGATATTCATTCACATAACCTCCATGGTCACAGCATCATACATATACATATATATGCACAAGGGCATATGTGCGTGCACAAACACACACACACAAACACACAGTTATTTACATACGTATATGTAAAGCTCTTGCCATTGTTTGTTTCACCAAACACAGGATCATTTATACCCCATTCTTTTCTCTGATTCCTTTTTTCTTCTTCCTTGGCTTCTGTCGAATTGTGAAAATGTTGGCATTCCCTCCCCACAACACCCATCCCTTGCCTTTTTTTCTGATCTTCTATTGATTTGGCTGCTACTGTACATATTTTTATTCTTCTAGAGTTAAAAAGTAACTATAACAATGTCTGTAGTTGTTCCAAATATATCCTCCTCCCAACCACATCCAGGGTCACAGCTGGTTTTAACTCCCCACTGAACATCTCACTACTTTATCTTCACTTTGTTATTATTGCCTAAAATGTTGGTTTTCAGATACACACATACACATACACACAGAGGTTTTTAATGGTCAAATAATAAAATATTTTTACTTAAATATTTTATTTACATTTTATGCTATTACTTCTTTTATCCCCCATCTTTGTGTTTATTTTTCTTCTTGCTGATCATAACAACTTTCACACTTACACAGTTTTTATTATATGTCAGGAACTCCTTAAGCACTTGACACATGTGACCTAATTCAGTTGTCACAGCACAAATGCTGTTATTATCCCCATTTTTCAGATGTCAAAACTGAGGCACACTGACATTCAGTCACTTGCAGGAGGTTACACAGTAAGTGGCCCAGCTGGATGCAAACCCAAGGGGGTTGGCTCCAGAGTCCACGCACTCACCCTCCACGCTTGGCTGCCTCAGTTGAGTTCTTTTAGGGAGAGAGGGCCTGCGGGTGGTAAATGCTCTTTGTCTTCTTATGACTGATAATGTCTTTACTGTGCCCTCACCTGTGAATGATAGTTTGGGTATGAATAAAATTCACGTTGACAGTTGTTTCCCTCCACTATCTCCCGGCACCTGTGGTTGTCACTGAGGAGTGGGCGGTCATCTAAGTTCCTCCTTTGCAGGTCCCCTGGAAGCTGTTAATAGTGGTTCTGATTCCCTGAAGTTCTGTAATTTTACTATGATATGTGTGGGGGTGGATTTATTTTTATTTATCCTGCTCAATACTCAAACTGCACTTTCAACCCAAGGGCTTATATTTTTCTCGAATGCTGGAAAATCTCAACTGCTATCTCTTCACCATTCTTTACCATTTGCCTCCATTTGCTTCTTTACCATTTGCCTCCATTCTCTTCTAGAATTCTAGACAAATGAGGAAGCCTCTCAGTCTCTTCTCTGTGACTTTTAACCGCTTTCCCCATTTTTATGTCTTGCTTTCTGTGCTGTGTTTGAGTCAGTTTTTCCAACTGTCTTCCAATTCACTAATTCACTTTTGAAATTTACCCCATCTAGGGTTTATTTCCTTAGTCTCTGTACTTTTTATTTGTTTCAATGACTAATTTTTATTTCAAAATTTCTGTTCTATCCACCTATTCTTGTATCATTTATACCTATTTGTCACATATTTCTTATTCTTTTTAAAGAAAATGTATCCCTTCATTAATCTCGTTAAGTATCCTCAACATACTTTAAGGTCTTTGCCTTGGGCAGATAGACTAGCACAATCATTATGGAGGGCAGCACTCAAATTAATTATGCAAATCTGCTGAGACCCAGCAGAGAAATGTTCTCACAGACTTATAAGACTACATGTTTAGGGATGGTCATCACAGCACTGTTTGTGTTAGTGGGAGTGAGGTGCAATCCAGTTGTTCAACTATCAAAAAATGGAAGTAAAAGTTGGGGTGCATTCTGTGGAATGGATGTAGCAGTCAGAAACTGAGAATTAGATGCATATACAGCAAAACAGATGTCAAAAACAGTACTAATAAATAAGTAAGAAACAGAATGAGATCTATAGCACAATATTACTTTCACAGCTTAAAACTACACAGAAAACTTTAATACAAATTGTAAGAACACCTACAATAAAAGCACATACATCAAACCAACTAGAATGGTTGCCTGTTGGAAGAAGAGGAGAATAAGAATAGGACATGAGACATGAAGTATCAGGGCCAAAATACATGTATACACACACACACACATATATATATATACATGCATTCATATATACATACATGCATATGTATACATACACCTATACATACATACAAACATACATACCAGAGAGGCATTGCCCAGGCTGATGAGTGGTGTACCCTAAACTGAAGAGTAAAATTAACTCAACCCTCTGTGCTTCTGCATCAACAAATGTCTTCATCTGCCTGCCCAGAAAATTACTTTCATCTGTAACTAATTCATGTTCCAACTATTGAACTTGACTATCTTTTTTTTAGCATGAGATTTATTCATATATTTTGGCATTTTGCTGGGCAGGCCCATTTTTAACGAAACACGTTTTATTTATTTCTCTTACTCTCTTTTTCTTTGTGTTCATCCCTCTCTGGCTGACAGACCCTCCAGGCCCCCAATCCAGAATCAACTCCAGTAAAGACAATTTGGAGTGACTGCTCCGTAACAGTACTGGAGATGAGCAGACCCTGTATAGAGCCCGTGAGCAGCTGGGCTTAGCAGCTGGAGAGGGGCTGAGTTTGTACGTTTCTTCCTCCTTGGGCTTGCATTGAGTTGGAAACCATAGCCCCAGGCAACATCTGGTGCACGTTTCATCAGTCCCCTTTCACTCACAGATTGGGTGGTAGGGAGCCTCACTTCAACCCGCAGCCTCAAACAATGTGCCAGACTCTTACCCTGTTCCGCATGGCGCTGTTTTAGTTACCTTCCTACTTCTGGAACCAGTGCTTTGCAAGTTCAAGGCCTCAGCTCCACTCACCATTTTTGCATTTCCGTCCTACTTCTGGTCTTCAGAAATATGTCTCATAATCAAATCCCACAATGTCTTCCTGATAGTCTCTTTTCTATTTTATCCACCACTGCTATGGTGAGAAGAGGTAGTTCCTGACTCAATACATTTTCAAAGTATACCAACAAGTTTGGATAAAGCCTGATGAAATATATATTAGCAAGGGGGACATGAATATGTCTGATTTTAAGGTTTCAAAGAATTTACATCCTCCTGTTAGTTGGGAATCCGTGTAAGGATTACACAATTTATTCTAGGCCCATTATTTTTACAACTAGCCTTACACACAGCCTTTAGGGATCTAACCTTTTGGTTATCATGATCCTCCATGTTAGTACCAAAAAAACTGCTTCTCACATGACAGCTGAAATTGTCACTCAGAGTTCGGAGCCTCTAACTAGACCTTCCATTTCAAAGAGGCCCCTCAGGCAGGAAACATATTCTGCATATTCTCCCCACACCCCAGTTCTACAACTGATGTTTATATTAACCAGATTTTGCCCAGAAACTCTAGTAGTATAGTCAAACAGACAAATAGCATTTATCTGGGTCCAGAGCTCTTAGTAATTACCCAGGACCCCAGACTCCAGTATGAATACAACTTAGTCTTCCCCAGCCCTAGTCCTCCACTCAACCTTCCCTTGCCGCCCCTGTCCCAAACCAGTATATACTTGGCCTCTGCATTATTGTCCCAGCAGTTCTCTCAGACTGAGGTGCCCTTCCCAAGCGCACCTTAACACCCTTGCTCTTTTCTGAGCCTACTCAATTCGCCTGTAGTAATTATGCCTTTCCCAATGTCTCCTTTCCCTCCTCTAAATGTATCTCTACCATTGATTTGACATTTAGCCGCTTGACCTGTCATCTTAACCATGTAGTATCCTTCCAATATGTCTGAAAGTGCCTGAATACCTAAAACGAGTGTGGCATATCATACATGCTGGTGCGTTATCCCTTGCTCCTCTGAAAGATCTTGAGATATAGCAAAGCAGATATTATTGCAGTTATAATATTTTTCCATTTTTCAAATGATAACATTGAGGTTAGAGACGTTGGTTAGCCCATTCAACTAAGAAGTAGCAAAACTGGGATTTGAACTCAACTTCGTCTACCTCCAGATTTGTAATTATTTCCTTTTTTTTTTTTTTTTTTTTTGGAGACAGAGTCTCATTCTGTTGCCCAGGCTGGAGTGCAGCGGCGCGATCTTGGCTCATTGCAACCTCTGCCTCCCAGGTTCAAGTGATTCTCCTGCCTCAGTGTCCCAAGTAGCTGGGATTACAGGTGCCCGTCACCATGCCCAGCTAATTTTTGTATTTTTAGTAGAGATGGAGTTTTGCCATGTTGGCCAGACTAGTCTTAAACTCCTGACCTCAGGTGATCCACCCACCTTGGCCTCCCAAAGTGCTGGGATTACAGGCATGAACCACCATGCCTGGCCCAGATTTGTAATTATTTTCTAGAATAACTGAAATAGCAAAGAGGTTTGCTTCATCTCAAGTCCAACTTCAAGTGATGGGCTATAGCTGCCCAGAGTGCTGTGTGGAAGAGCCAAACTCAGGCTCAGCAGGAAAGCAAACCATCCCTGATGGAGGAGCAAGGCCAGCCGTTGGTCCAGCACTTAAAAGAAAGAGCACACGGGCCACCTATTTGCTGATCCCTGTACTGCACTGACTTTCCTAGGTTAGGATAGAGCCTTCTACGAGTGTGTATATTCCACAGCACTTAGAACATAGTGCTTAACCGATAGTAGATGAGAGATAAGTATTTATTGTTTGATAGCAACATAAACATGTTGAATGAGGCACAGCATCCCAGAAATTGCAGGAGCAGCAGACAGCCACTCAGGGAGTCGTAAGTGAATAGCTCTCCTCCAGGCCAGCCAAGCAGCGTTCACGTGAATAATCTCAAACTAGCATGCGTGCAAAATAGAGTGTGAAGCTTATGGAAAATGGTTTTATTCAGAAGACTGAATACTGATGTAAAAAAATCAGTTTCACTTCTGCATGATGATAATACTTTCCCTAGAACTACTCAGTAACAGAGAAAACCCATATACCACACAGAGCACCACCTCCACATACCCTGCTCGCGGTCATATTTAAGGTCACCCGTCTCCTCTGGAGCTTTCCCGTGGATTGCTGTAAGCTCTGCTCCCCGCTGCCACCCACAATCCATCAATTAATGTATCAAAAGGGAGAGAAGGTGTTTCTAGCATGTACTGTGGTAAATTACTGAAGGAAAAATTACTAATTATGGACACTCCTGCAGGCAGAGCATTCCTTCCCTCCCCTACCCTTTTGGTTTTCAGCCCCATTCTGGGCTCCCTACTTCCCTCCCAGACTGTCTCCGGCCTCAGGCTGGGAGTTCTCTGTTTCCATTTCATCTCTTTTCCATACCTCTGGATGGGGATGTGTCCAGGAACCCAGGCCAAAACCAGCAAATTTATCACCGTGGTAATGACAGCAAGCTGCATGCTGAGTGAATTCTGCAATCCCCCTCAACTCCTTTTTTTGCCAAAACCCATAAAGCTGCAAGATCCAGCAGGTTACAGAGACTGTTATCTGCACATGAAGAATAGCTCTGTTAGAAATGCAATTAGGTATCAGCCATAAGGCTATTTTTGGAAGCTTGTTTGGGGGAAATAAAAAAAAACTTGCCATGTGGTGGGAGATGTTAGTCAATTCACCAAAACTGAGTATCACTAGCGGCATTGTAAAACAACCTTTATCAATATGTAACATTATAAAGACCCACCTTTTGTTCCCTGGTGGTGCCTCGTTGTTCTGAGAGTGAGTATTTATGCTTGTGGTGGCAAAATCCCCTCTTTATTTACGTGAGCAGCTCCTCCCAAACCAGGGGCAGTGGAGAATCCTTAAACCTGGTCATTCCAAAAAAAAAAAAATACTTCCTTAGGGTTTGGGAAAAAGGAACTTGGTCGTTCCAATAGGCGCTGAAGAAATTGTAACATACCAGGTTGAGCACACCTACTCTGGTCAAGGCATGGGGTTTGGAGGCACAGACTTGAGGAAGCATGTGTCAGGAGGCGCATTGTCAGGGAGGCTTATTACTGGGAAGGCTTATTAGCAGGGAGGTAGTTTCCAGGAAGCAGTGCAAACCAGTGTGTGCTCTAAAGGAGCAAGCCACTGTCCAGGCTCATTAGGAAGGCAGTACCCAGTCATATGAGAGGCTCGTGGTATAAGGCTGTGCCGGATACCCAGGAAACAGGCAGGGCACCAAAGCACCACTGACTCTCCATACTGCAGGATTAAAAAGCTTTTGATGACTCACTCTAAATCAAGAGATGTTTCTAAATGGTGTGTTGCATTTGTCACAGCAATATCTCCTTTTATTTGGAGCATGCATGTGCTATCCCATCTTAAAATTTAATTCAGCAGTGTTTGATGCAGCCTAGAGTCTCAGTCCAGCAGCAGCCTTATGTCCCCAACTTCTTTACTCTGCTTATATGGACAATAAGGGTCAAATTGCACTGAGTAGGGAAAAGATCCATTTGGGGCTGTGGCTGGCTCAGGTGTCAAGTCATTTTCCTGTTGGATCCAGGTTCACCAATACTCATCATTGGGTCAAGTTTCCACTTCCCCAAATCCCCCTCAGCACACTCCTGAAGTTCCCACCCTTCCCCCACATGGAATAAGGGTGCAATTATTGTTTAGTCCCAATGCCTGCCACGCTCTCTATGCATAATTCTCTCCAGTAGGGACACATGGAAACCAAGGCACAGACATGCAGGTGCCCCAGACCCTTTCCCAAGACAATGATGTGTCTGGAGATAGTGGCCTCCGAGGTATTACCTAAGGACTGGTGATGTTTGACCTCCATAAAGGGCAAGTCGAAGTAGAGAAATCAATCATAGCATCCTCAGATATGTGAAGATCCTATGCCAATGACAGAGGATCTTTTTCTGTGCTGATCCAGAAAACAGGCCAGGCACATAGCTGAAGATTATAGGGAAGCAGATGCAACTCCACATAATTAATTCCTTACATATAACTTAATGGAATAGCTCGAATACATACAAGTCAGAAGGGAAATGCCCATTTCCTTCTGTAGAAGGGATTCCTAAATTGACTGCAAAGTTGAACTGAATGACCTCTGCCATCTCTCCCAATTATAACATTCTAGAGGTGCCCTAAAACTCTCCATAAATGATAAAGTCTCTTGTGACTGCTTCCTCATCTACTCATCTTTTGAATACTCAATTCAGCTATAGCCTTGGAGGTATAGAATGTACTTATGTGAGGAAAGAAATATCTTAAACAAGGAAGCAATGAATTTTCCAGGCTTTCTTGGAATCCCCCAGTGGCCTGATCACATCCCCCAAATGGGACATGCCATACAGACAGCACTGACATTTTAACAAGTGTGCTGAGCCCTTGGACATAAACAAACTCCGGGCTGCTGTTTCACCCCTCCTTCATGCACGAAATCATGGAATTTTAGAGACGGAGGAAGCCTGGAGGTCATTGCCTCCCAGATCCTACCCAGGGCAGGAATTCTCACTCTAACAACCCAACAGATGGTCACCCAGCTTCTGCTTGAACCCTTTCAGGAAGGGGCTCACTGCTTTGCCAGAAGATTTAATCCATTTTGAGACAGTCCTCATTGTGAGTTGTTTCTTCCTTGTATTAAGCCCCAAGTCTGCTTTCATTAGACTTGATTTCTGCCCTCAGGAGCAAGATAAAAATAAAGCTGTTTCTAATTCATATGACAATGTTCAGATATTCAAAGACAGCCATTATCTCCATTCCTCCTCTCCAAGTCTTGTCTTCACATCTAAATGTCTCATGTCACCTTAAATATTTCTCAGATGGCATGGTTTCAGACCCCTCACCATTCCAGTCACCATCTTCTGAATATTTTCTATTTTGCAAATGTTCCTTATGAAGAGTAACTCCCAGAACAAATACCAGCTGATGTCTCCTCACTTGTAGAGCAGAGTGGAACTATCACCTCCCTGAAGGGAACTATCACTGTTCTCTGTGCATCATACCTTTATTAATGTAAACTAGAATTATATGAGTTTCACACCAAATGACCAACTATTAGGGTTATTGTCAGTTAAAACCACCATCTTTTTTTATTTGACACAGTTTCATGTAGCTTAAATAAAGATGTGGATTTTAAAGTAGGCCTAAATATTATTAAAAGACCAAATTCTGCTTTTCCCTTTATTAATAATAGAAAGAACCATTTAAGAGAATAGGGGCCTCAGTGAAAGTTATGGGTGACAGGCTAAGATACTTGAATCCTAAGATGATTGAACTCAAGGGTGAAATGTGTGTTTGCACTGATGTGCCAGCACCTAGGCCTTTGCAACCTCTTCTTCCAACACGATCTAGGAATCATGGAAGGTCATTTCTTGGAAGCTATGCCTGCTTTTGTTTCCCTTACTCTACCTTTTTTTTTTTTTTTCTGTAGCTTGCCACATGCTTCTGAGGCAGTCTTCCTCCAGCCCATTGGAAACCCACTGGTAGTTTTCTTTTGTGTCTTTGGCAGGTCACCTGAAGGAAGAAATCACCCAGCGGCATATACAGCAAGTAGCCCTAGGTAGGTACAAAGAGAATCTGCAGGAAGAGGATGAAGGTAATATAAACTGACCTGATTTTAGGAATCCAAACCCAGCTAAAAGATAACCCATTTAAAACCCTCTCTGAGGTTAAGGATGGCAAGGGTTGCTATCCACACAGCTTTCCTTGGATGCCCCTCCTCTAACAGGATCTGTTTCCCCAGCCTGTGTTCTTGCGCCTGGCCATCAGCACCCAGCACCCTACTCTTCCAGCTGTTGCCTCATCCTCCCCTCCTTTCCCACCCCACATCCCCACCTAAATTCACCCACTGTGTCCCAGATTCTCAAGGTCCTATCTGAGCTTTTCAGAGCCACTACTAACTAATCCTAACAGAAATAGTTAATGATGAAAACAGCATTTGTTTACAGACCCGTGTCTGTTGCACAGCCTCATATGCAGTCTCCTTTCATCCACAGCAGTCCAAAGAGGTAAGTGCATTTACCAGATGGGGGAGATGCAGTGCCTTCCCAAGGTCATGTAGCCAGTGAGTGTTGAAACAAGTATTTGAACCCAGTTCTGTTCCAAGCTTGGTGCTGTTAGCCCTCATGCTATTTACTGCCCACTGCAATGATCAACCCGCTTTAACGCATGAAGAATGCAAATACAAAACAAGGACAGTCATATTCTAAGAGGCCCTTGGCACCTTTTAAGCAGTGGACATCTGCAGAAAACACCCTTTTTTGATATGTGACCCAATGAAGTCACCTAGGAGAAGAGTATAGCTTGCAGAGGACTGGTGGAGTGGGTATCCTGGGTAGAACCTCCTCATTTCCTCTCCAGCTAGCTGGGACCAACAATTTATGGAGAACTTTGATTAAATAAGAAATTCATGTATTCCAGACAAAAAAAGTTCCCCTTGAGATGGTGTGGGCCCTCAATTACCTGTAATCGGAGAAATCCAGCACCCAGGGCCAATGGTGGGGAAATAGAGGAGAGCCTCTAAAGTCATGACGATGGCTCATTTGACTTTGGTAATTTGTATTATTAGGAAAGTTGGTTGTTTCGTTTCAGTAGTAATAATGATGATATAGAATAGCTGCTGATTACATCAGGAACATAGAACAAGGGCACCTAAGCCACGGCAACTGGAGCTCTGAGCTTCCCACTGTTGGCCCTGGGACTGGGGTCAGGTACACTGCCCTCCCAGCGCCAGAGACTTGGGCACACACTTAGCATTGAGATTCTGCGAAGTGTCTTCAACAAAGAGCCAGGCTGCCCCAGGGCCCTAACTCCTTGGGCCAGGCTTGGGAAGGCAGAATGACCTCTGCTGGAAAACTGTACCAAGGTGACCTTATGGGCCTCTGTATCCTGCTTCGTGCTCACCCTGGCAGGTCCCTGGATATGGAGTTGTCCCCAAGGGCTGCCACCTGGCCCTGAAACATCTGCCCTCTTCTTCAGCCTTCATGTTGCTGGTTCAATAGGAATAGCAACGTAGGAAGTCCTAGCCAGAGCAATTAGGCCAGAGAAAGAAATAAAAGGCATCCAAACAGAAGAGAAGTCAAGTTATCTCTCTTTGCTGATATGACCGTATACCTAGAAAACCCTAAAGATTCTGCCAAAAGACTCCAAGACCTGATAAACTGCTTCAGCAAAGTCTCAGGATACAAAATGAATGTACAAAATCAGTAGCATTTCCAGACACCAAAAACTTTCATGCTGACAATCAAGAATGCAACCCATTTACAATAGCCACAAAAAAATTAAAATACCTAGGAATGCATCTAATGATGAAGGTGAAAGATCTCTATGAGGACACCTGTAAAACACTGCTGGAAGAAATCATAGACAACACAAACAAATGGAAAAGCATTCCATGCTCATGAATTGGAAGAATCAATATTGTTTAAATGTCCAAAACAATCTACAGTTTCAATGCTATTTCTATCAAATTACCAATGTCATTTTTCACAGAATTAGAAAAAAAAACTATTCTAAAATTCATATGGAACCATAAAAGAGCCTAAATAGCCAAGGCCATCCTAAGCAAATAGAACAAAGCTGGAGATATCACATTACCCATTACAAACTAAACTACAAGGCTACAGTAACCAAAACAGTACGGTATTAGTACACAACCAGACATATAGACCAATGGAACAAGACAAAGACTCCTGAAATAAAGCTGCACACCTACAACCAACTGATCTCCAACAAAGTCAACAAAAATAAACAATGGGGAAAGAACACCCTATTCAATAAATGGTGCTGGGAAAACTAACCGTTTGCAGAGAATGAAACTAGATTCCTACCTCTAACCATACACAAAAATTAACTCAAGATGAATTAAAGACTTAAATGTAAGACTTCAATCTGTTAAAATTCTAGAAGAAAACCTAGGATATACTTTTCTAGACATTGGTCTAGACAATGAATCTATGATGAAGACCCCAAAAGCAAATGCAGCAAAATCAAACATAGACAAATGGAACTTAATTAAACTAAAGAACTTCTGCACAGCAAAAGAAGCTCTCAACAGAGTAAACAGACAACCTACAGAATGGGAGAAAATATTTGCAAACTATGCATCCAATGAAGGATTAATATCCAGAATCGATAAGGAACTTAAATGAATCAATAAGAAAAAAAGAACCCTATTAAAAAGTGGGCAAAGACAGGAACAGACACTTCTCAAAAGAAGACATACAAGTGGCCAAAAAACATACAAAACAATGTTCAACATCAGTAATAATCAGAAAGATGCAAATCAAAATCGCAACGAGATACCATCTCACACCAGTCAGAATGGCTATTGCTAAAAAGTCAAAAAATAACGGATGTTGGCAAGGTTGCACAGAAAAGGGTATATTTATACACTGCTGGTGGGAATGCAAATTATTTCACCTCCTCTGGAAAGCAGTTTGGAGATTTCTCAGAGAACTAAAAATAGAACTGCCATTCAACCCAGCAATCCCATTACTGGCTATATACCAAAAGAAAAATAAATCATTCTACCAAAAGACACAGGCACTCAAACTTATGTTCATTGCAGCACTATTCACAATAGCAAAGACATGGAATCAATCTAGGTGCCCATCAATGGCAGATTGGATAAAGAAAATGTGGTACACATCATGGAACACTACACGGCCATAAAAAAAAACAAAATCACATCCTTTGCGGCAACATGAATACAGCTGCAGGCCATTATCCCAAATGAATTAACGCAGGAACAGAAAACCATATACCGCATGTTCTCACTTGTAAGTGGGAGCTAAATCTTGAGTTCACACAGACATAAAGATGGAAACAACAAACACCAGAGACTCCAAAAGGAGGTAGGAAGGGAAGTGGGCAAGGGCTGAGAAACTTCCTATTGGTTACTAGGTTCACTACCTTCGTGACGAGATCAATACAAGCCCAAACCTCAGCATCATGCAATATACCCTTGTAATAAACCTGCACATGTACCTCTGAATCTAAAATTTAAAAATGGAAATTTAAAAATAAACAAACAATGATGTGAAAAATACCACTCAACTCTAGGGGCAATTTTCATCTTCGGTCTGGGAAGCCATTTCCATGACTTTGTGGGCAAGAGATCTTCCATCCTCTCTGCTGCCCAGTCCCCACCCCTCCCAGGGATGGTCCTTCCAGCTGGGGCAGACACTTCCTGGGCCTTTGGAAAACTGCTGTATGTTTTCAATCACAGGCTTGTGCCTTAATTCCTCTGCTCATCTCTCTGGGAGTCTTCTGAATTACAGCAGGTGTTAGGTTCAGTAGCGCCTAGCTTTGCCTGAAGTAATCAGCAAACTTCAAACAGAAAGCACTTTGGCTGGAAGTCTAATTAAGAGCATTTGAAATACCTATTTATTTTAAAAGCATACTATCCCAATTAGAGAAGAAGTGTCAACATCTCCCAGCTGCCATTCTGAGATTAAATGCCATGTTGCCGTCCAAGCTCCTTAGGAGGTTGTCTGATGGAGATTTGGAACTGCCAGAGCTTGTGTGTCCCAGGTGGCCGCATTTCAGATGGGAATTCTCCTCATTGAGAGAAACCTCTCAAGACAGATTGCTTATAGAACCTTAACTCTCGCCCTTCAGCCCAGCAGTTGGGCTGAAGGCTAGGACAGAGGGCTCCGGTAAGAGTAAAGGCAGCCTACTCGGTGTATTTGGATTCCCTGATGTTTTGTAATTCAGGCTTCAGATCTAAGAGTAAAGAAGTGACTCAGTGGTACGCCCCCTTTCATTTCTGTCTTTTTTGTGTATCTTCTACTACCATCACCCTTTTCATTCTGTTCCCTTTGTCTGCTTCTTTTCACTTTCTCTCACTCTCCATTCTCAGTATTTCCTCTGTTATTGTTTCTTTCTTTTGCCTACATGTTCCTATGGTTTCATGAAAGTGTGGGTGTGATCGGTTTGGGTTTGTCGTGGGGAAGGGTGATGAGCAAGTTGGATCAGGAGAGTTTTTCTTATATGTTTTGCATAAGAATATGTCTCTGGATGTGTAAGTAGATGTGTGCCCAGGGAAATTTCTATAAAGGCAATCCCATATCCCAAAGGAACAAAGATTTAGTGGTAATGTGAGAGGCACCATTTGGAAGAAATCATTCATGGATGATGATAAGCCATTCCCAGTGGTGTGCTGAGCTGGCTCAGTCCATAAAAGCATAAACTGTTAGTACTCCAGGAATGTGGGGAGCCGTTTTTAAACAAAGATGTTATTAAAATTAAATTAGATAAGTTTACAATTAAATGTTATATTAAGAAACAAAGGTAACAAATACTCAAAATTCACCACTTCCTAGTTAATTTACTACATTGTGTTATTATCTGTGCTTTTGAAGTGATCTGTATCCACTGTATCTGTGTGGTGGGAACACTGTGTGACGAGGTGCTGCGGTGCCTCTCTTCCCAAATCCACATTTAGCGAGATCATACTGGTGGCTTCAAATCAGCCATGCTGGAAATATTTACACCAAGGAAATTGGCAAGTATTATAAATGTGGCTTTTTTTTTTTTCCAAAGAGTGGCTGTTAAACATTTGCCACCACACCAATGGCATATGGATGGCCCTTTCATGGCCGGGTGTGTGCGTGTGTGTGTGTGCGCGTGCATGTGCACACACGCGTGACTGTGCATGTGCTTTTATAAGGATTCCTACTCTCTTTCCTGGCTGAAAGTCAAGACTATGGTTCTTTCTTCATTTACAACTCACCCAAGATACATCAGGAAACATAAACATCTACCGAACCCTGGTCCTTTTAAAACTTAGTGGACAGGAGAACTAATGAAGACAAAAAGGAGGCTGAAGAAGCATTGTACCTTGTGAGCTCCCTAGATGTGACAGTCAGAGCTGGGGGTGTCTTTTAAGACAAACATCAATAACCATCTCTAAGAACATCATCAGGGCTTATAGGAGGGCTGACTCCCACACACTATTTCAGGAAACAATAGAACAATGTTATTTTTAAATTAGGCGTCAGTTGGAAATGATACTAACTTAACTAGATTCAGCTAGCTGAGCTGAGAGTGCTTTGCTGAATTCAGTTGTGTGTGTTTTTACCACTTTACTGTACTATCGACCCCAAATGATTTAGTATTGTTGATAATGCAGATGAGACTAATCAGCAAATGTTTCTTGAGTACTTTACCATGTGCCAGGCATGTTACTAAGTTCTCTACATGTGTTTCTTTCTTTAATGCTCACAACCCAATGACGTAGATGTTACTATTATCCTCACTTTACATTTAAGGCCCAAAGGGGTTAAGGAAACCTGCCTAACTTTGCTCCGCTGTGGATGCAAGGCCAGTAGCCTGGGTCCACAGCAGTGTTCCAGCCATCACGCTGCACTGCCCTTAGCACTTTGCCAGGCATCATGGAATCCACAGAGGGCTGTATCCAGTGCCTGCCCTCAAAGAGTTTCCAATCTAACCAGGATGAGTTGACATGTGCATAAAAAGACAACTCCTTTTTTTAAGTATCAGATTCAGCTACCTACATTCTTCCATTCACTGTCCTCTTCCCACTGTAGCCACAAAACCAATTCAACATTGACCTCCTCTGTGAAGCCTTCCCTGACCCCTTCTCCCAAAATCTGCTTTTGCCTCCGCCTCATGGGTCTCTGTTAAAGCACCAACCCTATTTTGTAATTATTTATTTCCATATATATTCTCCATGCTAAAATGTAAGCTCCAGGAAAGGTGGGTGCAGTCAAATTCATCTTCGAATCCCTAGCAGCCAGCACAAGCAATAAATAGGCCAAGTCAATGGCCAGATGAATGCTTCCCCAGGTGACTTCCAGACTCACACATTTTGCAAAAGCACAATGAGACATTTGAGCATAAAATAAAATAAGCCCATTTAAAAGAAGTAGAAGGCATAAGTGCTTTTGGACTCCACAGCTGAGCAAATTACAACACACAGGCAATAAATTTGGCTCTCTCTTGTCTAGCTGCTAAGCAAAAAAGAGGCACCCAGAGTTACATAGTTTTCATTTTCTGACAGCAGGAAGCATACTAACTAATTTATCTGCAGAAAATAGAATTTCTTCCTGGAACTAAATACAAGCCAGAATTTATCGTGCGGATCCTTGTATAAAGGACACTGAGTGACACAGTGAACGATGTCTTCAACTGCAGTTTTACAAAAGATACCGAAATGTTATTCAACCAGATGATTCTTGTATCGACCCTCTATAAAAGCTAGAGGCCTGACATTAAAGCATAGCTCACTGAAAGCGTTTATGTGAGCGGCCAAGATAATAGGATCCGGGTACTCAGCTTTCTGATGGCCACACAGAGCAGGACTAAAACTGGAAGAATCCAGCCCCAGGAACGTGGGCTGTGGCCTCTCTCTCAAATATCTCTTCTAAGCAATATTTGATCAGGGCTGGATCTTGTTCAGTTCACAATCAAAACCCTTAACAGGTGCCTGTGGTTAAAATTTAAAAGATACATCACACTACCAAGCAGCATGTGAAATGTGTCAGGTGAGAGGGACAGGCCATGAGAACTTCCCGTTCTTACCAGAAGGAGTGGCCCTGGGGGGTTGTCACCAAGACCACAGGCCTGGGCTGAGTCTTGAGGAATGGGCAGGATTCTGAACCACAGAGAAGAGTGGGAAATAGTTTGGGTTAGTTGGGGTGTGTGTATGCGTGTGTCTGTTGTGTATGTACGTGTGTGCTGTGTATATGCGGCATGTGGTGTGTGTGTATGTGGTATGGATATATGTTGTATGCATGTGTATATGTGGTATGTGTGCAGTGTGGGTATGTTGTATGTATTGTATGTATATGTGGCACGTGGTATGTGTGTATGTGGTATGTTGGATATGTTGTATGTGTTGTATGTGTGTTTTGTGCTTGTGTGTGTGGTGTGTATGTGTGTGTGGTTTGTGGGTTTGTGTGTGTGTGTGGTGTGTTGGTGGTATGGATATGTTGTACATGTTATATGTGTGTGTGGTTTGTGTGTTTGTGTGCGGGATGGGGGTTTCTCTGCATTTACGCTTCTCTGCGTTTACCCCTTGACCCAACTTCTGTGAAAACAGAGCTTACTGGAACATCCCATTTCCTCGACAGCGAGCATGTTTCATATACTGTTATAGAAGATAGTTATACTGATAGTATTAATTAAAAAAAGAAAATATCTTAAACTTAAGATCAACAAGTTCCAAAGGATGGCTGAGATTCCCCCACGAATACTACCTCTTGGGCACTACCCCTCTTTCCACCTCCCTCCTCCCTCTTCTCACTGCCCCAGGAACAAAGATCTCCTTGAACAAAAGCAGCCCCCAAGAACAAGCCATTCGACTGTGATGCCACGTGGAGCCCTGGGATTGCCACTGGCTGGTGTTTCACTACCTGACCCGGGAAATCAGGCAGAGGCAGCTCTGAGTCCCCTGCAAGGGCCTTACGGGTTGGAGAGAGGCTCTGAAGCTGCTGGCTCCCTGTTTCACTGCGTTGTTCTAGTTTAGTCCTCTGAGAGGGCTCTTTTCCCCCAACCAGCATTCCTGCAGTGACCTCTTGTGGCATCCCTGTTGTTCTTCAAAGACAGGCCTCGGCTGTTGATGCCACTTTCTCCCATTTGATGTAAAATTGGTAAAGACTGAGTTTTGAAATGCTTTTTGCAGTTCTGCACCTAGGGACAACAAATTTAAGAGAAAGCAAAAGGCCAGACTGTCAACCATTTATTCCCCAGATTTCACTGAGCACCTAGCATGATCCAGTGTGTGAAACTGGGAATCCAAGGATATGGAGAGGAGCCACTGATTGAGACTGAACTGAAACCGGGGTTGGGGGGGGATGGGGGACGGCAGGGCAGGCACAGTGGCTCATACCTGTAATCTCAGCACTTTGGGAGGCCAAGGTAGGAGAATCGCTTGAGGCCAGCAGTTGGAGACCAGCCTGGGCAGCATAGCGAGACCTCATTTCTAGAAAAGATTAAAAAATTAGCCAGGTACAGCAGCACATACCTGTAGTCCTAGCTACTTGGGAGGCTAAGGCGGGAAGATTCCTTGAAGTCAAGACTGCTGTGAGCCACTGCACTACAGCCTGGGAGACAGCAAATTTAAAAAAATAAAAAAGAAAAAGAGAAAACAACGGAAGGGGATCTTCCAGCATCCTCTAGCCCAGTGGTCTGCAAAATGTGCTCTGTGCAGCCTAGATGGTCTCCACAGCCCCTTCAGGACCACGAGGCAAGGGTGAGGACAGCCACTGTGCAAACAGCGCAGCTTTGGGATTCTCGCCCACTCAAATTCAACCAAAACAACTTCAGATCTTTTTTTTTCTTTCCATTAAGCTTGTATTTGAAGAAAGAGTTCTGCAGCTTTTAATATATCTTCTTTCTTCCAATATCATGGCTCTGTTTAAAACATTTCCAAAGTCAGATAGTCCAAACTTCCCCTCCCCAGAGCTATCTCAGCTCCCTCTGGGCTCACACAGAACTCTGCATATCCCTCTGTGATGCAGCTAGTCACACTAGACAGTGATGATTAGTCTGTGTCTCCCACACTGGACAGATTGTCTTTCTTTCCCCAACACCAAGCACAGTGACTGTCACGCAGTAGGTCCTCCATAAGTGTTTATTGAATGAATGAGTGAAACTTAGGCATCACATTTTTGCCTTAAAGATGTGCCAGCAGCTGAGGGGCTCTGCGCTCAGGTTTCTACATCTGTAAAATGACGTGGTTGGACCAGATGATAGCCCAGTGCCGGGCACAGTTCCTGAGGCTTAGCTGGCCTTCACTGACTGCTTGTTGAATGAACAGATGAATCTCTAGCACTCCACAGCCCTCAAGTGTCACAGTATTACCTCTGTGAAGGCAGGCTTCCTTCAGACATGCAGAAAACACTCGCAACCTTGGTGCGGAGACATGGGAGAGCTTGGATGGATTACAGATGTTTTCACCCTCTCAGAAATAAAATTGTTGACTCCTTGAAATAAGGCAGGATATAAAGGATGCAGCTGCCCTCTAAGGCTGAGATAACATCTCAGTTGGTTCCAAAAGAATTCAGGTAACTCTGTAAAACCATCAACAGTGTGTCTCACCACTTAATTCTAATCCACAGTTGCTTGTGAATATAGGGCCATCCTCAGTGACATGAGGTCCTTAGCCGAATTTCCATGCTCAAGGGAGAGGCTGGGAGTGAGGAGGAGCCTGCACACCATTTCCCTGCCAGTTCCCAACTGCCAAGGGTTCAGACCCATTGAGTGGTTTAAGGCTCCTGCACCAACCATTCTGGAGGGCAGAGGAAGACTCTATGTCAGCCCTGGTGCCAGCCTGCAATAGCAACTGTGGTTTAGCAAAAAGAGCATTCACCCTGTGTATTGGTCAGGGTTGTCCAGATAAGCAGAACCAATAGGAAATATATTGATATATGGAGAGAGATTTTTTGGAAGGAATTGGCTCACTCAGTGTGGAGGCTGAGAAATCCTATGATCTGCCATCTGCAAGCTGCGGGCCCAGGAAAGTCTAGCTGTAGTTCTAGTCCAATCCTGCAGGCCTGGGAACCAGGGCAGCCAAAAAAGTAAGTCCCAGTCTGAGTCCAAAGGCCTGAGTGCCAGAGTGCCAACGTCCAAGGGCAGGAGATCGATGTCCCAGCTCAAGCAGAGAGAGGAAATTTGCCATTCATTACTCAACCATTTTTGGTATTTTTGTTTGCTTCTCTTAATATTATTTCTAATTGAAAAGCCATAATTGTATATATTTTGGGGGTACATTGTGATGTTGTGATATGTGTATACAATGTAGAATGTTTAAATCAAGCTAATTAACATATTCATTGCCTCACCCATGATTTTTTTTGTGGTGAGACATTTGAAATTTACTCCCAGCAATTTTGAAATGTCCATTATTACTCCTTGTGTTCACACTGCTGTGCAATAGATCTCAAAAACATTCCTCCTATCTAATTGAAACTTTGTACCCTTTGACCAACATCTCCCTCTCCTGACCTCCCACCCCTGGTAACCACCATTCTAGCCTCTATTTCTATGAGTTCAACTATTTCAGATTCTCACATAAGTGAGATCATGCACTATTTGTCTTTCTGTGCCTGGCTTATTTAACTTAGCATAATGTCCTCCAGTTTCATTCATGTTATTGGAAATGACAGAATTTCCTTCTCGTTTAAGGGTTAATAGTATTCCATTGTGTATATATACCACATTTTATTTATCCATTCATCTGTTGATGGGTTGATTCAATGTCGTGGCTATTGTGAACAATGCTACAATGAACATGGAAATGCAGATATCTCTTCAACATACTGATTTCAGTTCCTTCAGATGTATACCCAGAAGCAAGGTTGCTGGATCACATGGTGGTTCTATTTTAGTATTTTGAACAACCTCCATACTGCTTTCTATGACAACTGTACCAATTTACATTTCCACCAACAGTGTACAAGGGTTCTCTTTTCTCCACATCCTCACCAACACTTATCTTTCATCTTTCTTATAGCCATTTTAACAGGTGTGAGGTGCTATCTTATTGTGATTTTAATTTGCATTTCCCTAATGATTAGGGATGTTGAGCATTTTCTTATGAACCTGTTGGCCATTTGTTTGTCTTCATTAGAGAAATCTCCGTTCAGGTCCTTTGCCCATTTTTTTAATAGGGTTATGTGTTTTCTTGCTGTTGAGTTGCTTGAGTCCATTATATATTTTGAATATAAACCCTTTATCAGATGTATGGTTTGCCAATATTTTTTTCCACTCTGGGTTATCTCTTTAGTCTGTTGATTGTTTCCTTTGCTGTGCAAAAGCGTTTTAGTCTGATATAATCCAATTTGTGCAAGTTTGTTTTGTTGTCTGTGCTTTCAGGGTCACAGCCAGAAAATCATTGCCTAGATTAATGTTGTTGAACTATTCCCCTTATGTTTTTTTCTGGTAGTTTTACAGTTTCAGATCTTATATTTAAGTCTTTCATCTATTTTGAGGTAATTTTTCTTTATGGTTTGAGATAGGGATCCAATTTTATTCTTGAGCATGTGGATATCCAGTTTTCCCAACACCTTTTATTGAAGAAACTGTTGTTTCCCCATGTATGATCTTGGCACCTTGGTCAAAAATCAACTGGCCATAAATATGTAGGTTTATTTCTGGGCTTTCTCTCCTGTTGCATTGGTCAATGTGTCTGTTTATCACAGTGCCCTGCTGTTTTGATTACTATAGCTTTGTAGTAAATTTTAAAAACAGAGAGTGTAATGCCTCCAGCTCTGTTCCTTTTGCTCAAGATTACTTTGACTATTGAAGGTCTTTTGTGGTTCCAGATGAACGTTAGGATTTTTTTTCTATTTCTGTAAAAAAATAACATTGGAGTTTTCATAAGGATTGCATTGAATCTATATATTGCTTTGGGTAGTATGAATATTTTAACAATATTAATTCTTCAAATCCATGAATACAATATATCTTTCCATTTATCTGTGGTTTTTTTCCATTTCTTTCATCAGTGTTTTATAGTTTTCAATTATACCTCCTTAGTTAAATTTACACCCAATTTTTGTTTGTTTGTTCTTTGGGTTTTTTGTTGTTGTTACTATCATTAATGGAATTTTTTTTTAATTTCTCTTTCGGATAGTTTGTTGTTAGTATATAGAAATGCTACTGGCTTTTATATGCTGATTTGGTATCCTGTAACTTTACTGAACTCACTTATCAACCAAAAGTTTTTTGGTTGAGTCTTTAGGGTTTTCTATATATAAACTCAAGTCATCAGCAAACAGAGACAATTTCAGACTCCTTGCCACAGAGCTGACCATGGCTCTGGGCCACCAGCAGCATTGAAGGCCTCCACAAGACACAGTCACTACACTGCTCTAGCCATATTTACTCACAGACACCATTGATTACTCTTTCTTGCAAAAAAACGCAATCACATCCAAGAAGGGGCTGTCTATTCCTTTAAGCGCTGAACCCAGATGATCTTGTTACCAGTTGCCAGAGCCATTTTTTTCATCATGCAACTGTGCAGAAATCATGGCTGCTGCTTTGAGCAAATTAGGCATTTGACCAAACATATAGAAGACAAAATTCTAGCCTCTGCATCTCATCTGCTAGACTAGAATGTATTATGGCTGGCCCCTCTATCTGTCCTCTTTTTCCTTTACACATGATGAAAATCGCCATCTGTGCTCGGCAAATCTCGGACCAAGAAAGGCCTCGGTGTTTCCTAGGAACAGTTCTGTTGCATGTGTAATGGAGTTGGGTAAGACTTTCCCATCTCCCCAGAGAAGGTGATGATTAGTTTGGGAAAGAACAACCAACAGGAAACCAAGGTTGGCTGTGCTGAAATACAAATGATGGGTGCAAATAACCAACAGAAAGCTTTAAGTGGTATTTTGAAAATCCTGATATCTATTTGAGAAATAATTAGGGAGCTGTTGTAAAGAGCCAGGAGCCTGCCCAGGAGAAAGGGTAGAGTGAATTGTGAAGGATGCTTCTACCAATTCCGTAATATTCTATTTAAAATTAAAAAATGAAACTGCAGCAAACTATTTAGATATTTCAAAATATAGTCAGTACATGGGTGTTATTTATCTCATTCTCTGAACTTTTTGTGTTTGCAATGGTTTATAATAATTCCCAGAACTCTATGAAGGATTAGATTCCAAGGCTTCATAGATCAAATAAAAATTACTGTTTTAGTGGAATCATTGTGATAGAAGTGGTAGTAAAAAGTGAATCCCAATTCAATTCTGATTAATCTTAATTCTCCTTACTACCATTTATGTCAGGATCATTTTACTTAAAGGTGAAAACAGAAAATTTACCACTTATTTTCTTCTCCAGGCGCATTGTAATTTTTGGTAGGGACTTAATAGCTGTTGGTGGTGTGCCTGACATGAGTGATACAGGGAAGTGCCCTGAAGGTTACTTTTTTGTTGTTCTCCCACCGTCTCTTCCCATCTTCATAGGAGGGAAAGTTCTTCCTCTGCCCCTGGATGGAAATTGATCAACCCCATAACTGAATTGGTCATTCATTGTTAATTACAAACCAAAAAGAGTGGTCATTTTATATAGTAATTGCAATCTTAATAATTCCAATTTCATCAAGAGATAAGACTTCTCTCCCTTACCCCAACTCAGGCCAACTGTGAGGAGGAGAGGGAAATAGTCATCTCTCTTTCTAACTCCCTCCCTTCCTTAGCCTGCTAAGGCTCGATTTCCTCAAGAAGGGATTAGAGGAAAGAAGGAAGGGAGGAAGGGCCATTGGTAAAATCTCACTTGAATGGTTCTGCTGTAATGTGGCCTTGGACTCTCTGGGCCTGGTAGATATTCAAAGCAGACTCTTCCTAATTTGGGGTGGTTTCATGGGTCTCTGGAGATCCCTCACCAGCAGGTCCCTTAACTTGAGGGAATGTGCCTTATTGGGCGGTTCCTTACCCAATTTGAATCTATATGGGTCAGGGTCCTAACAAGAAGCAGATGTCAGCACTCAGATGAGACGTTGTGAAGAGAATTGGATAAAGACCTATCTACAGAGGCATAAGCAGAGTGTAGGGAAACTGCAAGGGAGAGCACCCCAGAGATAGTCACTGCAGCAAGGCAGGAAGCATTGCTGTCCCTAGGCCTGGACAAGACAGGGAAAAGTTACTAGAATTTAAAGACTGTCAGGGCTGTGCAGAAAGGCCCTGGCCATCTGATACGAGCTGTGACCTTCAGTCAAGCCATGTGTCCAGCTTGTGACCCCCGCAGAGAAGTCTCCCATGAAGAAACAGCTTGGCCTCTCTCTCCTCCTACCCTCCAGTTACTTGCTGCTGTTCCCCACTGGAGGAGCCCAGACAGAAGGCAGAGGGTGTAAGGAAGGTAAAAGAGGGTGGAGAAGTCAATGAGCTAGGAATAGGCCCAGCATACCACCCCCAGGTTGCCCGCCTCCAGGTTTCCTTCTCCTGCATTCCCATTGCCCCTCTAGGTGGCCCCGTGAGAAAGAATGTAAGTGTCAAGTGTTGTGGTAGAGGAGCTCAGAGGCGTGCTGGAGCCAGCTCCCACTGGCTCACAAGGGCTGATCGTGTACATTTTTTCCCAACTCCAAATTCAGGAACATCATGTTGGTAGACTGAACAGGAATATTTGTACCCCAAAAATTGGCAAACACTGAAAATCAGGGCTTTTTTCTTCCAGAGAGCTGGTTGTTAAACACTTACCAGCACACCACTGATCCAAAATGCCCCTAACCTCCCTCTCTTCTGTGCTTATAGCCCATGTTGGGTCAACAGAAACACAGTAGTAACCCTGCTCTTGCCACTAGCAGATCATCAGCCCATGCCCCACCCTCTAGAGCTCCTGAATAAAAATCGACAGTAGTGCACTCTGGCCTTCTTGCCCCCCACCCCCAGCACCCACACAGATCCCCGAGAATTCTCAGCAAACTTTCTGCGTGGTCTCTCGGGCTCCTTCACTGCCCCTGAGGGAGGAAGAAGCATCTCCACACACACCACCCCCAAGGAGGGAGAGGAGGTAGGCTTAGGCAAACTGCTAGCTCTTTTTAAAGGAATTCTTGTCAAACATTTATTTTGGCCCTTTTCAAATGCTGATGTGAGTGTTTGGGTTGTCTAGCCAGCTCTCGCCATTTCACTTTGAAAATGTGCCAGTTCTACTGTGTGGTCTGTCTCAGAACTCACTTTTGACTCCAATATATGATAAATTATTGCCAAATGAAAGGATTAATTTACAAATTGGCTAGTAGCAGGTATGTTTTCCAAAAGAAGAGGGAGACAGCTTGATGAAGGATCCACAACTCAATTTTTAAAACTCCTGAAATTTCTCTAATTAGCCAGTCAAGAGAATCAATGGAACCCTACTAACCATCTTCATTAGAGGTTTTCATAGGAAGAATGCCTGTGCTGGCTCTTATAGGTGCAAGAAAAACTGCTCTCCCCAAAAGATCATATGCATCCTGAGAACACTGCCCCCTGGCTGGTCCAGTGCAATAAAGATGCAGCTGGACTGTAGGCATGCCAAGTTTCCTACTAATGTCTCTAAGAAGCCACTGCACTGAGCCATATGGTCACCACGAGTCCATGAGGCTTAAGTGACAGGAGGGAGAACTGCCAAGGTACTCAGAGCTTTGAGAGAAACCTGAGTTCAGAACTTCAGGCACACTTCCAATGGAGGAGAGAGAAAGTCACAGTGGACTGGAAGGCTGCCCCTGGAGGGGTAGGCTGGGAGAGGTGCTGTGCACCAGGGAAAAAGGGGAACCTTGTGGGTCAGACCCAGAAATCACCGAGCCAGGCTCTTAGTGGTGGTGATAAGAGAAATGCAGACCAGTAACCAAAAGATGGATCTGGGGTTCCAGCAGAAGGAGTCGTGGAGAGAGATGAGAGAGAGCTCCCATTTGAACAGAGGTGACCATGAATAGGATCCATGCCAAGTTCAAGCAGTAATAAGATTAGGAATGTCTTCCCTGTGTATGGTGTATGGCCCTAGGGTCTCCTTTATATTGCCGACTGACCCTAGTACACGCTGACCCTCTGACTTTACAGTCTGCCTCCTCCACAGAGAACATGCTGGTGAGAAGGAGCAGATCTGAAGGAGAGAGGCCGCCATCCCTGGGGGACAACCTTGGACAGAGAGGCCCACAGTCGTAGCAGGGAAGATTACTCACACAGGAAGAGATGGTGGATGGCCTTCTATGAGGGGACTGTCAGGGCCTGGGTTTTGCTACAAGCAGGCATCTGGCACGTTTCTGATTGTAATAAAGTACAGCCATTTATCTTCTCACAGAGTGCCCTGCTCTTCCTGAGGGGAAGGCAGTGGCAGTGAGCGCAGGGTCTGTGGCAGTGGGGGTGAGTGTGCCCAAGAAATTATCAGGTACAGCCATGTGTCCGCAGGGTCATTCAGCACACCCTTAAATCTGGGCATGCTTGGGTCCGCTAAGGTGTTACAAAATCAGCACCAGGATGGATGGCAGCACTGAGCACCCGTCGGCATGTGACGGCTCCAGCTGACAGTAAATTTGAGCCATTAAACAGGAAATGGTCTGATTGGGAAGCCAGAATCTTTGCCTCTGAGCTGCTGACCATTGTGGTAATTGAGCTATGAACACCATCAATCTCCGTAAGAATAGACACTTTGTCTTCTCAAACAAGGTGAGGCTGAAGTGATCTATGGTTGTGTGAGACAGCTGAGCCCCAAGGAGGCCCAGAGTGGGTATTCAGCAAATGAATCATTAGTTGGGTAGTTGGATGGCCAAGACGACCACCTGGAATGCCTCCTGGCTCTGATGTCTTGTCTGCCATGGTAGAGCCACATAACTCACTTCCCCTTCCCACGCAGGGCACTGGTTAGGTGACAGCCATGTGGGCCCCACAGCCTTTGCTCTACAGAGGCCCAGAGGGCCCCTTTTGGCTTTGGTGAATGCTTGGAAATTTCAACATCATCTTCTTTAGGATTCCTAGTCCAGCCAAGGGCATGGAACAGGCTGGCTGTGGGCATTCTGTGGGCTGACCCTGGAGAGTGGGTATATAGCTCCTCACACCTAGCAGGCAAGCTGCAAATGCCATATGGGATTGGGGCACAGGTCATGGATTTCGGTTATTAAAGGGCAGACTTCACAGGCCAGCACCAGGGGAAGACACTAAGACTGTCTCTCAGCCCCAGCCCCAGATCTGAAAGGCATTCATGGAAAAGAGCAACACCTTCAAATACCAACGACGAGTCAATACAGACTTCAATAATCTGCCCTGTGGCTTCCTTCATTATTGGAATCACTTACAGAGGAAAGAGCACCAGCTTTGAAATCGGACAGAGCCAGTTCTCCCACTAGCTCTGCTTACCAGCAGTGCCATCCTGGGCGATTACTTCCTCTATCAAAGCTCAGTTTCCCCACTTGGAGTGGGAGTTGTAGATTATACAAGACAATACATATGAAGTTCCTAACCCATGTAGCAGCTGTGCGATGGTTATGGTTATTCAGATTTTATCAAGCACCTACAAGGGCCCGATGCAGGCAGTTTCAACCTTACAGAGAGTGTGCTTTCCTGGTTGCAAACCCCTGAAGCCCTATTTACTTTTATCACAGTGGCTCCCAAATGTCTGGAAAGCAGGCAGGCATGTAGGGGACGTGCTGGCTCCTACACACCATCCTATCTAAACTTCTGTAGGGCCTGTATTCTCAGTAACTTCTGCACAGAGTACTTGCATTGAAACTGGGCTTGAAGCCATAAGCAGTGTTTCTTAACAAGGGGTGAGCATTGGAATCACCAGGGGACCCTATTGACAAATTTTAACTCAGTAGGTCTGGAGTAGGGCCCAGCTGTCTGTGTGCTTTTACAAGCTCCTTAAGTGATTCTGATGTGCACCCCCAGTTGAGAACCATTGAACCAAAAAAACTATTCTGCACATTTCAAATATCAGATAACTGCGTGGGAGAGAGAGCGTTTGAGAGGAGGGCATGGGGAAGTGGGACAAGGAGTTGCAGAGATCTTTCCAGTAGAAATTATGTCAGGAAGGAGGGGGTCCACATCTTGACTGGCCTTCCCAGCAAGAGCCCCTCTGGTCCTTGCACGGCTAATTCCAAAACACCCGTGACTTCAGAGATAAGGTCAGCCTGGGACTGTGCGTCTGTGCGTCCTCCCAACTTGAAGCTTCAGTTACTGTTTGACTGCTCAGGGCTTCTTCCTGTGTGCCATTCAGACCTACAGCCACTGAGTGAAACCCTTCTCTTGCTTTTGTACTGCTTTGGAGGCAGCTGCCTCCCCACAGATGAACAGTGTGACCTCGCAGGCCACTCGGCACTGTGAGCTCCTGTGCTGCTGTCCCAGCCAGAATCCTGTCCTTGAAAGGAGGGCTCCCTGTGCCTCCTGTCAGGTGATGGGAGGCTCTGTCCCTGGCCAGAGTCCCCGTGGGGATGGAGACCTACAAAACTCAAATGCCCTTTGTAGTTACTCCCTCTTCTTCTGTTCTTGCTCAGTGGCTTTTATTTGGTTCCCTTTGAGTTCCCAGCCCCTATTTCTCTTCAGAGGTTACTGATGAGCCAAGCCTCAGAACATATCAGAAGCAGCCAGAGGCTGTCTCCTGGTGAGGCTGCAATGCATTTCACCAAGCAGACATCACCTTGGGCAGCAGGCCCATTTGGTTGTCATGACAACGTGGGTAGTTTGTGTCGTGGAGTGTGCTGTGCCCTCATTCTGGCTTCCCAAGGTCCCTTGCCCCAGCTTTCTTTCCCAGACCCTTTCAACAGACTCCCGGCTTCCTGGCGCCACCTCCACATTAACTGTTGTTCAATTTGGAGTAGCTTTGTCTTGATCAGCAAAAAAAAAAAAAATGCTCAACTTAGCTTTCAAAGGAATAGATCGAGCCCATTCCTCTCCTCAAAATACTCCCATCTCTCTCAAAGCCAGTGTCCTTACCATGGCTCCCAAGATCCTCCAGGGTCTGGCCTCAGTTTCTTCACTGACTTCAGCTCCCACCACGATTTCCCTTCCCAACCGCTCCTGGCCTTCTCATTGTTGTTAGATGCAGCAAGCAGGCTCACACCTCAGGCCTTTTGCACTTACTGTTGCACATTCTGTGCCCCGATTTCTGCATGCCTGTTCCCTTCCTCCATTCAGGTCACTGCTCAAATGTCCCCCCACTTAGAGGCCCTCACCCACCCTACCTAGCATGGCAGTCTTCCACCCTGTCATCCTGTCTTTTTACCCAGCTTTGTCTTTCCTCATAGCACCTTCCGATCCCCAGCATGATGTTGCAGACTCAATTGTTTGTGGTTTTAGTGTCTGTCTTCCCCACTGGAATCCCCCTAGAACAGGGGCAGGCACATAGTCAATGCTCGATAAACATTTGTTAAATAAGCGGATGAGTGACTAGACTTGGATCCAAAGCCTGGCGCTGCTATTTGGTAGCTTTGTGGCATCGCACAAGCCACCCAGTCACCCTAAGCCTTGGTCTTCCTGATTGTGAAGCAGAGGTGATCATGTCTGCCAGCTGAGGTGGTGAGAATGAAAGTGGTGTTGCGCAGGGAATGGGCTCAAGCGACTCCCCAGATGGCGTTGATGTTATCATTCTGTGCTTGTGTCAGCTGCATTCAGAATGTGCTCCTTGCCTAAGGCTCCCGAGCACCCCACACACTTCCAGGGCACCTGAGACTCTGTGACCTGCCAGGGAACCTGCAAGATGCCCAAGGAAAAGACAACCAGTCATGGGCTGAGGCAAGAGCCTGCCTCCTACAGAGGGGCTCTGCGTTCACATGGGGTGACCGCAGCCTTTAAATGGAAAAGCAGGCCGCCCTGGCCGTCCCCCCTACCTTCTGCTGTCTGTTCACCAAGGCCTGGAGACTGCCTCTTCTGGCCGGGTGAGATGGCCCTGTGTGAGTCCAGCAGCCCTTCCTCCGCCCGCCTCCAGCAGTCTCTCACGTACTGGGCTTGCAGCAGGACGTCTAGCCAGTCACCGCAGAGTGGGGCTTCACTGAATTTCTTGGGGGTGTCCTTGGGGTGGGGACAAAAGTGTTAAAAGGAGGAAGGAAATTCACAGTGTTACTTTTTTAGCAGGCTGGAAGATACCTGGGCCCATTTCTGAAACTTTTTAAAAAGGAATTGTTTGTCCATTGAAAGTCCTACCATTGTCGGTTTCATATTAAGATACTTCCTTCAGTTTATCATGTCTGATGACTTTCAAAGAAGGCAAGGCCAGCAAACATGCGAGGCACTGAGTCACCCTCATGGAGTGACTCATGGAGTCTGAACACAGCACTGGGGGAAGACACTAAGAGCAGGAGGACCCCAATCTCTGCCCTTGAGGGCTTCCTGTGCCTGAGACTTGGGGGGCTGTGGGTGATGTGGACAGGCGGGCTGCCTCATCTGAGCCAATAAATTGCACCAACACAGATGACAGTGTGGACTTCAGGTGGGATGTTGATGGTATCTGCATGTCCTGTGTTTAGATAATGAAATAAGACACTTGCTCTGCCTGTCGATTTAAAGTTGGCAATTGACATAAGGAAAAGGGGGGTCAATGGCACCTGGAAGATGACAGACAGAATCGTGATCCAGTTAGCATAGTTATCAGTAAGCTAATGACACAAAAGACACAGGTAACAAATGGGTAAGGGAGTCAAAGGGGAAGAATAATGGCGTGACAGAATAAGGACCTCTCAGCAGACTAGGCTGCCAATAAATGTGAAGTGTTGCCTTTGGGATCAAAAGGACAATCACACTGAAACAGGACGCATTTTAACAATCACTTATTTTTAAAAAATGCAAGTTTTAAAACTGACCACAAGCTTAATAGGGGCCAACCACGACAGAGCTGCTAAAAATCATAAGCAGTGTTGGGGAGGCTGTCTGGTAGAAACATTTAGCTCCTTGGAATCAGAAAAAAACAAATGGGTTCACATCCCAGCTCTGCTATTTAGTAGCTATGTAACCTTGAGTTATCCATGGCCCTCTCTGAGACCAAGAATCTAGCTGAAAGAAGATGGCAATGCCATCCTTGAAGGGTTATTTTGAGAATTAGCAATAGGGTACATGGAGGACCTAGCCCAGTGCCTAGTAGAATTTGGCAGAACTTAGAACATAGAAAGTCCCCAGTAAATGGTCATTGTTAGTAATTCACCTACTACAAAAATATAGAGCTTAAATTTTTAAAAGGTAAGAGGAGCCCTACTCTACTCTATACCTTTCAGACCCATGGAAGTATTATGTCAAGACCTAGCCTTCACACTTAAGATAAATGGGAAAGTAACCAGGTCACTGAGACTTCAGGTGAGGGATTGAGCAGGAGTCAGTCTAAGAAAAAAAAGGGGGCTGGGCGCGGTGGCTCACACCTGTAATCCCAACACTTTAGGAGGCCGAGGTGGGTGGATCATGAGGTCAAGAGATCGAGACCATCCTGGCCAACATGGTGAAACCCCATCTCTACTAAAAATACAAAAATTAGCTGGGCGTGGTGGTGTGCACCATACCACTACCACACCACCCTGGGATGGACTACATCCCAGCTACTCAGGAGGCTGAGGCAGGAGAATCGCTTGAACCTGGGAGGCAGAGGTTGCAGTCAGTGGAGATCGCGCTGCTGCACTCTAGCCTGGTGACAGTGCGAGACTCCATCTCAAAAAAAAAAAAAAGTTCCAGACACATGTGATATTTTGATGTTGTTGTTCAGATATTTAAGGGACCATCAGATTAAGAAGAAAGATATGCTACACTGCTCCAAAGAGCCAAAGTAGAGGTGAAAAGAAGTTAGCGGGAAATGTCTTGGCTCAAAAGTAGGAGGAAACAGAGCTGTCCGCCATGAAATGCACTACCCTGCAAAGTAGTGAGCTCCTCATCCCTGCAAGTATTTGAGCAGAAAGCAGATGACCCTCTGTCAGAAATGTTATACGAGGGATTTTTGAATCCAAGTTTCCTGAAGTTAGCCACATAACTTGGGCAGTTTACCCTCTTTGAACCTCAATATCCTTATCTGTAAAATGGGCATAATAACACTTACCACAAATAAATGCTATAAGGATTCAGTCTGAGCATGTCTGGAAGCACATGGACTGTAGCAGAGTCTTCCCTACATAGAGTAAAAAGCAGGGCTGTACGACTTCTAGGATGTTGTCTGTGGAGCTCAGAAAAGCAGGGCAACCACGAAGAGACTCCTAGAAGAATAAAAAGTCCCCACACTCTGGGCTAGGAGACAGCCAGCTTCAGATGAGCACACTAGCCAGAGCAGGCAACCAGGCACCAGTGGCAGTCATGTGGGGGAAGACAGAGGTCGGCATCAGCAGGGACGCAGACACACGCAGCAGCTGATCCCTGCTGACGTGCTCAGCCCTCCCCTGGGCCTCATGATGGTCCCATCGCCAAGGCTTGGGCTCATCCCTGGTTGTGAATTAACATGGCCTGCGTTCATCAGGCTTGAGAACCACTGCTGCAGAGGGAGTGAAAAACAGGAGACACGATTCTGAGGCTGGAAATTAAGCACCTCCACTTGTGCAGAGAAAGATGTCAGATGGTTTAGAGAGGTTTCCTTTTTTTGTGAAGGGCTTTTGTTTTTGTTTATCTGTTTGTTTTTGTTTGTTTGTTTGAGATGGAGTTTCTCTCTTGTTGCCCAAGCTGGAGTGCAATGGCATGATCTCGGCTCACTGCAACCTCCGCCTCCCATGTTCAAGCAATTCTCCTGCCTCAGCCTCCCGAGTAGCTGGGATTATAGGCGCCCGCCACCACGCCCAGCTAATTTTTGTATTTTTAGTAGAGACGGGGTTTGACCATGTTGGCCAGGCCAGTCTCGAACTCCTAACCTCAGGTGATCCTCCTGCCTCGGCTTCCCAAAGTGCTGGGATTACAAGCGTGAGCCACTGTGCCTGGCCCTGAAGGGCTCTTTATCAGAGGATGGGGAAATGCTATTTTGCGTCTTCCCTGGAAACTCAACAGGAAATGAATGAGCTCAATAGTAAAAGGATTAGTAGACACAGAGGAAGATTCCCTTCCAGTGACAGATGTTGGCAGTGGGAGGGACAGCAGAGGGACAATAACCCTGGAAGCTGCTCCTCTCAGGGCTTTCAGCTGAGCAGAGGTTGCCACCAAGAGGCCCCAGAAGGAACTCACAGAGGCTCCTTTCTTCTTGGGGTGCCCTTGAACTCTGTCATCTGCCCAAATATCACACTCTTCCTTTTACCCTTCTTTCTCACCATCCCATTGGCACCTTCCTTCTACAGGAATCTCGGAAAACATGGCCGTGCCTCTGATGCCAGACCAGCAGGAGGAGAAGCTGCGATCACAACTGGAGGAAGAAAAGAGAAGGTGCCCTTCCTTTTAGCCACACACAGTCCGAGCCCAGCCTCCCAGGGTCTCAGTGTCGTCCTGGAGCTTCCCAGGGCTGCAGCTACTCAGGGATGTGGGTCCAGCAGCTGGATCCTAGAACAGCAGGAGGAGGAGGGGCTGCCTTTGAGCAGGCAGGTGTGAAAGGCAGGACCCCAGGCAGTGTGAGGTTAGAATGCAGAACAAGCCAAGCCAGGCCCGGGAAGCAGCTGGGCTTGTCCACTGCTGCCACCTACGGGAGCCAAGAAATATGACCACGGTGGTTTTCCGCGTGCCTATGGCTGAAGTCCACTTCCCTCCGAGTCCTGAGAACGTCATACTCTCACGCAGCCGCAGGCATTTGGGGTCTCCAAACGACTTCACTTACAGAGTGAGGAGCCTCAAGCATAAACAGGCATGTAGCCATTCCTGATATACAGCATGGTCACCGAATCTTGCTCCACATGCTGATCAAGCTGCATCCACTCATTCATTGATGCATTTAGCACATGTGTGCTATCTCCTCCATGCCATGGGTAGGCTCTGGAGAGACTACAGTCATCTTCCCTGCCTCAAGGAGCTGGTGGTGTCACTGCAGCACACTCCCTGCCCCACCCCAACCCCCAGCTGACCTGGCATGCACCACCGCCCCTGCCCCCCGACGCACACCCAGGAGATCAAAGCCCCAGGCGCTGGTCTTCAGGTCGCTCCTGGCAGATGTGCAGGTGTCTTCCTACAGAAGTCTACCTGAGCACACACGCTGCTGTCGCTCTCCACTCCCTTGGGGCCCTCGCCAGTCGTCCACCTTCTCCCTCGCTCTGTTCATTTTCCTTAGTTTCTTTCCAACACCCCCCGCTTTTTTTTTTTTTTTTTTTTTTGAGATGGAGCCTCACTTTGTTTCCCAGGCTGCAGTGCAGTGGTGTGATCTTGGCTCACTGCAAACTCCATCTCCCGGGTTCAAGCAGTTCTCGTGCCTCAGCCTCTTGAGTAGCTGGGATTACAGCCACGCACCACAACACCCAGCTAATTGTGTATTTTTAGTAGAAACACGGTTTCACCATGTAGGCTCAGGTTGGTCTCAAACTCCTGACCTCAGGTGATCCACCCGCCTCAGCCTCCCAAAGTGCTGGGATTACAGGTGTGAACCACCACACCCAGCCTCCAACCCATTCTTCTTGTGTCTCTACTCCATCTTCATCTTGTCCCCTTGGCCCACATTTCCAATCTCAGTGTCACCTTAGAGGCCAACTTATCTCTTCGGCCTGGCTATTGGACTGTTTCCTATTGGACAATTTCTGATTCATTATAGCATTCTCAAAACCAATATATGTATGCGTTCATAAGCACAGTGTTACTTTTGGTCCTCAGCATGAAGGTGAGCCAGCGGAATGGTGAGGCAGTTAAGACTGTGGTTCTAGAACCAGACCACCTGGGTTCAAATCCTGGCTCCTCAGTTATCTCTGTCCCATAGAGCAAGTTATATAACCTCTTCATACCTGTCTCAGGTTCCGAATCTGTAAAATGGAGGTGATAATCATAGTATCTCCTTCATAGGGTTGTGAGGAGAATTAAATGAGTTTATATATGTTGAGTGCCTGCAGCAATGCTTATCCCTTAGTAAGTGCTCAGCAAATGGCAGTTCTCATTCTTGGGGGAGAGGCTATTCATCTCACACACAGATTCCCATGGGCCTACTGGACCAAAATGTCTCCGTCTGCTTCTCTGTGATGGACTCAAACCCTGGTGCCATAGCCTGGCCTCCGAAGCTCCTATAGGGTCCCAGTCCCTGAGCACCAGGGCAGCTCTGACGGGATTCTGAGGCACGGGCCCCATTCATTTACAGCCCTGCATCCATGCCGTGCTTTCAAGACAGCAGTGCCCTGACTCTTCCCCGATTCCACCGCAGGTATAAAACAATGTTCACTCGCCTGAAAGCCCTGAAGGTGGAGATCGAGCACTTGCAGCTGCTCATGGACAAAGCCAAGGTGAAGCTACAGAAAGAGTTTGAAGTCTGGTGGGCAGAGGAGGCCACCAACCTGCAGGTATGGCCTGGGGAACATCAGGGAAGCTGGGGAGGGGCCAGTCATGCAGCCCCACTGGGGCTGTCAAGAGACACAGTGGGGGCTTTGACCCACAGGCCCCCATGGTCTCAGCCCCTGCTCATGAAGCAGGTGCTCACTGTAGTAACAAGGATGACAAAAGGGCAGGGGTTCATTGTTTCCTTGCTGTCATGCCTAAAATTCTGCCTGATTAATGGAAAAATTAGGGATAAAAGATGCAGCTCCCAAAAATCAGTGGGTTTGCCACCAATGCTTTGTGTGATATTCTCCACTGATTTCCTACTGACATTTATTGTTTTTCTTATCATAGTCATATATATGTGAATATGAATTATAGAAATTTTACTAGGCAGAAAAACACAAAGAAGAAAGTAAAAATCACCATAATTCCTCTACTTAAATGTAATTGATATTAACATGTTTGATTATATTCTTTTACCTTGATTTCTATGCATATATATCCATATGTTTTTGTACAAATAGAATCAGGCTGGGCACGGTGGCTCATGCCTGTAATCCCAGCACTTCAGAAGGCTGATCACCTGAGCCCAGGAGTTCAAGACCAGCCTGGTTAACATGGCAAGACCCTGTCTCTACCAAAATGAACATAAAAATAATTAGCCAGGCTAATTATGTGGTAGTATGTGCCTATAGTCTCAGCTACCTGGGAGTCTGAGATGGGCAGAGTGCTTGAGCCTGGGAGGTCGAGGCTGCAGTGAGCAGTGATAGACCCACTGCACTCCAGCCTGGGTGACTGAGCAAGGCCCTGTCTCAAAATAATAATAATAATAATAATAAATCACATAGCTGTTCAAGTATCGCAAATGGCTTTTAAAAATTAATTGTATAGCATGGCTACTTTTTCATGTTATTATCCTACAGCGTTGTTTTAATGGCTGTTACTGTTCCATCATGTAAATATGTTTTAATCTCCTATCGCTGAATATTTAGGTTGTTTCTAGTTTTTTACTCAAAACATATTTGCAGATAATTTTTTGCATATTTCCTAGACAAATTCTTAGAAGTTTTCTGTTTGATGAAGGCTAAAATGACCTTTCCATAAGTGTTAGCACAAAATCCCAGTTTCAGTTTTCCTCATGTAACACCTCAGTTGTGGCACAGCGGAAGTGCTAAAATACGCACAATCAGATCCCTTTTCTGGCTGGCAGAATGCTTACTGATTATCTGACAGGCTGATCCCTTCATTTTAAGGACAAGAAAACTGAGAGCCAGAGAAGATGATTTGCCAAGGACATAGCCAAGCAATAACCAGTGTGATAGCAAGTGGCCACGCGGCAGGACAATGGAGAAGAATATTTGGATAAAATTAAATACACGAGATAACAAAGAAAACTAGTTAGAATGAAATACGGTTATCAAAATATTTTGAGTTATGGTATAGTAATACATGTACCACTTTTAAAACGCACTAATTAATAAGATCTAGGTGTAGGCCCAATATTTATCATAACTTCAAAGTCATGATGAAATGACACAATATTTCAAGATCTCTACACCAACTGTCAGGTGATATGAAAATATGCTTGATTTCCGTTGGTGACAAAGTCACAGGTATTGCTAATACTTTTGTGGTTTCTTGTCTGCATTTATCACTGAAAGAAATAATTTCAGGTAGCAGCTAGGGGAAATGCAGCTGTGATTGGCTCCCATCCACATTGGCAGAGCCCCTGGATTCTGTCTGTGGACTCCAGGTTAAGAGCCCTTCCTGGCAAGTTCATCAGTGAATGAGGCCTTCCCCAGCTGGTGCCCGAGGGAGTCCACCACTGACCGGTCGACAAGGGTCATACCAGCGAAACTCAGGAAGTGTCCAGGCAAAGCTGACACATTCAGACAGTGTATGACTTACAGAGACAGCGAAAGCCAGAGTAGGCAAGGGTGTCAGCTCCATGTGTCCCCTGCCCCACAGGATGTCACTGAAACAAAAGGGACCAGATGACAGCAAGGGGGATGGTGGGATACACTGGTACAGAGGGGCCAATTCCATGCTGCCCCTGAGCAGTTCTATAGCCTGCAGCTGTACCCTCAGTGGGCAGAGGCAGAAAGCTCCAAACCTCATTAGAACAAGAGAGGTGACAAGAAACTTCTAGGATAGCCTTCTGGGAGGATAGGGAAGCAAGTGGGAAATAACCTAGTAGCAACCACTCACAAGCTTCCTGTATGCACTCACGTTCCAGGAGGCTTACAGGGCATTCTGCCAAGACTTAGACCAGCTGTGATCTATGCCTTGCTCTTGAGGCCTATGTGGGGACATGCAGCTTGCAGAGCTGTTCCCCTACACAAAGTGCTCGGTGGATGTCTCCTGACTTTAGTAGGGGGTCTTTGGGACAAGGAGAAGCAAAACCAGAAAGTATTTTTGAAGAATGAAGATAACATTTTAAACAATTTTTTCCTATCTTTAAAAAGGAATACATGTTCAACGTGGAAAACTTGGAAAGCACAGGAAAGCATAAAGAATAAATTAAACATTACCCATAATTCTTTACCATCCCTAGACAATATGTTGAAGCCATCATTATGGTCATTACCATGTCTAGATTTGTTTTTGGCCATACACCTTGTGTACACTAACTTTTATAGCTGGCTTGTTCCCCTTAAGAATTACATCAAGGCCGGGTATGGTGGCTCATGCCTGTAATCCCAGCACTTTGGGAGGCCAAGGTGAGCAGATCAACTGAGGTCAGGAGTTCGAGACCAGCCTGGCCAACATGGCAAAACACCGTCTCTACTATAAATACAAAAATTTGCCGGGCATGATGGCGGGTGCCTATAATCCCAGCTACTCGGGAGGCTGAGGCAGGAGAATTGCTTGAACCCAGAAGGCAGAGGTTGCAGTGAGCTGAGATCGCGCCACTGCACTCCAGCCTGGGCAACAGAGCGAGACTCCATCTCAAAAAAAAAAAAAAAAAAGAATTACATCAAAAACATCTTCCTATGTCATTAGATTCAAGCTAACACTGTGAAACTCCTTCTGGGGCCAACAGGTAAATTCTCCAGCAGTGAATTCACTCGATCACACGAAGCCATTTCTCCAGACATCTGACTCCCAGCATGAATGGTCCCAACTCCTCTCTAACAAAAGGTAAGGTGAGAACTCACCGGAGGTGTTAGAGTTCCCAGAAAAGGCTCCCTACCTTTCTGTTTAACCTATTCCTGTGGCTCTCATGTCTCTTGATAAGCCATATGATCCAGCAGGATTAATTCCTTTTACTGTTTAATTAGTCGTAGATACTCAAGACAGTGGCTTTCAAGTTGGTTGGAGTGCACACCCCTTCAGTCCCTCACTCTGACAGCCAGTAGACCTACTGCCATGGTAACAAGAGACAAGAGGTTTCACAATCAAGCCCTGGTCCTGCCTCCTGAGTGGGAAGAAGGGATTGGCAGGAATGGAACAGGGTCATAGCATGGGAGAAGGGGGTTTGGGGGACAGTGGTGGTGGGACAGTGGGTAGCCCGCCTACTGAGACACAGGGGAGCTCTTCGTCCTAGCCAGGATCCAGGTAGCCTCCAAAAACACCACATGAGGATGGCCCAGAGCCAGTCTCCCTACATGATGGGATGACCAGCAGGGACTCTACTTCCCCACAACCATGTTATTGTCTCTTTCCAACCACACAACCCAGGGGGTAGCACCGAGGAAGCACGCCTCCTGCCATTGTCCATCTGATGCCAGAGGCCAGGATAGTATGTGTGGGGCCTCCGTCTCTGCCACCAAGGAGCAATCCTTTGGGTTTGAAGGGGTGCTGAGCCCTCACATTAGAAATATAAAATAGGGCTTTAAAAAAGGTGTCAGAGGGCCGGGCACGGTGGCTCATGCCTGTAATCCCAGCACTTTGGGAGGCCAAGGTGGGTGGATCACCTGAGGTCAGGAGTTCAAGACTAGCCTGACCAACATGGGGAAGCCTGTCTCTACTAAAAATACAAAAATTAGCCAGGTGCGGTGGCACACGCCTGTAATCCCAGCTACTTGGGGGGCTGAGGCAGGAGAATCACTTGAACCCAGGAGGCAGAGGTTGTAGTGAGCTGAGATCGTGCCACTGCACTCCAGCCTGGGCGACAGAGACTCCGTCTCAAAAAAAAAAAAGAAGAAGGTGTCAGACAGTCCCCATGATATGATGTGATAAGAGTGGCACTCTACCTCTGTGGCCTTTCTCTCAGAAACCCATAACATCAGTCAAAGAATGAGGAAAACATCAGACACATCCCAATGGAAGGACACTCTACAAAATACTGACTAGCATGCCTCAAATTGTCAAGGTCCCCAAAAACCAAGTGTGAGACTCGGTCACAGCCAAGAGGAGCCTAGGGAGACACACCACCGAGATGTAAAGTGGCGTCCTGGGTGGGAGCCTGGAACAGAAAAAGGCTTTAGGGAAAAACTAAGAAAAGTCCAGTAAAGTATGGCCTTTAGTTAATAACAATGTATCAATATCGGTTCAGTGATTGTGGCAAATGAACCACACTAAGGTAAAACTGCCCGATAGGGGAAGCTGGGTACAGGCTACATGGGATCTCCATGCACTATCTTTCCAACTTTTCTGTAAATGTAAAACTATTCTTTAAAAAAAAAAAAAAAGTATTCTTAAAAAACAACTATTGTCCAGGCGTGGTGGCTCATGCTTGTAATCCCAGCATTTTGGGAGGCTGAGACGGGCGGATCACCTGAGGTCAGGAGTTCAAGACCAGCCTGGCCAACATGGTGAAACCCCATCTCTACTAAAAATACAAAAATACCAGGTGTGGTGGTGCATGCCTGTAATCTCAGCCACTCGGGAGGCTGAGGCAGGAGAATCGCTGGAACCCAAGAGGTGGAGGTTGCAGTGAGCCGAGATCGCACCACTGCACTCCAGCCTGGGCGACAGAGCGAGACTCTGCCTCAAAAAAAAAAAAAAAAAAAAAAGACTTCTTAAAATTAAAAGGCCAGCCAGTGAGCCCTCAACACCAACCAGGTTGAGATTTTCCTTGGACTTTCCCAGATCCTCCAATCTGGCTGTTGGTGCCAGCACTTCAGCCTGTATTCTAACTTTTTGGAGTGACTTTGTTTTTATACTTAAAGAAAAAAAATGTTTAATGTATATAGATACATATATATGTGTATATATATAAAACAGATCAATATGCAGAATATAAACAACTCCTATGGATCAATGAAATGAAAAACATTCTTTTTTTCTTTGAGACAGGGTTTCACTCTCACTCATGCTGGAGTACAGCAGTGTGATCACGGCTCACTGCAGCCTCGACCTCCTGGGCTCAGGCAATCCTCCTGCCTCAGCCTCCTGAGTAGTTGGGATTACAGGCACGTGCCACCATACATGGCTAATTTAAAAATATAGATATTGTTTGTAGAGGAAGAGTCTCACCATGTTGCCCAGGCTGGTCTTGAATTTCTTGGCTCAAGTGATCCTCCCACCTTGGCCTCTCAAAGTGCTGGGATTGCAGGTGTGAGCACCACACCTGGCCAACATTTTTTAAATGGGCATGGGCAGGCAGTTCATGGAAGACAGGTGCTCAACTTCACTAGTCATTAGCAATGCAAACTAAAACAAGGCAGTAGCACTTTTCTACCTATCAGACTGTTGAAATTAATGAAATCATGGTATAGCAGCAAGTGCTGATTGCATGGTGGGGCAGCGGGTCCTGTCCTAGGCTGCTTGCTGTGGGCCACTCTCTCAAGGGCTTTCCCAATGCTTACCCAATTAGTGACCACCATGACTTTGAGGCCAGGCCCTATTATAACCATTCTCAGCTTCCAGATGAGGCAACGGAGAAGTAGGTCAAATGACTTGTACCAAGGTCATTCAGCTAGAAAGCAGCTTTTGTCACCTATTCCATATTTTCTTCTAGTTCCTACATCATTGTGTGTTTTTACATTTAGATCTTTAATCTTGCATTGTGTCTTTGCATATGGGATGAGGTAAGGACATAACTTCTTTTTTCCAAATGGATAGATGTCCCATGTGAGCCAGTTTGGGATATGATCATCTGTCCAAGCCTAAACACTTTCAGCCCCACCAAACCTACTCCCTTGCTTCCACAGTGGCCAGACTGGGGGTCTCCCTGGGTCTTCTAGCCTCAGTTTCCTGCCCTGCAGTATGGATGCTGAACAAGATGGGGGCTTAAAAACCTGGTCTGTGTACCCTGCAAGGGCAGCCTGAGACAGGAGGGTGGCAACTCAGCTAGCCAGCAGGTCACCGTTGCAGGGCAGCAGGTCACATGCTAGCCATGCCTTCCATCCCAGATGGCCTTCAGGGCTAAGCTATGTTGCAACAGGAGGGAGCAAATGTCCACGTGACCGTTCTCAGGAGCCTTATGTAGGCTGGTCATTGCCATCGTCATCTATCAATCTGGGCTTGGACCCATGTGAAAACAGAGGCCATGCAATGTCAGTGTGCCCTCAGTAGCAGTCCTGCTGCAGAGCAGTGGCACCCCCATGGGTCTGGGCATCACACTTAGCTCCACTTAGCAGTAGGAACTGGCACACAGCATAGTGCCCATTGTGGCTGGCATAGTGCCATCCTGAAGTCCATCTCTCCAGCATCTGCTGCATGCCGGACACCGCACTAGGGAAGGAGCCACTGGGTCCATCTGCCCAGGGCTACAGCACCGCCATCCCAGACCCAGTGCCCTCTCACTGCCTCACATTCTGGTTTTAGGACACATCTCCTATGTGAGCCCCTGAGCCCAGGGTCAATAACTGACATGATGTGTTTTGTTTGGCTAGCCTGGTGTTTTGGAAGACAATGCAGATTCATGAAAGAAAAAATTGATGTTGGACTTTATTTAAAATTAAAACACCACTCTGCAAAAGATATTTTTAAAAGAATTAAAAGACAAGCTACAGACTGGGAGAAAATATTTGCAAAACATATATCTGATAAAGGACTTGTATCTGAAGTATACAAAGAGCTCTAAAAATTCAACAATAAGAAAATAAACCACTCAGTTTAAAAGTGGGCAAAAGATCTGAACAGCCACTTCACCAAAGAAGAGATACAGATGGCAAATAAGTACATGACAAGGTACACAACATCCTGTGTCACACAGGGAAATACAAATTAGAACAACAATGAGATACCACTACATACATATTAGAATGGCTAAAATAAAACAAAAAATGACAATTCCAAATGCCAGTGAGGATGTTGAGCAATAGGAACTCTCGTTCATTGCTAGAGGGAATGCAAAATGGTTTTGCACTCCCACAGCCACTTTGGAAGACAGTTTGATGGATTCTTGCAAAGCTAAATATGATCTTACCATACAATCCAGCAATTGCATTTTAGTTATTTACCTAATTGAGGTGAAAACTTATGTCCACAAAAAAAAACAGAATATGATTGTTCATAGTAGCTTTTTGTATAATTATTTATAATTGCCCAAAACTGAAAGCCACCAAGATGTCCTCCAAAAAGTGAATGAATAAACAAACCGTGGAATATTATTCAGCTATCAAGTCTGGGTGCAGTGGCTCAGGCCTGTTATCCCAGCACTTTGGGAGGCCAAGGTGGGTGGATCACTTGAGGTCAGGAATTCAAGAGCAGCCTGGCCAACATGGTGAAACCCAACCTCTACTAAAAATACAAAAATTTGCCAAGGATATTGGCATGCACGTGTAATCCCAGCTACTTGGAAGGCTGAGGCAGGAGAATCGCTTGAACCGAGGAGGCAGAGGTTGCAGTGAGCCGAGATCAAGCCACTGCACTCCAGCCTGGGTGACAGAGCAAGACTCCATCTCAAAAAAAAAAAAAAAGAGCTATCAGGCCATGAAAAGTGATGAACCTGCAATGCATATTGCTTAGTGAAAGATGCTCATATGAAAAGACTATGTATTATATGATTCCAACTATATAACATTCTGGAACAGGCAAAATTATGGACACAGTGAAATAGTCAGTGGTTGTCATGGACTTGTAGGGAGGAAAGGATGAATAGATGGAGCACAGGGAATTTTGGGGGCAGTGAAACTATTCTGTATGATATTGTAATGTTGCATAGATGATGTCATGCATTTGTCAAAATCCATAGAGCTGTACAGCACAAAGAGTGAACCCCTGCATAAACCATGGACTTTAGTTCATAATAATGTATCTATATTCATTCACCAGTTATAACAAATTTATCACACTAATACAAAATGTTAATAATAAGGAAAACTGAAAGGTGGGGAAGAGGAGTATAAGGGAATTCTCTGTACTATCTGCTCAATTTTCTGTAAACTTAAAACTTCTCTAAATAATAGTCTATTGATTTTTAAAACTGCAGAAGCAGAATAACTAGGCAGCTGCACTATGCCATGGCAATGCAGGCAGCTTAGCATTTGTGCCCTGCACCTGGCCCACTCCATGCATTCACCTGGGCACCTGCCAACCTCTAGAGGCCAGTAAATTTGAATTCCAACCCCTGTATACCTGCACCTTCCACACACGGAGCCCTCTCGCTGAAACTCCAGGACTCCACACAGCACATCTGAAAAACACAACGAGGAGGATTCAGCTTCCTCAATCATTGCTCTGGCTCTGTGCTGAGCCCTTGTGTATCTGCCCCATGAGAATAAGCTCTCCTTTCAGCTGTGAGGCTCAGAACCCCTGGCTATTTCTGTACCCTCTTTTCTGATCTCTTGGGTAGCTTCTACTGGTAGCAATATCCTGCTCAGCGAGTAGAAAGCCCTGTCTCTCATTTTTCCTTTGGCTTCAAAGACATTGAAGTGTGTACATGTGCATGTGTGTGTGTGTGAGAGAGAGAGAGAGGGGCAGGTGTGTCAGCAAGGGGCCCGACAGATGCAAGGTAGAAATACACTATGCTTGCCCAGGGACAGTGGTTCATGCCTGTAATCCCAGTACTTTGGGAGGCTAAAGCCGGTGGATCGCTTGAGCCAGGAGTTCAACACCAGCCTGGGCAACAAGGTGAAACCCCGTCTCTACAACAAAATATGAAAATATCCTTACCTCCCCACAAATCCATAGCCGGGCGTGGTGGCACATGCCTGTAGTCGCAGCTACTCAGGAGGCTGAGATGGTAGGATCTTTTGAGCCCAGAAGGTCAAGGCTGTAGTGAGCCAAGATCTGCACCACTGCACTCTAGTCTGGGTGACAGAGCGAGACCCTGTCTGAAAAAGAGAAAAAAAAAAGAAAGAAAAGAAATACACTGTGCTTGCAAAAAAAAAAAAAAAAAAAAGTTTAATCCTAGTGTTCAGAACCTTGAATTTGAAAGGTGTGCATCAGATCACCCACAGGAGCTTTTCCAAAAATCCTGCTCCCAGAGTCCCCACCCCCACCCCAAGCCCCTTCGGTGACTGCTGGCAGAAGGGTCTTGGGGAAGATGGCTCTCAGCCAGCCCTAGAGCGCTGTTCAGCCCTGTCCCCTGTGGTTGCTGCCGGCGAGCTGGTTGGATGCTCTAATTCCTGGGCAGAGATCACTGAGTGTCCTGAACAGTGTTTGTTAAAACACCTCAACTTGAGTGGCTGGCTGCCCCATATTTCCTCCTCCAACAGTTGTTGGAGTGCCAGCATTCCTGGATGGGACGGTCACACTAGGCAGGTGAGAGGAAAAGTAACCCCGCCAGAGACTGGAAAGGAAGAGCTCTAGGGGCTCCACCTCTGACAAAGAAATCCTTGCCACTTGCTTTAGATGCTGGTAGTAACGGGCCTACAGAACTCTGCCACGGTAAGCCAGGTAGGGAACCCTGTCTCAGGCCATCATGGCGTCTCAGACATTCCCTGTGAACATCTCACGTGAAGGATTCGCTGTTGGCATTCCCACGTTCCCAAGGGAGACAGCACTGGCCTTCTCCTCTGACGGCAATAATATCTCGTAGCCTTTGTAGAGGGCCCTCCTGGGCCAGGTGCAAAATACATGAGCACTGTGCCTACTATCATGGTCCCCCACTTTACAGGTGAAAAAATTCAGGCTCAGAGAGATGAAGTAGCTTGCCCAGGGTCACCAGCTAATCAGTGGTGAACTCAAACCCAGGCCTGTCGGAGTCGTGCACTCCCCTCATTCCTCACAGCAGTTGTGTTTAGGATCAATGACTGCCTTTTAGGGACACATGTCCATAATGTTATCTAGTAGGTGTTGGCATTTACCAGCCCACATTTTGTAATATTTTGTACAAGGCGCTTTCTTTATGTGCTTCCCACCACCAGATCCTCCTGCCTGGGGTATCCGCTCTTCCAATGTGTCCACACCGTCTGATTTTCCCAAGAGGCCAGGATTTTTAAAGGGTAAAGCTGTGTTTCCTTAAAAGGCCAACCTTCTAAGGTGTGGAAACCCAGAATTCCCTGTGACTGGCCCTTGCCATTTCAGCTGAGAAACCCAGAGTTCAGCCTCCCCATTCTGTAAATGAGGACACTGAGGCCCCGAAAGGGAATGAGATGCTTTAACTCTGTAGTTAATAACACAAAGAGCCACAAATTAGGCCAGGGATGATGGCTCACACCTGTAATCCCAGCACTTTGGGAGGCCAAGGTGGGTGGATCACGAGGTCAGGAGTTCAAGACCAGCCTTGGCCAATATGGTGAACCCTCATCTCTACTAAAAAGACAAAAATAATTAGCCAGCCATGGTGGTGCGTGCCTGTAGTCCCAGCTACTCAGGAGGCGGAGGCAGAAGAATCGCTTGAACCCAGGAGGTAGAGGTTGCAGTGAGCTGAGATCACACCACAGCACTCTAGCCTGGAGACAGAGCAAGACCCTGTCTCAAAAAAAAAAAAAAAAAAAAAAAAAAAAAAGAGCCACAAATTAAACCTAGACCTTCACACTCCATGGCAAGTGCCTTTTCTTCCTTCCACCCACTGCTCCCCCTGCCCTCTGCCTGCCTCCTTCCCTCCTCCACTCGCCTCTTCTCCCATCCCTCCCTCCACTGTCAGCTCTGCCTATCTCTATTCCTGCCTTACATCCCCCTTCTCCTTTTCTTCCTCCTCTCTGCCTCATTCCCTTTGTCATACTCCCTTGCAGCCAGGGCTGCCTCTTTACTGCTTGTTTGTTGATCATGCCGCTGCCAGCCTTTATCCGCCGGCATCTCCGAGAGAGTCCATGGTGGAATAGGTCTAAGGAGTAGCCCCTGGGCAAGGCCTCCAGGGACTGTCTGCTGTGCCACCCATCAGAATAGTGCTCCTTCCACCTTGTCTTGGCCTTGGGCATTCCTGGAGATTCCTTAGGTATTCCAACTTAAGATGATTCCTGGATGTGCTTGCCTAGAGACCTTTAACCCTGCAGTCGAGAACCCTGGACTTCAAAGGTGTGTGTCACGTCATTATTGACCACCTCCAACAAGTCCCCTTTATTGAGATTTGAATCACATGAATCCCAGTCATGGCCCCTCCGACAGCACACCCTCGGGCAAGCCAGCTCCCCACTTTGGGATTCCCTTGCCTCATCTGTAAGATGTGCAAAGGTCCCTCCGACACGGTCACTCTGTGAGCAGATAAATGTTGCCCGGTCAGTGCCCGGTCAGAGCCGCCAGGGTGAGAGAGCGAGGGCCCAGCGGCTGTTGCTGCCCGAGCTCCAGAGCGGCTGCTCCTGAGAATTGCCGCAGGTGGGGAACTGGGGGTAGCGGGGCGCTGGTCTTCTGCTCATCAGGTTCTGAAAGAAACCTGATTCATCACTTCCCCAGGGATGCTCAGGTCCTGGAAGCTGATCCCACTAAACACTCTGATTGGCAACCCAGAAGGCCTAATTACTATTAATATGGCTTATTAATCCTTATTAAGGAAGATACTTCATTCTGATGGCTGGTATGTTCTCTCTCCAGAGGGGCGTCAACATGAGAAATTAATTCGGTGTCAAAGGCTGGTTGGGCAAAGGGAGAGGGCAGAGGTCATTTATGGCATCATCCCCAGAATTACAGAAACCAAGCTGTGGCATCCAGGAACAGGATGCTTGAGCAGCTTACAGGTTTGAGGAGTCATTTCCCTCGAGAGCCCCCAGCCTTCCATTGCACTGCCCTCCTGCATGAGGTGGGGCAGCTGGGCCTCCGCAAAGAGTACTAGATGCCCCTATTGGCCACGGTGTGATCGTGCCCTTCTACCCTGCCCCATCCATCTCTCCATCCTCTTCCACCCCCTCCCACCTTTCAATAGTTTGGCACCTGTGAACTCTCCCTGGAACCTGAGCCAAGGCTCCACTGGGAAGCCACTGAGTGAATGAGCCATTTTTGTGCCAGTGCCTTGGTCTTGCAAATTTGCTACAGCTTCCAAACTGACCTTGACCCGTTGTCATGAAAGCACTTGCAGGATGGAAAGCCCTTTCTCCTTCCCTTCTCCAGGCTGCACCAGGAACCACTCAGCAGGAGCCTTGAGAATTGGTTACTGTTCTCTGAAGAAAAGCGTGCAGAGCCTGCCACCTGGTGGCTACCTCTGGTCCTACATCGGTCCTCACTAGACCCAGCACAGGGATCTCTGCTTTCCCACCATGAAGGGCACCTCGTGGAAAGTCTCTCCACTGCTAGGAAATGGACATTGGTGGGTGAGGGGGGGCTTCCCCAGGCTCTGGTGTCTTTTCTTGCTTGTTTGACCACAGTCGTGACCTATGGAAGCAGCCTTGCCATTGGCTGAGATCGGAAGGCGGAAGGCCAGAGCCGGGGAAGGGGCCATACTCATGAGTGAGACACGCAGTTTGTCAGGTCTGTAGAGTACCTTGGACTGAAGATGCAGACTCCGCGGAGCCGGCTCACCTGTCTCTAACCCTAGCCTGCCTCTCAGCCCAAGTGTCCCCAGAGTGTAAAAGGAGGGTTGTACCCAGGTGACTTCTTAGGCCTCTTCCAGCTCTGAGGTTGTCTCCAGGCAGGAAGCGAGGAAGATCTCCTTACAGCACAACTTAGAGTAAGGACCTTGTAACCACAGGCATGTGGAATACACTGGCCTCCAACCAGCCGTGTCCACGCGCCTCTTCACCTCCCAAGAGGAGCTTCTGGGTTCCACTGCACTTGGCCAGGAATCCAAGGCAAGGCGCACATGTCAGCAGCCTAGGTGAGCAGGCACAGCTGCATCTAATGAGCTGTTGGATCTGACTCCTCTCTCAGCATGAAGCTAGGTCCCAGGGGCAGGCAGTGTGGTCAGGGGTAGGCCAGCGTGTGTTCCTAGAATGCCACAGAGTCAAGCCCAGTTAGAAGGCATTGTGGCTGAGAGCACAGGTTCTGAAGCCTCAAAGAATCCTGAGTAGTTCCCGATTCTGCCACTTACCAGCTGGATAACTTTAGAATTTCTTTAATCTGTCTAAGCCTCAGTTTTCTCATGTATAAAATGGAGACGATGACATCTACCTCTTAGGTCATTGAGAGGATTAAATGGCATGATATTTGCAGAGCACTTTCACGAAGCCTGGCGTGTCTATCAATGACAGTTGTGGCCATCGTTTGTTGTTCAGCTGCTACAGCCAACAGATGCATGCTCTAACAATGAAAATTACTGTGTAGGCCGGGCACAGTGGCTCACGCCTGTAATCCCAGCACTTTGGGAGGCCAAGGTGGGTGGATCACCTGAGGTCAGGAGTTCAAGACCAGCCTGGCCAATATGGTGAAACCCCATCTCTACTAAAAATACAAAAAATTAGCCAGGTGTTGTGATGCATGCTTGTAATCCCAGCTACTTGGATGGCTGAGGCAGAAGGATTGCTCAAACCCAGGAAGCGGAGGTTGCAGTGAGCCAAGATCATGCCACTGCACTCCAGCTTGGGCAACAAGAGTGAAACTCCATCTCAAAAAAAAAGAAAAAAAGAAAATTACTGTGTAAACCATCCAAGACAGGACTCTTGGCTCTTGTCTTAGTCTGCTCAGGCTGCTATAACAAAATACTATAGACTGAGTGGCTCAAACAACAAACGTTTATTTTTCACAGTTCTGGAGGCTGGGAAGTCCAAGATCAAGGCACTGGCAGATTCGATGTCTGGTGAGGACCCCCTTCCCGGTTCATAGACAGCTGTCTTCTCGACGCATCCTCACATGGTGGAAGGGGCAAGGGAGCTCTCCAATGTCTCTTTTATAAGGACTCTAATCCCATTCATGAGAGTTCTACCTTCATGACTTAATCACCACCCAAAGGCCCCACCTCTACTACCATTACATTGGAGATTAGGTTCAACACATGACTTTTCAGGGACACAAACCTCCAGTCCGTAGCACAGCAGATTTAGTTCCTGCTGAGGGCTTCCTTCCTCGCTTGCTGGCACCTCCTTCTTATTGTGTGCTCACATAGGAGAGAAAGAGAGAGAGAGAGAGAGAGAGAGAGAGAGGGAGAGGGAGGGAGAGGGAGAGGGAGGGGGGGAGGGAGAGGGGGGGGAGAGAGAGAGAGAGAGAGAGAGAGAGAGAGAGAGAGCACTGTAGTTTCTCATCCTCCTCTTATACCTATAAGGACACTAATCCCAGTGCAGGGGCCCTACCCTCAGGACCTCATCTAAATCTATTCACCTCCCAAAGGCCCCACTGCCCAATGCCATCACACTGGGAATTAGGGTGTCCACATAGGGATTTTGAGAGGACACATTCAGTCCATAACAGCTCCTAGATATAAACCCTGAATTTCCTTCTATAAATTTGCCCCCATTCCTTTTGCTTTTGTTTGTTTGTGTTTTGCAGTGATGTGAATGCCAGGAAAATCCTGCCCTCGCCTTGCCCCAGTCCACACAGCCAGAAACAGAGCAGCACCAGCACCCCACTGGAAGACAGGTCTGTGGTCTTCTCCTGTTATGCCTGTGACAGCCCCTGCAGTGGGCGGAGTGGGCCTCCATCTCCAGTCTACTCCCCGAAAAAGCCCCTCGTCCAGTAGCCACACAGACAGAACCCAGGTCTGGCCTCTGCCCTGGTCCCCTGGGAATTCCCTGGAATCTCTCACACAGGCCAACTCAAAGCGGGGAGGTTTTCTCCCACAGTCACCAGGGCCCTGTGTTGGGCAGAGTTGTTTCATATCTTCTTGTGAATAGACGTACCTGGGGGCCAGAAAGGGAAAGAGCCAGCCCAGGGCAGCCCCACCACAGAGCAGAGCAGGGAGCTGACAAGCCTGGCCTGAAGACCCAGCAGCATTTGCTTCCAGGCTTACCAGAGTTGATCAGCACCATGGGCATTTGTATCCTCCGGCTAGAATGGCTGCTCAGCCTCTTTCACCAGCACAGCCTCTGCCCTGCCTGCCTGGACTCTGCTTTAGTGCTTCCGGCTGGCCTGCAGCGGGAAAGCCAACACCCAAACTACCTGCGGGAATGGCCAGCCCCTTGTTACATACCGTCCTTACTGCCTTCTAAGGAAGTGGCTACCACCTCCTGCTGTGCAGAGGCACAGGGGTGAGGATGGACGGAAAGTTGGCAAGGCCAGGCAAGTGTACTGCTCTGAGTTTGCTGAAGGGGAATGCTATATGGAGAAGCTGGATGGAAAAGGGGATGGGGGAGGGCACACACAGCCCTCCCTTTCTAAGGAGATTCCCACACAACACTTCTACTTACAAATCTCATTGGCCAGCACCTGGTCACCCGGCCACACATCGCAGCAAAGGAGTCTGGGAAAGGTAGTTTTTTTAGTTGTGGCAACTTAGCTAAATATGATTCTGTTTTTAAGGAGAGACAGGAGAACAGTAATCTCTGCCTTGAGGTCAACTAGCTAAGCCACGTGGGGAATGAGGGTGCTCTGAGGACACAGCACTGAATGATATGACATCTAAGCTGGGCACAGAAGTTGATGGGCCCCAGGTTAAGGGGTGCTGGTTTGGGTAAATCAGGGATGGGAGGACAAGAGTGGTGGTGGTAAGAGGATAGAGAAGGCAGCGAGAGAAAGCACAGCCGCCATGTGACGGGTGGTGGGGAGGGCAGTCCAGGGAGAGGAAGCATCAGAGCAAAGGCCCTGAGGCTGGAAGTGGCTTGGTAAATGCAAGTCACTGAAAGAAAAGGGGGCAGCTGGAGCCCCTGACCCGGGGTCATATCATACACAGCCTGGTAGGTCATGGGACAGAGTTTAAGTTTTATTCCATGAGTGGTGAAAAGCCACTAAAGGGTCTGTATTAGTCTGTTTTCACACTTCTGATAAAGACATACCTGAGACTGGGTAATTTATAAAGAAAAAGAGATTTAATGGACTCACAGTTCATGTCACTGGGGAGGCCTCACAATCATGGTGAAAGGCACGTCTTACATGGTGGCAGCCAAGACAGAATGAAAGCCAAGTGAGAGGGGAAACCTCGTATGAAAACATCAGATCTCATGAGACTTATTCACTACCACGAGAACAGTATGGAGGAAACCGTCCCCATGATTCAGTTATCTCCCACCTGGTCCCTCCCACAACACGTGGAAATTATGGGAGCTACAGTTCAAGATGAGATTTGGGTGAGGACACAGCCAAACCATATCAGGGTCTATGGCAGGGAATGACTTGACCCAATTTGCATGACAAGAGGCTTAGTGTGGCTGCCACACAGAGAAGGTAGGAGGGAGTGAGAAGCAGGCCAGCCGTGTCATGTAGCTTTCTGAGTGAGATCAGTCACCTAAAATGGAAAAGCATTTTGGAAATATAAGTGGTGAGTCCAGTTGTAAAGTGTAGTAAAATGTGACACGTGGTTGCCTCCAGCATCCCCAAGAGGCCAGTGTCGTCCATCCCTCTCACCGGAGACAGCCAGACGGACTCGGACATCATCGCCTTCATCAAGGCCAGACAGAGCATTCTGCAGAAGCAATGTAAGTGCACCTCCCTCGGTGGCTCCTCCTGGGCAGCAGGTCACCAACACTTGTGGGGAGCACACAGTGAGGTGGGAGGGGAGTAGGGAGTTTCCTGCATATTCCTGAAGCCACAGGACTGGCCTGCCTGTCAGTCACATGTGCCCAGCCTCTGATTCCTTCTCGAGAAAGCCTCAAGGGGCAGCATCAGAAACACCAAGACAGGCCCAAGTGGGTGGGCGGCCCAGGTGCTCCTGTCCCTCTTGGCAGAGCTTGCTCTCTGTCTCTTCCAGATCTTCAGCTCCTTTGTTCTCTGTTCCCAAAGTCAGCTGTCTCCTCTGCTCAGGCTTCTACAAACAGGAAGGGGCTGAGTGATGTTTTGGTAACTCGTTGAACCCCTGGCTTAAAGTCTCACTCCCCTATCAGAGTGTGGTTCTTGCCAAAGAGCTGTGAGTGTAAACACTGCTTGAAGGCCCAGGCCCGAGGACACCATAACAATCACAGAGGAAGTAAGAGTGGCGTGTCAGACAACAGGAAGAGAAGAAGGCTCTTCTTGGTCTGCATCACTGCCCCCTCCACCCCCAGCCCCGTCCTCTTGGCAGCTGCCCATCTCCCATCTGCTGTGGCTGGGCCTTTTCTCTTTCTGCCTTCCATCCCCAACACACCCACAGGGCAAGCCCCAGGGCCCCTTACCCCAGGCCTGCATTTTGTCTTAGCCTCCTCCCCATAACCCAAAGGCTACTAGGCAGGCTTAACATTGCCTTCACATTGCCAGAAAGGCGCCCCCACCGTGATGGTATGGGCTGGCAGATTCGATGTATAATGACTGATGCCTGCCCTGTGGCGCCTGCACTCAGCTTCTCCACCAGCCGTGTGCAGTTTGGGCAGGAAGAGGTTTGTGCATGGATGGAGCGCCGCAACTGAGAGCCGGCCTTGGTCCTGTACTCGCCTTGCTTGGCCGCCAGCCTGCTTATTTACTATCCTCTCTTCACCACCAGGACCAGCAGCCTCAGCAACACTGTCAGGTCCTTTCTTAAGCCTGAGACAGCCCCACCTCTGCTGTGATCTTGTCTCATTCTCAGTTTCCTTGTCTAAAAATAAAAAAAAATAAAAAAAAATAAAAAAAAATAAAAAACTGGATTCAGTGATCTCCAAGTCCCCATCTATGCCCCAAATACTCTGATGATAGGTATCAGGCACTGAACAGCAATGAACAGCCAATCAGTCAGCAAACACTGTATATGTTGGGTGCCTTCTTATGCCAGGCACTACTACTAGTGCTGGTGCTACAGCAGAGAACAAGACAGAACCCAGCACGTGAGAAACTGACATTCTAGGGGGAGGAAGGAGACAGACAATGAACACGTCGACAAATACGTAAGATTGTTTGAGGGGATAATAAGTGCTATGAAATAGCTAAACTATGTAATGTTGTAGACAGTAACTGGGAAGACTGCTTTTAGCTGGGTAGGTTGGGGAGGCCTTGCTGGAGAAGATAACTTTAAACTGACAGCTGCATCATGAGAATGGAGCAGCTACGCCGCGTTCTGGGAATGCACAGTCCTAGCAGACAGAGCGGAAAGCGAGAAGCCTGAAGGGGAAGCTTTGCTTGGCCACAGGGTGGGAAGGAAGCTAGAGTGGCTGGAGGGCAGGGAGCAAGAGCACAAGGGCCAAGTCACACCAGCCTTATGCACAGGGGAAAGAGATTTGGATTTTATTCTGGATAGAGTGGAAGCCCACTGAATAATTTTAACCATGGAGTGATATGATGTGATTGATGCTTTAAAAAGCTCACTTTGTCTGTCACATGTAGTGTAGATTGTAGGGGCCAAGGGTAGACCAGTTACCAGGCTACCATGAAAGTGCCAGCAAGGGATGATTGTGGCTTGGACTCACCAGTAGACCAAATATGAGATGCAAGAGAAAGAGGAGAGTCAGGGCACCTCCTGGGCTTTTGATCTGAGCAGCGAAGAGAATGGCAGTGCCATTTACTGAAATGAGAAAGGCAGGGAGGCATGACCATCAGAGGCAAGGAGCTGGAGGGATGGAGAGTTCTGGCTGCCCTTTTTGAAGTTTCAGATGACATTTGATGTCCAAGAGGAGGTGTCGAGTAGACAGGTGAGCATCAGTGGAGCTCAGAGAGAAAGTCTAAGCTAGAAAAAGAAATATGCAAGTCATCATGTCTGGTTGGTGTCTGAAGCCACAGGACTGAGTACAATGTCCTCTGAAGACCAGAGATGGAGGTATTCAAATTGCTGAGAACAGCCCCCTGGGGTTCTCCAACAGTTGCGGAGAGAGAGGAAGCAGAGATGCTGAGAAGGCACTGCCAGGGTGCGAAAAGGAACAGCAGATAAGTGGGTATGGCCTCAGGCACAAGCTGGAGAAGCACAAGCTGGAGAAGCACAAGCTCCAAGGGGAGACGGGCCAGTAGAGTGTGGCAGGATGGAATGTGGACCACTGGCCATTTTGCATGTCAGGGTGATCATGGACAAGCACCATTTAGCCAGGGGACTGGGAGTGGCTGGGGAGAGGGTGGAAGGGAAAGAGGCTGAGGCAGTGAGCAGATACAACCCCTCCAGGGGGTTGAGCAGTGACAGGAGCAGAGAACTGGGCTGGAGCTAAAGGGAAGCAGGAGCCCAGAGGGATGCTTTAAGACATGCTCACGTGCTGAAACATGCATAGAGAGGGAAACTGATGCTGTGGTGGGAGAGGGGAGCAGAGCTGCAGGAAAAACTTCCTTGAGAAAGTAGAGGGGACAGTGTGTGGGGCACAAGTGGAGGAAGGCTTGGATACGCAGGATATCCTTTGAGCTGAGATATCCCTTCCCCTGTAACAAATCCATAGAAACCAACCATCATTCCTCCCCTCAAGAAGCCTACAAGCAAGCAATATCTTTAAGTTACATTCACTAAGCTTTTGTACATATAAGAGATGTGATCATCTAACTCTCTCCAAACAGAAGAGGCGGAAGTCCAGGTCCCTGTCAGAGTGGTGTCCTCCTGCTAACACTGTCCCCAGGCAGTGCAGAGAGCTGGATTGAAGGGCAGGCACTTTTATTAAAATATGTATGGCAAACTACCATTTATAAATGTTTTCATTTTTATTGTTTCATTTGATGCTCTTAACGCTCCTGTAAGGCATGCAGGGCCAAGATTATGATCCCCTGTGGACAGGTGAGGAAAGGAAACTGAGGCACACAGAGGTTGTATCACTTGCCCAAGGTTACACAGCTGATAAATGGCAGAGCCAGCATAACCCAGGTTTTCTGCTCTCTCCCCACTGGGCCACACTGTCTTGAAAAGCTGCAACTACCAAGATATGCCCACTCTGCTGTCAGGAGTTCTCTCGGCCTCAGGAACAGGAACCAGCATTGACGAGGGGAGTGACCGCAGCCTCTACCCACCCTGCAGCTGGGGAGCTTTGCTCTCCAAATAAACAGCAGCCTGGAAGTAATTCATCAAAGCAAACAAAACTTCCACAGCTCAATTTTTATTCCGAAAGGAAGAATATTCATTCTGGCTTTTCAGTGACCACGGGGCCACAAAGGAAGCCAAAGACAGGTTGACACGGGGTCCCTCTGCCACCAGGTCCCAAAGGGCCAGCAGGCGTGACCTCTCAGACATACAGCAGATGGTTCTGGTCCCACCATGTGGCACTTAATATGCAGCCCACTTATCAGGGCACCCAGGCAAACACACAGGCCGGGGCCCAGGCACCTTCTCAGCCAAAGCAAACACCTCCCTCTCCCTGCCTGGGCTCTCGAATCTTAATTTAGCTCACAGCGCTGCCTTGGTTACTTCAGGAGTGCTCATTAAGGGGAATTTGTGACTGTCAGCTCAGGAGCAGGAGCCCAGAGAGGGCAATTTAACATAAGCCTCGCCAGCTCTTAGGCTTCACCAAGGGCCAGGATGAATCTATTTGATTTAGGATTCATGGAACAGCATGGAATGTTTAAATCCCTGCCAGGGGCAGGCGTGGACAGGTATATAACACCCGTAAGGGGCATCAGTCATCCGTGGAGTCAACTCTGCTGTTTCCAACTGCCAAGGACAGTTTTTATGTCTGAGGAAATGAGGTTAACCCCTTTCTAGAGGGCCTTTTTGTTTTTAATCTTGCTTAATCCCTGAGTTTGGAAGTATTCCCATCTGGAAAGGAACCATGGTGCGACCCCCATAACCACAAGTCTGTCTTCTCCAAGAGGTGTTAGGAAGAGGTCCTGCCTCTCCCAGCCCTCCAGCCCCACTCAGAGAAACCCTCCAGCTCTCTTCTGTGTTCAGAAACCCTCCCAGGGAAAGAGAAAGAGCCCCGAGCTGGGAGGGAAAAGGCGGAAATTCCAAGGCCATCTCTGCTCTGCGTGACACTGGGCAGGTCACCTCCCCAAGCCTCCCTCTCACTGTCTGTCATGTACAGATTCCACCCTTGCCCAGGCTCTGATCCTTTCCCAGATAATCTCCATTAAAGTCCCTTATCAACTCCCAAGCACCAAGGAATTATTAACAGGGAAGTGGCCTCTGTGGTGAGAGCTGGCCCAACACCATGAGGTGTGATTTTGCTTTTTCTTAATGGTACATCTGTAGTGTGCCCTCCTTTCTGGGAGCCCACGGTAATCAAAACCCCAATACAGACAGAGCTTCATCACTTAACTGGGGCCCATAAAGTGAATGAGTTTGAAATGGTGCCTTTTGTGTTGAGGTCTGTGCATGTAAGGAGCTATGTCTTGGGGCAGAGCGTGCTCTCCCCCCTATTCTGTAGCATTTCTTCCCAGGCCCCACCCCACCCACCCCCTGTCATTACTGCATGCAAGTGTGTGAGGGGCTCAGAGACCATCCTGGGTGGGAGATGGCTCAGACTCCATGCTCCCTACCACCGGCAGCGTTCACAATCCTGGCCCAGGCTGCATTTCAACAGTGCAGCAGAAACATCAGAGCCCAGATCTCATCAGCAGCCACGTGCCCACGGGCCCCCAGCTCTTGCCCTGCCAGTCCTTGTACTAGAGAGACAAAAGCAGTGAGTTTCAGCCATGGCCATGCCTCAGAATCACCTGGACCCACCCCAGTGATCCTGACTGAATGGTTCTGGGCTGTGGTCTGGGCACCAGGATGTCTAGAGATTCTCCAGAGATTTCCGTTGTGTAGCAGAGCTGGGAACCACAAGTCCAGAGTGACAGGAACACATGACCATCATAGGCTCGGTGTACTTGTCTTCTTACTTCCCGTTCTAGAATTCAATTCAGACAGATCAGAATGTCTTAAAAATAAGGACCATATTTGTTTAATTAAACAGCAAGGCCTGCCAGAGGTCTTGCACACAGAATTAGAACTGAAAGACCAAGGGCTCACAGCCGTGAATTATTTCCAATCTCTTCCTCCGCACTAGCTGGCCATTCAATGTATCACCAAGAATTACCCTTTCTTCCACAGCAATATCAAGCCAACCAAGCTAACACTCGTCACCCAGTACCAGGTTCCTGTGGCCGAACCTGGAGGGCTGCAGCTGCCTGCTCACCTGTTCCCTGAGCAGCCTCACCCCTCAGGCTCTCTGTCCACTGAAATTTTTTTAAACATTGTATTTATTACTTCATCCAAGAATCTCAGAAATTCTCTCTTGCTCTTACTAAATTAGCCAAACTTTAAGCAAAATAACTGCATATCACTCTTACCAGTTCTCACATTTTAATGTGCTAATGAATCGACAGGTTTTGTCAAACTGTAGATTCTGATCCAGTAAGTCCAGGGTGGACCATGTCTTAGACTCTGCCTTTCTTAACAAGCTCCCTGGAAATGCCAGCACTGCTGGTCCATGGACCACATTTTGTGAAGCAAGAAGCCACCTTGCTTTTTCCAGGTATCTCATCTGCTCCAGCAAAGAGAAATGTTAGGCCCAGAGAACTGACATGACTTGCCCAAAGTCACACCGTGGGTTGGGGACTGTCCTGGCTAGAACGCAAGGGCCCTGGTTCTCAATCCAGAGAACCCTCTCCATGCCCAGCCATGGGAGATGACAGGATAGGGGCCACATGGTCAGGAGGAGCCATCCTGGAATATAATTAATATCTGGAGGAAAAAGCAAGGAGAGAATCTGAGGATTAGGTAGGAGCATCAATGAAAACCATGGGGTTGTCCAGGTGTGGTAGCTCACACCTGTAATCCCAGCACTTTGGGAGGCTGAGGTGAAGGATCACTTAAGCTCAGGAATTTGAGACCAGCCTGGACAACATGGTGAAACCCCATCTCTAGTAAAAATACAAAAATTAGCCAGACGTGGTGGTGGGTGCCTGTAATTCCAGATACTTGGGAGGCTGAGGCAGGAGAATCACTTGAACCCCGGAGGCAGAGGTTGCAGTGAGCCGAGATTGTGCCACTGCACTCCAGCCTGGGTAACAGAGCAAGACTCCGTCCAGAAAGAAAAGAAAGAAAAAGAAAGAAGGAAGGAAGGAAGGAAGAGGGGAAGGGAGGGGAGGCTGGAGGGAGGGAGGGAAAGAAAAGAAAGAAAAAGAAAGAAAGAAAGAAAGAAAGAAAGAAAGAAAGAAAGAAAGAAAGAAAGAAAGAAAGAAAGAAGGAAGGAAAGAAAGAAAAGAAAGAGAAAGGAAGGAAGGAAGGAGGAAAGAAAGAAAGAAAGAGAAGAAAGAAGAAAGAAAGGAAAGAAGGAAAGAAAGGAAAGAGAAAGAAAGAAAGAAAGAAAAAGGAAGGAAGGAAAAGAAAGGAAGGAAGGGAGGGAGGGAGGGAAGAAAGGAAGGAAAGAAGGGGAGAGAAAGAGAGAAAGAATGAAAGAGAAGAAAGAGAAAGAAAAAGAAAGAAAGAAGAGAAAGGGAAGAAAGGGAAGAAAGGGAAGGAAGGGAAGGAAGGACAGAAGAAAGGAAGGAAGGAAAAGACAAGACTCCAGCCTCGGTGACAGAGCGAGACTCCATCAAAAAAAAGAAAGAAAGAAAAGGAAAGAAAACGGTGGGGTAGGAAAACAGGCGTCAGTCTCAGCCTAGGGAGATGGAGCTTCTGCAAAGGGCAAAGGGGGCCTCTTCCTTCAGAGCTTGGGGTATAAATGCAGCTCCTGGGAGGCAAGACACAGATGCAGTGCCCAAGACCCAGGGGGAGTGGCTGGTGGCCTCCCCTCCCCCCGATTCAATCCTGGGAAAAGTCAGTGTCTGCATGCACAGCCTAACCAAAAGCATCCTGTCTCCCTTTCAGGTTTGGGAAGCAATTGAATTTCCAGGAAATATCCATCCATGAATTATGCCAGCAAGAATGAAGCACAGATGAAGGCAGCGCCCCTCACTTGCTCTGGCTTCAGAAGTGAACTATGGGCTGCTGGGAGCAACTAGTGACTTTGATTCCCATGGAGGGGACTGTGTTTCTTTAAGGATGCTGACCTGGAGGCCACCGAGAGGCTGGGGCTGGGGCTGACCACAACATCCTTCCTGTGGTTGCTGGAGCTGCTGGCAGGGCCAGGCAAGGCCAGAGTGCTAGGGGCAGGGTGAAGGCTTCAGCTCACTGTTGTAGTGACGTTTTGTGTAGATCTTTATAAGCTTTTGAGAATGTGAAATAGCACCATCAAAATATAATGTCAGAGGATGCTCACACCAGTGGAATGTGGGGGGAATATTTTTATTTTTAACGATTTGCCAGCTCTCTCCCTTGGCCCGTGCTCTGGTTTGGAAGCCCAGAAATGGCCATGACAGGTCCAGGCAGGATGTCCCAGCCACAGGCAAGGCAGTGGAATGCAGGGCATCCTGAAGGCCAATCCTGATCTCCCAGACCACATCTTTCACCATCAGCCTCTTGGCCAGGATGACCTGGAGGCAGTGCCTGAACAGCTGTGTCTCCAGGGAGCCATCTGCCCTGCAGGGTCTAAGGACATCATAGCACCCAGAGAACAGTGGGCAGCTCCCAGGGGCTCTGCTGAGAGCTTGAGAGAGGGCAGTGTGGGTACCTTGGGCCTCACAACCTTCACCCAGCCACTTGGGAGGATTTGGGCTGACACTCCCCACTTCCACAGGGAAAAACATAGCTGCCTGGGGGTCTTGTCTCCATGGGCCCTCTCCATGACAGATCCAAGGGAAGGTGGGCAGCCCTCAAGGAGGTTCTTGAAGAACTGCCCCCTGGGCCAGGGGGTTCCAACCCAGCTGCAGCCAGGGAGGGGCAGCGGAGGGTGAGCAGGAGTGGCACCTGGAAATGAAGCTAACTGGATAAAAGTGCTGGTCCACTGCTCCTGGTGTCTCTGTCCTATAAATACAGGACCTGATGACCCTGGAGGGGAGCAGAGTGGTAATATAGTATAATTGGCTTGATTTTCTTTTTCGTTTTTTAGGACTGGGTAACAGGATCATGCAGGAGAAGATTAAACCATTACATTTCTAAGCTAGGCAGGCCCATCGAGCTCCTCTAATCCACACCCCTATTTTATATAATTAGAAGGCCAGAGTGAAGGGGAGATTCAGCTTGCTGTTCTATGCCACTGACAAATGTCCCCTCTTCAGGGGGCTTCCCCTGACCACTCCATCTCGAGTCACCCCCTAGTTATCCCCTATCCCATTACCATTTTTTCTGCATCACTATCTGACATGTTATCCTTCCGAACTTGCCTATTTTTGAAATACCTGCAACCCCCCATAATACTAAGAGCTCCAATGCAACAGGGACCTGTTTGTCTTGCTCATTGCTGTGTCCCAAGCACAGAGTCGCTGTTCAGTAAACGGTCCTTCAGTTCATGAGTAGACGAGCCAGAACCCAGATGTGTTTCTCAGGCTGGTGTCACTCTGACTTCCCCCAGGCTCTGACTGAATCCCATCGGGACAGGGGCCAGCATCTCTGGTCCACTCCTGGCCCTCACAGTTCAATGGAACATAGTAAGCCCTCTGTAAAGTCTGTAGAACCAGAGGAAGACCAAATTCTGATTCTAGAAGCCTCCCCAAGAGTCCATGGAACACACATGTAACTGCACACACACACACACATACACACACACACTCTCAAGAGCCCTGAAGATGGCATGGCATTTGCCCCAGTCCCCTATGTAGCAGCAGCAGTATTCTTGGCATGCCTTAGTGCCCTCAGCCCTCTAGAGCTGGGTAGAGTCTACTAACTTTTATTTTCTTTTATTTTTACTTTCTTTTATTTATTTTTTGAGATGGGGGGGGTCTCTGTCAGCCAGGCTGGGGTGCAGTGGTGCGACCATACCTCACTAGTCAGCCTCCAACTCCTGGGCTCAAGCCATACTCAGCCTCCAACTCCTGGGCTCAAGCGATCCTCTCACCTCAGCCTCCAAAGTAGCTGGAACTACAGGCATGCACCACCACACCTAGCTCGTTTTAAATTTTTTGTAGAGACAGGGTCTCACTGTGTGGCTCAGGATGGTCTCAAATTCCTGGCCTTAAGCGATGCTCCCGCCTTGGCCTCCCAAAGTGCTGGGATTGCAGGCATGAGCCACATACCCTGCCAGAGTCTTTCAACATTAGATCTCCCACTGAGACATCATCTCCTGGATCCAAAGGCCTTACTGACAGAGATGTGTGGCATGGCCCCATGCGGGGTGTGAACCAGCCTCCTGGGGCAATCACTAAGACAGGAAAGGAAATGAAGACAGAAAAACACACAACATGGGATCTGGGGCCACTGGTGTCCAGAGCATATGCAAAGTGTGTGCAGCAACTGGCCAAGGGGCCTTTTGCTCCGAACATCCCCTAATGGAAGCCCAGCCTTTGATATGGACACATGCTTGACAGCAGTGCACCTTCCCAGAGTTCACTGGCCTCTGCAAATGGGAGAAATTGATGCAATGTTTTGAAAAGACTTTCCAGCAATCCACCTGGGATCAGTGGAGCCACGGATGACAAGAAGTATCTGAGTTCACTCTAGGCCAAAATGTGGGATTTTCAAAAACATTTTCTGGAAAGCAGCCTAGCCAGTGACTCCAGCCCAGTCCCTGCTAGAATTCAACTGGCTCTACCAATCCCTTGACAAGAAGTAGGGTGGACGGAGGTTGGAGGAGGGAAGTTAAAATGTAGCTTGCCCAGATCTTGCTAAAAAGGAGTTTTAGAAAGCAGATAGAGAAATTGTGGTATACTGAATACATCATTTTAATTCTTCACCACCAGTATAGAATTACACATCCAAAGCTTTGTCATGGCCCACTTTGACTAATGTGGTGTTGGCAAACCTGATCCAGGCAGAGGCTTGAATTGTGCTCTCATGGTTGAGCTTGCCTCTTGCTCCAGTGATCTCTCTTGGGATGAACATGCCATGGGTAGCTGCTGCCCCTTCAGCCTGGAACATCCAGAGAGCAGACCTGAGCCCAGTCTACAGCCTGGAGCAGAGCCTCCCAGGCAAGCCCAGCCCAGATCAGCTGAACTATGGCTCACCCAAAGACCTATTGGCATGAGAATATATGCTGCTTGTCATAAACCACTGAGGTTTAGAGTGGTTTGTTATATAGCATTAATTGTAGCAATAGCAGACTGGCACAGAAATTGGAACCCAGAGACAGTATATGACTGGATCTAGGATTTCTCAGTGCAGAGTTCATTGTCTCTCCATGCAGCCTGTGGAAAGGCACTGAGAGCATCCTGTATATGGAAAAGCAGGACCACCACCTACAGCCATGATGAAGCAACAAGGACCTGATTTACCCTCCTGCTTTAAATGACTAAAAATGAGACAAAATCCTCTATACAAACCAATGGTTTTCAGCCATTGGATAACAAGCAATATAGGGTATGATTGATCCGCAAGAGAAGGGAAACAAGTGAGGGGAGCCCTATGATTGCTCCAACTTACTGCCTGCAGTGAGTTTTCAGGCTGCAGCCCAGGAAGGGGGAACCAGGTAGAGCCCAGTGGTTTCCCTGAGTTGAGGAAATGGAGCTGGGAATCCAGGGAGGACAAAGTGGCTTAAATTTGCAAGGCAGAGTCCCAGGGATGAGAGAGAGAGAAGGAGAGAGAGAGGAGAAAAAAGAGAGAGAAAGAGAGAGAGCATGCTCTGGAGATCTTCAGAGGGTTACCCTTGAGTCTTCAGCTAACTACCGATCAACATCTGCATGTGAAGAAATTACCCAAGGCAGGGGAAAGAACCACCAGGAGGAAGCAGGTGGAATAATTTCCTGAGATAACACTGTGTTGGGAAGAGTTCATGTTTCCAACAGCCAGAGTGGAGAAACCTCCCAAAACAGTCATTGTATAGAGACACATAAGGTACTGCCTCAGAAGTGGGGCCAAATTAGTCCTAGATGATAGATTGCTCTGGTCCCACCTAACAAAGCTTAAAAAGCCAGCCCCAAAGGAGTCAAATTGTTTCCAGTAAGTTTCCAAGTAACTTCAATGAGTCCCAAAACAAAGCTTCAAAATATCTAAAGGAATATGAAAAACAAACCAAAAAGAAACCAGCATCCAACAATATAGAATCCACAATGTCTGGTGTCCATTAAAAAATAATCAGGCATGCAAAGAAGCAGGAAAATATGGGCCATGAGAGGAGAAAAAACCATCAATAGAAATAGAGGCCGGGTGTGGTGGCTCACTCCTATAATCCCAGCACTTTGGGAGGCCGAGGCAGGAGGATCACCTGAGGTCAGGAGTTCAAGAACAGCCTGTTCAACATGGGGAAACCCCGTCTCTACTAAAAATACAAAAAATAGCCGGGCATGGTGTTGCGTACCTGTAATCCCAGCTACTCAGAGGCTGAGGCAGGAGAATTGCTTGAGCCCAGGAGGCAGAGGTTACAGTGAGCCGAAATTGTGCCATTGCACTCCAGCTTGGGCAACAAGAGTGAAACTCTGTCTCAAAAAAAAAAAAAAGAAAAAACAAATAGAAACAGCCCCAGGCATGGCACAGTTGATAGAGTAAATAGACAGAAACATTTTTTAAAATGCAATGGGTGTGTGTTTCAAATCTAGGCAGAAAAAATGCTCCTTGTAATTCCTTAAACATAAGCATGTCTCATTCATCTGGTCATTGTTTTGACAAGGATGTGCCATCCATTGTGCTAAGTTCTGAGGAGTCAGAGGTGACAGAGACAGAGAAAGTGCCAGCATTCTTGGAACCTTCTAACGAAGGAGAGGGACAAGCCAGGCATGGTGGCTCACGCCTGTAATCCCAACACTTTGGGAGACTGAGGCTGGCGGATCACGAGGTCAGGAGTTTGAGACCAACCTGGCCAACATGGCGAAACCCCATCGCTACTAAAAATACAAAAATTAGCTGGGTGTGGTGGTGCGCACCTGTAATCCCAGCTACTCTGGAGGCTGAGGCAGGACAATCACTTGAACCCTGGAGGCAGAGTTTGCAGTGAGCTGAGATCGTGCCACTGCACTCCAACCTGGGCAACAAGAGCGAGACTCCTTCTCTGAAAAAAAAAAAAAGAGAGGGACAATAAACAAGTAAGCAAGACAATCTGATTAAGAAGGAGTTGGGGTTAGCTGGGCATGGTAGCAAGCGCCTGTAGTCTCAGCTACTCGGGAGGCTGAGGTGGGAGGATCCTTGAACCCAGGAGGTTAAGGCTGCAGTGAGCTGTGATCACACCACTGCACTCCAGCCTGGATGACAGAGCAAGACCCTGTCTCAGAAAAAGAAGAAGGAGTTGGGGGTGGGGTAGGATGGGCTTGGACTCACTATCAAGGTGGGTGGGAGTGTGAGAACCCGGCAAGGTGCAAAGAGAGAAGCAGGGAAGGGAAGCTTAGGACAATGATGGCAGGTTGGGTATTGGGTGATGGGAAGAGGCAAAGGACGTGGAGCTTGGCAAAAAGGGGACTTGTGGGGATTTGGGCCATGTGAGCATGTGGGGGAGACAGTGTTCCTTCCATAACACGTGTCCAGGGACTGCCAGGGCTCCGAGGCAGAGCAGGTGTAGAGAGGTTGGCTGTGAATGTTGGATGTTGAAAACATATGTGTCAAATGTGGGAGGAAAAAGCAGTGTTTCCTTGAATACAAGCTCCTCCTCACCTTGCGAAAAGTGGCCTCTGAGTGTAGCCCTGAATGCATCTCCCAAGGAATAGGAGGAAGCAGCAACCTTTTCAGAGTTAACTGCTTTATTTGGGTTTTCCATGGCCTCGTGCCAGCCAGCAGGGCTGAGCCAGTTTCACCCACACTGAGAGGGAACTCAGCAAAGAGCAAGCAGCATGCCAGCTGGTACTCTTCCCTCTCCATTCACTCAGCTCCTGATCTCAGGAGGGCAGCCCCTCCCCAGGCCAGCACCCCTCCCCTTCTGGCCCCAGGTGTGGGATGTTGTTGTTTTCTTTTCTCCGAAACATCTCCTGGGTTTGTCTTTTCCATCACTGTCTTTAGACTGAGGCAAGCAGTCCCCATGCCTTCAGCCCCATGTTTTGGGGGTAACCTGTGCTTTGACATGCTTTGCTAAAAACTTTCTAAGTCTCCCTCTGGTGCTGGGACCAGCCATGACCAACAACGTCATCCATGCAGGCCACCCCTAACATAGTCCAGGCCTCATGTGGGTCTCAGTTCCCTTTTCTTCTTTCAGGAAGTTCTCCAGTGCATGCATAGGGTTGACCAGATGTCCCAAGGTGCTCTAGGACTTATGCCTATGAAGCTGTTTTAGGGCTTCCTAGTCAGTCCCTGGTTCCAGGAAAGCAGCCTGATGAGGAGATCATTCCCGCTGGCTGGTGTGGCATTTCTTTTATGGCACTACCTGGGATTGGGCCACCAGACCTGCGCTAACATGCTGATTTGATGGACTCTTAACATCATAGGACAAAGAATCGTCATGTGAACCAATTAGACAATAAACAAATGCCTAAGTGCCTCTTCTCTGTCATTATTCTAAATCTACACAAATCAATCATTATACCTCACATGGGCTCATGAATTTGGTACTAAGTTTTTTTCATCAAATTGTTTATACACACAGGGGTCCATCCACAAAAAAATATTTGCCAGGACCCTCACACACCAAGAGCAGCTGGCCCTGTCTCTCCTCTGGTTTCTGGGCTCAGTATCTCTCCCAGGCCCTGGGGACGCTCTGCTCCTCCCTGTCTCAGCGGCACCCCTCATCTACATCCTGGCTCACAGCAGCCCAGGCTTCTTGCTGCTGCTGCAGCTCCAATGACTCTCAAAGCTATGGGTTTTTCTTATAGTCTGAAGAGGTGAGGGGATGTAGGGAGATTCATTAACAGGGGATGGCCAGCAGATCTTTTAACAATATCTTTCATGGCCGGGCACAGTGGCTCACGCCTGTAATCCCAGCACTTTGGGAGGCTGAGGAGGGTGGATCATGAGGTCAGGAGTTCAAGACCAGCCTGGACAAGATGGTGAAACCCCATCTCTACTTAAAATACAAAAATTAGCCAGGCATGGTGGCGGCTGCCTATAATCCCAGCTACTTGGGAGGCTAAGGCAGAGAACTGCTTGAACCCGGGAGGCAGAGGTTGCAGTGAGCTGAGATCGCGCCACTGCACTCCAGCCTGGGCGACAGAGTGAGACTCCATCTCAAAATAAATAAATCAATAAAAACAATTTCTTTTTTCAATTTGAGTGGCCATCAAGAGATGAGGGTATGGTCTTCCCACTCTTGTCATGCTTCCAAGGGCACCGGCCTAATATGCCAGGACAAGCTGACCACCCCTTCATTAAGGTTCACAGAAGAGCAATTTCCCTGCAGGAATGACAAAACCACAGTGACCCAGACAAAGGAGTGGAGAACTAGAGCCTGTGACAGACAGTGTCAGTACTCTGCCAGATCCCCCCAGCCCGCCTGGAGGTCACATGCAGCACTTGTGGAAAGCCTCCATCTATACCAGTAGCATTCTGTCCTAAGCACCTGCATCTTTCTACCCACAGGGACTCTCTGGCCGCAGGAGTGCTCTCAGCCCACAGGCAGGGCAGGCTGGCAGTGCAGGAGTTAACCTCCCCAGGAGCAATCTTCAATTAACAAGGGACAAGAGTTGGTAGATAAACACCCCAGCTTCCTTGCCACTCTGTGGAACAACTCTACAGTGTGTTCTGCACAGTCTCCCAGAGGTCCCCAGCGGGATGGGGCCCCAGTTGCCCGCAACAGTCACCTGTGCGAAAACACACCCTGAATCGACTGCCTTCTGTTCCCCACTCCCCTGCTTGCGCATCCTGGATCAGGTCCCAGATGAACCACGCACACCCGCATTGTGTCTTGGGACCTGCGCTGAGGGAAGTCCAACTTAGACAAGGGCATCCATTTCAGAATTACGGGTAAGGGCTCTTGAAATCACACTCTCTGGGCTGGTGGAAATGGGAGCCCTCTGCCCCTACTTCAACCAGAGCTCCACTCTTAAGTAGGCTTCAGATTGGGGCTCTGGGAAAGATTTCATGTGCAAGAGGAATCCTGCTCCTTAAAAAAAAGAAAGATGCAGTTTCTGAGCAAAATTAGTAACAGGTGTGTTTGTTTGTCTGTTTCAAGGCTTTACCTTGAATCACCCTTCAGCTTTCCCTGGTCTGTCTGCTGGTCACAGCACGAGCTGGCCCACCTCTGAGATCATACTCACGAGGACACACAAAGACCCCTACAAACCCGCGCCACCGCCGCCTCCACGTAGGACGCTGTGGGGGAGACTCCGGGAGCCCAGGCTCCCACATCGAAAGCTTGCCGCTCCAGCCACGTGGTGCAAACTATCTGGGGGGCACAGTTAGGGAGCTGGCATCTAAAACCAGTGCTCTCTGTCTCCACTTGCCCTTTCTACTACAAGGCACACACCTGGGGCAGGTGGGCCTTATCTTCTCCCCTGTGTTCTGGTTTGGAAAGTGTCCTTTTTCACCCATATGGATATGTCTATTGAGGGGCTCCATAGCGAATACCTATGTTGATGGTGGGATGGGCGGCCTGTCCAGTCCTTATCTCCAGGCTCGTTCAGATGGAAAGAGGCTCGTGCCCAGCTGCTCTGTTTACTCTGCATTCTCTGCCCATTGTACACCAAATCGATTGGGCAGATGGGGAGGGGGTGTTGTTTTTCTTCTTTTTCCCCAATCTCCTTATTAGTTCAGCCTCAGAAAGTCCCTTATCACCTCCGGATGTCAGGCCACACTCTGTCATCAGGCCTGGCCATGTCAGGCTCTCCATTAATTGATTTTGCCCTCCCCCTTGGGAAGCATAAATTGGCTCTGCCCATTAGCAGCAATAATTCCCTGAAAGGGATTGTAAATCATGCCTGGTGTCCACCCAGAGCTCACAGCAGAGTAGTGCCCACGTAGGGAGATGTTGGACAGAGAGGTCTCTGCAGCCCTGCAGTTTTTCTCCTAATCTTGACCAAGCGCTGACCTCACAAGACCACAGTGGACTAGGAAGAGTAGCTGAATCAGGTCCCAGAACATGGAGGGCGCTCAGTCAGTGTGTGTAGAATGAGTTAAGGCAGGAAGCGAGGGAGGCAGGATGGGAACATCCTCTCTGGTGCAGAGAGCTTTTATCTTCTACAAGCTCTCTCTCTCTCTCTCTCTTTCTCTCTCTCGCTCTCCCTCTCTCTCTCGCAGTCTCTCTTTTGTTCTCTCCTCCTTATTACAAAAACAATTGTTGCTTGTCCTGGACAGAAAGGCCACCGTATCTGCCACGGCGAGTGCCTTCCAGGTGGTACCTATATGTGTGATGCCCCCATCCCCTGGGCTGGGGCAGGTCAGCTGAGGGGGCTGTTTGATCCAAGGCTGGGCCATCCTCAGCCCACCAGACACCTGTAGAGTAGCCACCATGAAAAGGCACTCTTGGGCACTTAGTCCATCCATAAAGGATTTAAGCCAAGAGATACCAAGATAAAGAAGCAGAGGGCAACGGGCATGGATCTGACCAGATGCCAGGAGGTCAGCCAGGAGTGGAGCCCCAAGGCAGAGAAACGGCAGACGGGAAGCACCTGGGGCGAGTAGAGAGTGGTCAGGCCAGGCTACTGGTGGAAAGCTAGGAGGCTCCAGAAACCTGGCTGCTCCCCAGTTCCTACAGCACAGTCTGTGGGCCTCTTGAGCTGAGATCTCCCCCAAAGTCCACCATTATGTTGCCCTTTCTGTGGCTTTTGTGGCCCTAGGGTTTTCAGAAGTCCCCCATTAAACTGAACATGCTTCTGAGAAAGACTCTATCCTAAACCCCAGCCAGGTGAAGTCTTATTGGGCTTGGGTGGTTTGTGAAAAACTGATGTAAGAGGGAGATGTGAGGGTGTGACCAGAAGAGAGTAGAGAGGCAGCAGTGGAGAGAAAGAGCCAGGAAAGGCAGGAGGAAGCTGTGCTGGCTGACTTTCCCAGAACATGGTAGAGTCTCAACAGATAGCCCCAGCGCACAGTAGGTTCCCAACAGATCATTCATAAATGAATGGAGTGTCTGCCCACAGTGAGCCTGGTACACTTCCTGCCCAGGACCTGAGGGAGGGAGGGCACCTTGATGGCTGATTCATCCCTCCCTCTACCCCAGCCCATCTCAGACGTCCCTGTGGCCCACTACGTTCATCCCCTTCTCCCATGCAGATAGTCCATTCTCTTTTCCTTCGTTTCCGTCCCCCTTAGAACAACCGTCATTACCTGTGGACTGTGTCCAGACTGCTCAAAGATACTCAGTGCTACAGAGTTACTCAGTCCTGCCTGAAGCCCTGCAGACATCCACGGATGAGCTTTCTAAGTGATACACGAGAGAGCTCTCCATGTATTGAGTTTCTCCAGGGCAATCGAATAGGGTTTGACTCTCACGCTGCCTTTCAGATTTAATTCTAACTCTTGCTTAAGCCAGGAGCTGGTGCATCTGTAGCAGAAATGAGTGCCAGCACTCTGTTGCCCCACTGATTCCAGATGCTTCCTTCTCCCTCCAAGACAAGCCCACATCCCAACAAGGTGCCGTCTGGGAAAGCTCCCGGACCATGTGAAGTGGGGCTTGCACAGAACCACTTCAGAGATCCCCAGATGGCCTCAGAGGATTCCAGAAGCAGCAGAATTCCAGAGAAGGTGGGCTCCATCACACCACCCCCAGACAGGGCCGTGCCTAAGCCACAGGGTGGACAAAAGCCTGCAGGTTTGTCACTGCGTCGGGACATTCTTAATGAACAGCCCACACAATGTGGGCTCCACCTCCGCTCACTGTGATTTGTTGTTGTTTGGTTTTTAGCAGAACCCTATGTTACTACCAATCTCTTGATCACCCACATACCTGAAAAATAATGTCTCCCTCTTGCTTTTATCTTCTACAAGGTCTCTCTCTCTCTCTCGCTCTCCCTCTCTCTCTCGCACTCTCTCTTTTGTTCTCTCCTCCTTATTACAAAAACAATTGTTGCTTGTCCTGGACAGAAAGGCCACCGTATCTGCCATGACAAGTGCCTTCCAGGTGGTGCCTACATGTGTGATGTCCCCATCCCCTGGGCTGGGGCAGGTCAGCTGAGAAGGCCGCTTCATCCAAGGCTGGGCCATCCTCAGCCCACCAGACACCTGTAGAGTAGCCACCATGAAAAGGCACTCTTGGGCATTTAGCCCATCCATAAAGGATTTAAGCCAAGAGATACCAAGATAAAGCAGCAGAGGGCAATGGGCATGGATCTGACCAGATGCCAGGAGGTCAGCCAGGAGTGGAGCCCCAAGGCAGAGAAACGGCGGATGGGAGGCACCTGGGGCGAGTAGAGAGTGGTCAGGCCACGCTGCTGGTGGAAAGCTAGGAGGCTCCAGAACCCTGGCTGCTCCCCAGTTCCTACAGCACACAGTCTAATTACCAGAAATACCTGGAGTGTGTTCTGATCCCTTCCAACTCAAATAAGCCTTGAACAGTTTTTTAAAAAGAACTCAGGCCGGGCTCAGTGGCTTACCCCTATAATCCCAGCACTTTGGGAGGCCGAGGCGAGTGGATTGCCTGAGCTCAGGAGTTCAAGACCACTCTGGGCAACATGGTGAAACCCTGTCTCTACTAAAATACAAAAAATTAGCCACGCATGGTGGTGCGCAACTGTAGTCCCAGCTACTCAGGAGGCTGAGGCAGGAGAATTGCTTGAACCCAGGAGGTGGAGGTTGCAGTGAGCTGAGATCATGCCACTGCACTCCAGCCTGGGCTACAGAGTGAGACTCCATCTCAAAAAAACAAAGAAACAAACAAAGAACAACAACAAAAACTCATAATAACAATTGGGAAGTAACATAATACCTAATGGTGGCTGAAACAAGGTTTATGTTTTCAATATAAAAAGAAATCTAGAGAGGAGTGTGCAGGAATTGGTCCAGTGTCTTTGCAGTGCCCATGACCTTTCCCTCAGGGACACAAGATGGCTCAGCAGGTCCAGACAGAAAGAGGCAGAAATGCGGGGCCAGCTGCAGCTGAACCCTTGGTCAACAGACAACAATTTTGCCCAAACCTCCTCAGCCAACTCTGCCCAATCATGGCTGGACCTGGGCACGTGGCCAGCCCCAGCTGCAAGGGAGCTTGGGAAAGTGGGTGCAGGGGACGCTTCGACCCTGGGGTCTCCTCCCCAGGCTTTAATGTGTTTTTCTCCCAGTGGCCTAGCCTGCACCTGGAGCTCTCCTTCAGGGGTCTCTCCACAAGCTCCTGGAGCCATCTTTCCTGCACGTGCGCAAAGCCAGAAATGCATGAGTGACGGACTAATGTGGGGATATGAAGGCCCAGGTCCCCTGCTGGGACTCACTGGGGTGCACTTCACCTGCCAGAGCTCCCAGGAACCAGGCTGAGGCTGGGACTGTGGTGCCTTGTTTGGCTTTCTCCTCAGCCTGGCCCTCTTGCCCACTGTCTTATGGGTCTTCAGTGACTTCACTGCTCTCAGGGGCTGAGACAGAGGGGAGCAAGATTAGCACTATGACTTAGACCAATTATGCTCAATTACCTGGGGTTAACACTTACAAAGCCGGGGTTCTGCTAGCTGGGGAGGAGGGAAAGGATACTCAGCAGGCAACTCACAGTGTCTGCAGCCACAGCTCATTAAAGGAAACAGCAGAAAACACAGCAGAGATATTGGAATCCTCGCCCTGGGCTAGTGAGAATATAAAATGGTTCAGCCACTTTGGAAAATAGCCTGGCAGTTCCTCAAAAAGTTCAATACAGAGTGGCCAGATAGTCCAGAAATTCTACTCCTAGGTATGTACCTGTGAGTAATGCAAACACATGTCCACAAAAAAAACTCATACACAGAGGTTCATAGCTGCTTTGTTCTTAATAGAAGGAAACAGGGACAACCCAAATGTCCATCAACTAGAAATCAAATGGATAAACAAATGTGTTATAGCCACACAATGAAATATTACTCAGCCAGAAAGAAGGAAGAAGTACTGTTACATGTTGCAACAGGGCTGGATCTTGAAGACCCTGTGAATATACTAAAACCCACTGAATTGCACACTTTAAATGTGTGGACGATACAGCATGTGAATTATATCTGTATAAAGCTGTTATACATGTACATAAACAAGCATGTGTACACACACACACACAGGCAAAGAGAAAGGAAAGCACTCTCAATTCCATCCACTCAGAGACAGCCCCTCTTACCATCCCAGGATCAGGATATACTTATAGTTTCTTTTTAATTCACACATATATTTCACCGACATATCCTCTGAAGGTAACCCACTAGAGGGCTTCATGCAAGACAAATTAGCAAGAGTTATAAAACCAATGAATCCAACTTATCAGCAGAATCAACCCTGATACTCTTACCATCAGGCTGAGTGAGACAATCACCTGTCTATTTACTTTGCCCTGATTTGTCACGCAGTTTACTCATCCTGAGGTTCCCCCAATAGGCAGTTCAATTATCCTGCCCCATTTTGTAGCCAAGGCAACTGAGTAGAAGGTTTATTCATACCCATTCTGACCTCTTCCCAGCTCCTAAGCTGGGGTCTTACAGCCTTCAAGGGTGAAGACGCTGGGGGCGGCCGAGAGAGCCCACTGGGGCCTGGACAGAGTGAGCACACCTATCCGATTTAGCCCAGAAACATCTATCCAACTTGGAGACAGAGAGAGAGACATGAAGCACTCAGGAGAACCTGGTAGGTCTCTTTGAAGGGTCCCTGACACTGACTTGCTGCTGTCCATGGAAACAAAGGCCGGGTGGGGGTGGCCGGCCTGTTTGCACTCACAGCATAGCACTTAGTGCAGCCAAGCTGAGCCGCACTGTTCAAACAGTCTCCCCAGCCTCCAGACACCTGTGCCGAGGAGGAGGGCAGGGCAGGCGGCAGCCTGGGCACAGGCCCCTAGGTGCTTACTCCTCACCTGTTTCCCACCTCTCCCCCATAGCCAGCCCCACGGCCCTGGCAGGGTCCTGGCCACAGCATGCCCAGTGCTGGGCTCTGCAGCTGCTGGGGTGGCCGGGTGCTGCCCCTGCTGCTGGCCTATGTCTGCTACCTGCTGCTCGGTGCCACTATCTTCCAGCTGCTAGAGAGGCAGGCGGAGGCTCAGTCCAGGGACCAGTTTCAGTTGGAGAAGCTGCGCTTCCTGGAGAACTACACCTGCCTGGACCAGTGGGCCATGGAGCAGTTTGTGCAGGTGAAGGGGAGCGATGTGGGATTGGGATGGAGAGGCTTGGGAAGGTTGGTGGAATGGGGTTCCTGTGGCAGATCCACAGTCCTCACCCAGGAGCTGATGCCCCATTTGGAAGAAGAGTGTGGTGGGAACAGAGAGCCTGGTGAGATCTAATCCTGGATTCTGGCCCCAGGTCTACAACTGGATTGATGTGTGACCTTGAACAGGTCACTTAACCTCTCTGGACCCAAACAGCCTCATCTATAAGGCAACAAGAATAACCATATCGGTACTGCAGACATTTGACAGCAGATTAAAAGCACTCTCTAAGCTGTCACTTGCTGGATGAATGGGAACTATATGTCAGCGTTATCAACGCTATCCAAATTTCCTCCTCCCACACTTTCATACTTCCCCTTCCCCAACTCCAGGGCTGCAGCTCCTTCTGCCCTCTCCCAGCTCATATCCCTGGGCAGACGGCTGCGGGTGGGAGACACAGATAAATGCCAGGAGCAGCCACCACCAAGCTGTCCTTTCCTGGCCTGTTTGCACCTGGAGTTGGGTTTGGTGGGCAATGGCCAAGGTGACTGAGCTTGCCAGCACTGCACCCAAATGGGGCTCTCTCTTGGTAACAGAGTGGGTCACCCCCTGCCTGGGTCCTTTCTGGTTTCCTCTTTCCCAGAAACAAGACAAAACCAGGTGTTGTGGAGGGAGGTGAATGCATCTGAAATAGGCACTGGAGCGAGTGACAACATCCCCTGCAAAGGAACAGACCAAGTGCCAAATCACCTTGATAACTGGCATTTACTGAGCATTCACAATGTGCCTAAAACAGTGGGAAGCAGGGTGGTCATGACCAGCTTAATCCAATCATGATCCACTCATCACCTGACACTGAGCGTGTTACAGGTGTTTTCTCATAATTACCTATTACAATCCCTATCTCCACTTTGTAGATGGGAACTGAGGTAGAATATGTTGACCAAGGCTGCACAGCTACTGGTAGAGACAGCATTCACTCCCAGGCCTCTGGCTCTGGAGCCCCGGGTCTTCACCACACAAATTAGCATAAGTGCTGGGGGCAGGATGCAACCTGAAGCAGCAGTTCTCAAAGTGTAGTCCCGGGACCAGAATCAGCATCACCTGGGAGCCTGTTAGAACTGGAGATGTCAAGCCCCACTCCGCACCTGCCGACTCAGGAACTCTAGGGATGGGTCCTGCAGGCTGTGTGTCAACAGGCTCTCCAGGTGATGTTGAGGACCCTGAAGACTGAGAACAGCTGGCCTAGAAGATGATGCGTGGGCTGGGTGGTCACAGACAACATTCTGTAGCTGTGAGAGACCAGGAAGTGAGGCCTCCAGCTTCAGGTTTTACTCTCTTCTCCCTGATGGATAAGGTTAGTCAAAGTTGGGGGACCATAGTACCACATCAGGGTTGAGAACAGTTCAGGGGCCTCCCAAAACCCTGGGAGTAAGGCAGAGGCCCTGGAGAAGCTGAAATCTCCTCCCTCAGCTCTGCATTGGAGGTGAGAGCCAAGCTGGAGGGCGTGGGAAGGGTTGGTAGCTGCAACCTAACTCGCTCTGCTAACCAAGACGAAAGGAGGCCATCCGCTTGATTGCAGCCCCGAAGGGATTGCCACTGATTAGCCCCTGGGGCCTCCCCAGGGAAGACAGGACATCCCTTTCCCTGAGAGTCCTCAGCCTCAGGAGAGACCCTTCCTTGCCAGGGGCAGTTGAGCTGGGTGGCAGAAGAACACTGGGGTGAGATTCTGGAAGAAGACACATTCCTGTTGAACTCTCAGACGCACAGGGCGAGTTGAGTAACTAGTATTAAAAGCAGTATTAAACATTGCCTCTGTGACGAAACACTGCTTGCCCAGGTTCACAAAACTGGGAAGTCAGAACCCATGGCCACCTGCATCCGCCCACCGGCACTCAGCACCCTCAGCAGGATGAGGGCTGCAGGCTGGCAGTGGGGGATGGCCCAGGACTAGAGTACTGCCCCCAGAAGTGAGGGTCTCCAGAGAACGAGCATGTTCGGGAATGTTGGGCCCTGGCCACTTTGTGGATGTGGGAAAGAAAGGGAGGCCAAAGTCCACATCTTAAGAGGCCAGTTCCCGTCAAAGTGAGGAGAAGCAGACAGCCTGTGACCGCAGATGCCCTGACTGGCTTGGCCCACCAGGGCCACCCCAGCCCTGATCTAAGCACACCCACCCAGCCAGCGGGAACTGGTTCCCATAGGAATTGGAAGCCAGAACTGTTGTGTCCCTGGCTTCCTCCTGCCTTTGGGGCTCTTCGGTGGCAAGGCTGTGCTGCTGCTCTGAGACAGTCCACAATTAAAGAGGAGAGGGTTGGGGCAGGGGAGGAGAGAGCCCTGCCTATTCTCCAAGGCGGCTGGGCCCAGGGACTGGAGGTTGTCAGCAGTGGGGCAGCGAAGGGAGGTGTTGTAGGCTTGAGCCGGCAAAGGTTCGGGTCTTGTGAAAACACATGCAACACACATACAAACATGCACACATGTGCAACATACAGTTGCCATGCACAACACGTGCATACAACACATCACATATAAACAACCACCACACACACACACACACACACACACACACTCACACGTGCCACCTTTGTCTTGGCCTCTGTTAGAATTTCTCCCATAGGCAAGGGCTGAGGCTCACTAGAGAGCAGCAAAGAGCAAGGGTGCCCACTCGCCTGGACACTTAGGGAACACAGGGCTCTCTTTCCCACCATTAGCTTCATAGCAGGCAGCCCATGGCTTCCCTGTGGTCCCTAAACCCTGTGTTCCCCAGCAATCCCTTCCAGACATACCCAACCTGAAATCCTCCCATTGTTCTAACAGCTGATGTGGGTGCCATCCTTTTGGCCACCAGCAGCATCTCCCACGGGACCCCTCCCTGAGCATCCTCCACCTCACCCCTCAGGCCCATCTCCCGCCCCAGCCCATGCTTGCAGCCCACACCTCAGTCAGCCCTGGCCAGTGGAACAGACAGTGGAACAGACACTGGAGTTGGAGTCCAGTCACCTTGCACAGGTCACTTAGCCACTCTGAGTCTTCATTTCCTTTTTCCATGAAATGGGAACAATATCATCTAAGAGTATCATTAGATGAGATGACACAAAAGCATGCTGCCAAAAGCATGGCAACAACTGGTGCCCAGTAACCATCAGCTCCTTCTTCCTCCCCTGCCATGCCACCCCCTACAGGTCATCATGGAAGCCTGGGTGAAAGGTGTGAACCCCAAAGGCAACTCTACCAACCCCAGCAACTGGGACTTTGGCAGCAGTTTCTTCTTTGCAGGCACAGTCGTCACTACCATAGGTAAAGGGCTGGGGTAGAGAAGAGCTTCCCCAAGGCCCCTGTCTTAGTTTGGGCTCCCCAAAAGCAGATGCTGAGACAAGGATGTGGTTTGTCTAGGAGATTATTCAGGAAGCCCAGGGAGGGAGTGGGTAAGTGAAACAGTAGGGAGAAGGTGGCAATGAAATTTGCATTAATTAGCAGATTACTGGCTTGGGTGACTGAGCTCACTTCTCCTTGGGACCCTCTGAGAGGCTAGATAGAGCCCTTCCTCAGAACGGTCCAGCGAGGGACAAGAATGAGGGGCCATTTAGCTACCAACTCCTGCCCTCAAAGGTTGAGAGCTGGTCCCGAGTATATTAGTTCCCCAGCATTTTGAAACTTCCCATAGACCAAGCATACTCCTTTGGCCAGAAGAATCTCTCAGGTAGAGAGAGATGTGCAGAAACTGGGAGCGGGGGTTGATTTGTATACAGGAACTGTCCACCAAAGCTTCAGGTGGTATCTCATGTGTTCTGAGGGAACAGGGCACTGACAGCAGCTGCTACACCCCCTCGGCCAGAAAACTCACTCCATCCCACCCCAAGGAAACCATCAGATCCAGGTCTACCCCATCCATTCAGTTAAGTCCAATTCCACATACTTTCCTTGAACTCAGGTGACATTCCAGGCAGAGTGATGGAGTTGGGGGTGAGAGATACAAACTTGGATCAGACCCAGGCTCAGCCTGCAAGGAACTTCCAGTCCAACAAAGAGGAACATGATAAATACACAAAAAAAAGTAATAGAAAACAAAGTCGATAATTACATAGCAATGACATAAAACACTATGGGGAACCACACCCAGAAGGGAGAAGGAAATCGGCAGTCAGGAGGGCTTCATGGAGGCAGAGTCATTTGAGATGGGCCTTCAAAGATGAGCAGGAGTCCTATAAATAAAAATCATTCCAGCAGAGTTCATGGGAACAGGGGAGCTTCCCCTTCTCACCCCCAGAGGTGGTGACAGACAAACCTCAGCTAGAGTCTGGGGAAGAGGAGCAGAGGGCGTTCTAGAGTCTCCATATTTGCACACGCCCCCCTTCCCTTGCAGGATATGGGAACCTGGCACCCAGCACAGAGGCAGGTCAGGTCTTCTGTGTCTTCTATGCCCTGTTGGGCATCCCGCTTAACGTGATCTTCCTCAACCACCTGGGCACAGGGCTGCGTGCCCATCTGGCCGCCATTGAAAGATGGGAGGACCGTCCCAGGCGCTCCCAGGTATGCCCCCTAACTCCCTTACAGGCCTGCTGTGACAGATCTGTTGCAAGTGGAGTTCCCCAGAAGCCGATGCTGAGATGGAGTTTGGCATGCATGGTGTTAGGGGTAGATGCCTGTGAAAGAGGAAGGGTGAAGGCAGGGTTGGGCAGAGTGGGGAGTTGGATCTCTATGCATGCTCTACAAAGGCTTGGCCCCAAGGAGCTCTACAGCATGTGAGAGCTGTCAGAGTTGTCCCACAGTGGGCGGAACCAGCCAGGTTTTCATACCTGCCTCAATCAGGCACTGGGTGTGGCCTTCCCAGGAAGGGTATGCCCCTAGGCCAGGAGGTTCTCTGCAGCTGAACACCCTGAAGGAGCTGGCAGCTGGCCCACCGTCCTCCTTTAAGTGAGGGATCTCTGTAGCACATCTTCAAGGTCATCACAGAACTCCAACATCCTTTTGTGCAGTAGCAAACAAGCTCTGCAGGCTGCCCAGCATGCCCTCAGTGCCCACCCTTGGCCAGCCACTTGCAAGGCCAGAAATACGCAGACAGTTCAATGATACTTTTCTGTTCCAGATCTGAGTCCCCAGGGAGCCTGTTCAAGTGTGATCCCCAAGTCCAAAGGGGTCTCCAAATCGCTTCTTGACCCACTAACGCAATCCCTCTGCCGAAATCTTTCCCTGGGTGGGACAAGGTCATGCACACATAGATACAACCTCCACCTCGAGGGTCTGCAGTGCAGGAAAGGGTCCTAGCTATGGCCCAGTCCCATTCCCATGTTTACCCCAGACTCCCCCCAACCTCATACAATCCTGGAGACTTTCAAGTGGACTCAGAGGCCAACTCCCTCCCTCCTAGGTACTGCAAGTCCTGGGCCTGGCTCTGTTCCTGACCCTGGGGACGCTGGTCATTCTCATCTTCCCACCCATGGTCTTCAGCCATGTGGAGGGCTGGAGCTTCAGCGAGGGCTTCTACTTTGCTTTCATCACTCTCAGCACCATTGGCTTTGGGGACTATGTTGTTGGTGAGAACAAAACAGTCACATTATCTCAGGGTGGGGGTGCCCACTGGGATTTGGGGGATGGAGAGATGTCAGCTGAGGACAACTATTGAGGATAAGATAGCCCTTGGTCATTCAAGGGAGCCAAACCAATGATTTCTGGGACTACTGTGGATTCTAAGCAACATTCTCAGAAGTTTCTGGTCTAGGACCCATCACCACCCTGCAGAGACCTACCTCAACTGCTGTTCCTTGTTATGAGGAAGAGGGAGAGAGCATCCTGGCTGGTGAGGGTCCCTATGGAAACTGGAGGTGGCTATGCCCTGAGACCCCTGGCATTGATGCCATTCCCTTCCCTGGCAGGCACAGACCCCAGCAAGCATTATATCTCAGTGTATCGGAGCCTGGCAGCCATCTGGATCCTCCTGGGCCTGGCGTGGCTGGCGCTGATCCTCCCACTGGGCCCCCTGCTTCTGCACAGATGCTGCCAGCTCTGGCTGCTCAGTAGGGGCCTCGGCGTCAAGGATGGGGCAGCCTCTGACCCCAGTGGGCTCCCCAGGCCTCAGAAGATCCCCATCTCTGCATGAGGCCCCCGGGGGGGGCCCAGAAACCCCTTTCATCCTCCCCAGTCCCACCCTATCTGCTCTCTGGATTTCCAGCCCTGCTTTCTCCTCTCCCAACCCCCTCACTTCTCAGCCAGGGCTGGTCTCAGGAGCTCTCCCAAGAGAGAAAGGAGACAGGTATATCCAAGAAAGTAACAGAGAGGAGACGTGAGATAGGATTAAAGACATGTGTGGATGGGGAGGTGTACCCTTGTCCCAGAGCCCCTGCCACAGCCTTCCACCCAAAGGTAGTGGCCAGATCTCCACTGCCCTCCCCATGCCCCCTTCCAGGAGACCTTACACAAACAAAGGATGACTTTACTTTTGCCTCATTTGATATGTGCACAGTGCATTTGCCAAGCCCCTACTATGTGCCAGGTGCTGTGCCAGGGTCTGTGCCAGGGTCTGGGGATACAGCAGTGGAAGTGCCTGCCCTTGATGTGCCTTTAGTTGCTAGGCAAGCAAAGAGGCAGCCCCAACACAGTGCCCAAAATGCTATGATGGGAATAGCCCCAGGGTTGATGAGAGCCCATGGGAATGGCTGGCAGGGAGCATCAAAGAGAGGGGAGACCTGGGCAGAGACTTTGGAACAATCTTAGTGAAAAGAGGATCTCTGCCCTCAGGAAGCTCTCAGCCGAGGGGCAGGCGAGCTGCCTCTCAAAGCTCGCCAGCTCCCCTTGCCTAGAAGTCCAGGGCTGTCTGTGAACAAAGCTTAGGACCTCTTGGGTGTCCTACCCACTTTCCTGAACATGGCCTCCCCTGACCCTCACAGGCCACCCCCTTAACTTCATCACTCCCTCTGGGCTCCTGCCTTCTCAAGAGCCTTTCCAAACACCCCATGGGAAGCCAGAGAGCCAGCAGATCCCAGGATCCTTCCAGAAAGTGAGCTCCATGAACGTCTGGCCTCTCTCAGGAATGCATTCTCCAGGTCTGGCCTTTCCCCTGCCAGACTGCAACATCCCTGACCAGGAGAGATTTAGACCACTCCATCCCGGGGCCTGGAAATTTTGGCCTTTGCCTCTCCCATCATCCAACAGCAAGTGGGCTCCTATGTGGCTGGGTTCCTCTGCACAGGTCTGAGGCAAGGCTGTGGAGCCAAGGCGGCTCCAGGCAGGAGACCCAGGAGAGGCTCTACAGCAGCAAGAGGAGTCCAAGTCACACCCCAGGACTTCCCCATATCCAAGAAAGGACTGGGAAGCTGAGGACCCACGGACTCTTCACACAGCCTAGACGCTTCCTCCACTCCAGGTAGAGGGATTTCGGGGGCCTTCTCAGAAGCAAGGAGTGGACAAGCCTCTTGGTTAAGGCTCCTCTTACCTCCCAAGCTCATGGACAAGTGGCAATCAGCTGGGGTCCCTCTTTTGGGGTACAAAGGAAAGGACAGAGGTGTGGGAGACCCAAGGTGGTCTTGAGATTGACAGACAGCAAGTCCTTGGAGATAGCCCCCGAGTCCAAGAACTTAGGCAGGGGCCCCAAGACAATAAAGTTGGTCTCTACTATCTCCTACCTCTGAGTGCGGTTTCCAGAAGTCCCTCCCATTGTTCATTTCAGGAAATGTGAGGGGGCTCTGGGCCCCTTCCCTCAGCGCCTGCGGTCACCCAGCAGCTTCCTCCTTCTCCCTGGCCTAGGCCTAGCAGGTGGGCACCCCGCACACATTTGAGGCGGGGCCAGATGCCCACAGTTCAGAGCCTCTTTTTGTCCCGGGGATTGGATCCCAGGGCTGGGTGGGGCCAGGCTGTCCCATTCCCCAACACTCCTCCTCCCCGGCGAAACCGGGCACCAGCAGGCGTTTGCGAGAGGAGATACGAGCTGGACGCCTGGCCCTTCCCTCCCACCGGGTCCTAGTCCACCGCTCCCGGCGCCGGCTCCCCGCCTCTCCCGCTATGTACCGACCGCGAGCCCGGGCGGCTCCCGAGGGCAGGGTCCGGGGCTGCGCGGTGCCCAGCACCGTGCTCCTGCTGCTCGCCTACCTGGCTTACCTGGCGCTGGGCACCGGCGTGTTCTGGACGCTGGAGGGCCGCGCGGCGCAGGACTCCAGCCGCAGCTTCCAGCGCGACAAGTGGGAGCTGTTGCAGAACTTCACGTGTCTGGACCGCCCGGCGCTGGACTCGCTGATCCGGGTCAGGGGCGAGCGGCGTCGGCCTGGGCGCGGCGGGATGGGGTAGCGGGCCGCGGGGTGTACGGGCCGAGGGCGAGGGGGCCTATTCAGGCCCTGGTCAGGTGTTTCCTGTTCAGGGAAACGTCGGGAACGCAGACGCGGGCACAACGGGGGTGGGCGTTCCTGCGCGGGGACCAGAGGGTTGGGGGACCTCGGAGGAAAAGACCCTCGCCCTAGCGAGAGGACTGCGAGAAGCCGGGCTGAGTCCTACTTGGGGGCGAGAGGGCATGCTGGCCCGGTGAGGAGGCAGATGCCTGGGGACACATCCAAATTTGGGGGCGAGGACGACTACGGCAGGGGGCGCGCGCGTAACCGGCCCCGCCCGGCCTGACCCGGGAAAGGGCGCGTTTGAGCCTGCTTGGGGGTTGGTCGCACCCGCACCCGTGGCAAAGAGCTAAACGCCACACCTGGCCGCTTCCAGAGGGGGAACCCGGGCGCACGTTTGCGAACTGGGAGCTGGGACGGCAGGGGCGCCGGGTCTAAGGATGCGCAGGAGCGAGGGCGCGGCCGTAGGAGCCTGGGGGAAGGCGCGTTTGTCCCGGAGGGTGGGTGGATTGGGCCCGAGGCGTGCTGGTCGGGGCCACCCTCAACGCAGAGAGGGGGCTCGACGTGCGCAGACCCGGGTTCGAGAGGAGGGCGGACGCAGGGCCGCTCTCTGGCTGAACCCGCTTTACTCCGAGTCTTCGGACACAAGGACTGGGCGCGCCGCCGCCGCGCGGCTGCCCAGAAAGGCTGAAGGCAGGGTTCAGGGGAGGACTCAGAGGTAAATCTGAGCAGAGGCTCCTCAAGGGTGGGGCCTAGCAGGGCGGAGGAGGCCGGGGAGGGTTCTAGGGGTGGCGCATCTTAGGACTGAAGCGACGCCAGACTGGCAGCTGCTCGATTTGGCGGAGGCATTGATGTCCTGGGTCCTGGCTTGGTTCCCCACCCCTTCGTCCAAGAGCCCAGAGTCCAGACAGCTGCGCGCCAGCCCAGAATCCCCGTCTTGCAGTCCTGGTGGCTTATCCGTCCAGAGTCTCCAGTCCAAAGCCAATCCCCGGAAGGTGGCAGGGAACCGTGCCAGGGTGGGAAGGGACCCAGCGCGGAGCGGAAGTGGTGTTCTGAACCCTCGGACTAGGCCGATTCGGTGAGGTCAGGAGGTAGCCAGGGCCAGGCCTATCTCTACTAAGGACCTAAAGTGATTCCTCCAGCTCCCCACCTGCGGACTTCTGCAAATACAGCCCGACTGCTGGGTCCTGGTGCTGAGGCTGCCTGCCATTACCCTTGCAAAGGTGGTGAACTTCGACTACAAGCAGCCTGGGCCCAGGGAGATGGCTATGATGGTGATTATAATAACAGTAAATGCCTCTGTGCAGCACTTATCGTGTGCCAAGCACTGTTGCTGGTACTTTACCCGTATTCATTTGTCTCACCTCCCTCACAGGTGGGTACTGTTTTTATCATCCTGTTTCACCCTCACAGGTGGGTACTGTTTTTATCATCCTGTTTCAGAGGTGAAGAAACAGGCTCAGAGAGGTTACATACGAATGCATGGCTACATAGCCAGGAGCTGGAGCTGTTAACCAGCATAAATACTGCCTCAGTGTGGACCTGTGGATGTGGGTGCTTCCCAAGATTCCCAGCCAGGCTGTCATCTCTTTGGGCTTTCCCTTCAACTCCCTCCACCCCCACCTCACCCCCTTCCTCAACACTCCTGTGGCTTCAGCCAACTCCAGGAATAAGGATGTGGTATCCAGCCCAGATCTTTCTGAGCACCAGATGTGGACATGCAACTTCTGAAATTCCTCAAGGCCAAGAGCAAGTGGTCCTCCTCCTCCCAGCCCTGCTTCTCCACCTGTCCTAAATCTCGATTGTCTGCCCCATGTCCACACACCCTCACAATCCTCTGCAACATCTCCTTTACTGCCCATACTAAATAGGGCCAGAGGCCTGGGCTTCTGAATATCTCCTCTCTGTTCCTCCTGGACCACCTGTGCCAGGAGACAGGCCAGGGCCCGTCTATCACTCACTTCTGCAGGAGTCTCTCCCCTCTGGTCAACCCTTTCTATACTGCCAGCTGCCACAGAGCACACAAACCTGATCCTACTTCCCCTTTGCTCAGTGACCTTGGCTGATACCTGCGACTTCATCCCTGGCATGGCAAAGCCAAGCACAGCTTGGCCTCAATCACTTCTTACCAGTCTCCCTAATCTAGGTCCCAGGCAGTCTCACCTCCCACCTTCTGCACTGCTGTCCCATCTACCTAAACATCCTTCCACCAGAAGCAATCCTACCTGACCCTCAAAGGCCCAGCTAAAACATCCCATTCTCCATGAGGCCTCTGCTCCTACCCAAATGAGAATGAACATCCTTCTTCCCCAGAGTCCTACAACATTATATGCCTATATAATGCATATAGGCAATATAGCAACTGCTAACACCATGTGCCAGGTACTAAGTCTACACATAATACCTTATTTAACACAACAACTCTATGAAGTAGGTACTATTTGTATTACCATTATACAGGTAAGGAAACTGAGGCACAGAGAGAAGTTGAGCACCTTGCCCAGGATTGTGTAGCTGCACTTCCTCCTTAATGCCCAAAGTGACATTGACTGCATCATATTAGAGTTAATTAGGTTTATCTATGTACCACTGAGGGCTGGGGTCATGTCTCTTGTGGTCACGTCCCCTAAAAGCACCACACATCACGCCTGGCCTAGTGTTTGTTGCAGGAATGGGAGTGAGCAGGGGAGAAAATGAGTCGCTGGTTTACTAGGACTCCAACCTGACCTAGCCACTGGGTAAAGGGTGGGGAAGGAGCTGTCCCCATGGTAGCTGTCAGTAGCTGTACCTGGTGAGCCCTTGGTGAGAGGGGTAGAGCCTCCTTGCCCTGGTGGGCTGGGATCGAAGAGTAATTGTGAGGGCTGTGTGTGTAGGTTTGTTTGTGTGTGTGTGTGTGTGTGTGTGTGTGTGTGTGTGTGTGTGTGTGTGCATCTTGGGGTACAGGAAATCCATCACCCCACAGAGCCTGGTGGTCATTGCAGCCTCTTCCCCAGGATGTCGTCCAAGCATACAAAAACGGAGCCAGCCTCCTCAGCAACACCACCAGCATGGGGCGCTGGGAGCTCGTGGGCTCCTTCTTCTTTTCTGTGTCCACCATCACCACCATTGGTAAGGGCCAGATGGGGCCAGGGGGATGGGGGTGGGGGAAGGAGGCAGCTCCCTGAGAGGCAACAGGCTAGTTGCCTTTTGGAGGGATTACCTGGAGTCTCATGACTCCAAGTGCAGTTCAGCTCTGCAGCATGGACACCGCCTGGGAGCAGTCTCGGGCCTCACTACAGACCTGCTGACTCAGCCTCAGCATCTCACCCAGGTCCCCAGGGGATTCATGTGCACTGTTCGAGTTTGACAAGCACTGCTCTAGGGGACTTCTGCCCCACATGGCCTTTCAGGAAGCAGAGGTCTCCCAGTACAGCAAGAAACATGTCTCTGGGCACTACAAGGATGCCAGTCTCCTCAGCTGAGCCCACCCAACACTGAGCCCCGGGAGTGGTGGTCGGGAGAAGTGGAGGGAAAGTTAGGAAGGAAGAAGAAGTAGAAATCCAAAGAAAGAGCTTTAGACCCCCCGTTTCTCAGCCCTGGGGGAGGTGGCCATTCCTCCCATGTCCTTGTCTCCAGACCCCATTCCCACAGTCCTCTCTTCAGCTTGCAAACAGCCCCCTCCACTCCTCATCGCCATCCTCCCCACACACAGGGACACCTGGACTAACCCTCCTCTGCGGAAGAGCTGAGGTAGAGCTTGTCTCAGGAGGGTGCTGAGGGGCTGCTGTGCAAAGAAGAGCAGGCTAGATCCCTGCAGTTCTGAAACCCAGGAAATCATGCAAGTCGAGCCACCCAGATCCTTCTGCCCCAACTCCTGCATGACACAGGACTTGCCACCAGGTGGCAGGCTGGTATCACTGGTGACTTGGGCTACCGCCTCCCAGTTCCTGGCCAGCCAGGATCCTCTCTCCAGGACACCAGTATCCCAGCCTCCCCACAGGGTTGGGTAAGGCAAGAGCACCCAGAGGATTCTCCATCTAGTTTTAAATTGGCCAGAACTTCTTGAAAGCAGACCTCAGAGCTACATGGGAGCTTGGGCAATCCTTGAGACAAGCATGCTTGGGAGGCATCTCAGACTCCAGCGGCCCTGAGCCCCTGAAGGACTGGCAGGATGGGCCGATTCATCTTTACATCCCCAAGGGTCTATTACAAGGCCCAGCATACAGCAGCCACTCAATAAATACTGCCACGTTAAGGAATTCCATTAAATATGCATTCACCAGGCATGTATTGAGTTCCAGGGTAGCAGGAGATCTTAAAACACAGTCACTGTAGGCCAGGCCTCCCAGATTTGGGGGTCCTTTAGTCTGCAAACCCCACACCTCCCACACTCTTCTCAGGGCCTGTGACTTTGGCCCACCAAATTCAGAGTTTTGCTACCTCTCTTCCCAGCTCTACCACCCCTAGCTTGGATTATGCCTCTGTCCTTTCCTCTCCACTCAGTTTCAACCAGCTTGAGGGTGAGGAGGGCAAAGAGAGGAGGGCCCTGCCCCACCCCACACACACAGTACACCTGAGGAAACACCCGAGGTCTTCTTGTACTAGGCACTGTGCTGGGCACTTTGACATTTAAGATTTCAATTTGTCCCTATGGCAACCTCCAAGAATAGGTCTTATTATTTTCTTTCTTTCTTTTTTGAGACGGAGTCTCGCTGTGTCACCCAGGCTGGAGTGCAGTGGCATGATCTCAGCTCACTGAAACCTCCGCCTCCCAGGTTCAAGCGATTCTCCTACCTCAGCCTCCCAAGTAGCTGGGACTACAGGCACTTGCCAACATGCCCGGCTAATTTTTGTATTTCAGTAGAGACAGGTTTTACCATGTTGGCCAGGCTGGCCTCAAACTCCTGTCCTCAAGTGATCCACCCGCCTTGGCCTCCCAAAGTGCTGGGATTACAGGTGTGAGCCACTGTGTCCAGCCTATTTTCATGACACAGATGGGGACACGGTGGCACAGAGATGTTGCACCATCTCCCCCAGATCATACGGCTAGTGAGAAGCAGAGTTGACTAGCCATTGTGGAGTGAACAGGAGGGGAGTGAGGGTTCTGTGATGCTGACCACACCTGTATGCACTTACACATGGGAGGTATTTGGAGAGAGAAGGAGAGGGAGATGGAAGATGAGGTACATCTGGAATGCCACAAGGGAAGAAGGGATATTCTGAGAGGCTCAGCAGAGGGCAGCCTCTTCGGCAAACCCATTACCCTGGGACCAGCACCCTGCAAGGGCAGTACTTTCCAAGCCCTAACACAAATACCTCTGGGCCAGTAGGACAGGCCTGAGCCCAGAAATCACTCATCTATGAACTCCATTCCTGGCTTGCTCATTGGTTCTTTCATTCATCCATCCATTTGTTCAACAAATAAATTGAAGGCTGGGCATGGTGGCTCTTGCCTATAATCCCAGCATTTTGGGAGGCCGAGGCAGGTGGATCACATGAGGCCAGGAGTTGGAGACCAGCCGGGCCAACATGATGAAACCCCATCTCTTCTAAAAATATGAAAATTAGCCAGACGTGGTGGCGGGTGCCTGTAATCCCAGCTATTTGGGAGGCAGAAGCACGAGAATCGCTTGAGCCTGGGAGGCGGAGGTTGCAGTGAGCCGAGATTGTGCCACTGCACTTCAGCCTAGGCAATAGAGCAAGACTCTGCCTCAAAAGATAAGTACATACATACACACATACATACCTTGGTGTGTGTATGTACACATACATATGTACCTAGTGTGGGCCAGACACTGGTGCTGAGGATACAATGGTAATCAAAATTAGCAAGTCCCAGCCCTTGGGGAGCTGACATTCTAGTGTGAGGGGACACACACTAAACAGATACATGGACAATAATCAGGTAGTGGGGTGTGCTTAGAGAAAAGTAAAGCTAGTTAAAGGGGTCTCATAGTGATGGGGGCACCTATTGTAGGTGGGGTGTCCATTCAGTAACATTGAAGCTGATACAGTAACATTGAAGCAGAGACATGAGTAAAATAATGGAGCAAACTGATGATATCTGAGGAGAGAATCCTCTGCCAGCAAGTGCAAAGGCCCTGAGATGGGAATGTGACTTGTGTGTTTGGGGAGCAGTAAGGAGGTCCAGGTAGGTGGAGAGGGTTGGAAACAGGAGCTGCATTCAGAGAAAGTACAGAGAAGACCAATCACAGATAGACTTGTAGGGTTCTTGCAGGATGCCCAGAGATCCCAACAAGATGCAAAGTGGCAGTGAGGAGACATGCTGAAGTGAAAGGTGGCTTGGGTGGGGCTGTGGCTACCCAGCGTTCAACAGGTAGGTGACATCCTTTTGCTGACCTGAGGGATGGCTGAGAATAGTGGGGAGGAAAAAAACCCATTTAATGTCAGCCTGAGAACGCTGCAGGCCTCCATGGGGCTCCTCTCAGAGCTGGAATCTTAGTGTCCCCATCCCGCTGGTGAAAACTGAATGGGGAAGAAAAACCAGTACCAGATGATGGAACTTGGCAGGACCTACAGCTGGAGGAGGAGGGGTTGGTGAGGAGGCAGGCAGAGAGGTGGGTGGAAAGTAAGAGGTTTACCTCGCCCTAGATGCCTACAGAAAGGAGAACTCTCCTTTGGAAGAGGAAACCCATAAAGGCCAGAGGGGGAGGTAGATGGGGACTCAAGAGGCTTCTGAAGTCCTCAGACCAGAAGCCAGTTCACTGGAGTTCTATCATTCATTTATTCAACAAACATTTAGCACCTTGTATATACCAGATGCTTGCAAGCTCACATTCCCTTCTACAGTGTACCTCCATTCCTCATTTCATCATTACCCCCCACTGTAGGTGGATGTCAGCATCCCCATTTTACAGGAGGAAGCAGCATTCAGAAAGGTCAAGCCAAAAGAAAGAGAGAGAGAGGAAGGACAGAAGGAAGGAAGGAAGGAAGCAAGCAAGCTGGGCACGGTGGCTCACACCTGTAATCCCAGCACTTTGGGAGGCCAAGGCAGGCAGATCACAAGGTCAGGAGATTGAGACCATCCTGGCCAACATGGTGAAACCCCATCTTTACTAAAAATGCAAAATTAGCTGGGTGTGGTGGCATGTGTCTGTAATCCCAGCTACTCGGGAGGCTGAGGCAGGATAATCGCTGAAACCAGGGAGTCAGAGGTTGCAATGAGCCGAGATCGCGCCACTGCACTCCAGCCTGGCCACAGAGCAAGACTCTGTCACAAAAAAAAAAAAAAAAACAAAGAAAGAAAGATCGAGCCACTTGCCCAAGGTCCCACAGCCTGCAAGGAGCTGAGCTGGGATCCAAACCTAGGAGGTGCAGCAGACTCCAAAGCACATGCTCTGTACTTGTACATAGTTTGACCTCTCTTGGGACCCCTCAGTAAGGTGGGGGTGGATGTAAACATTGGTTTCAATATAGTACAGACGAGTTTAGGGTGTGTGGGCACAGTGACCCCATCTGGGCAAGCAAGAATGTTAGGCAGTGCTAGGAGGCAAAATGAGAGGCATTTGTTCATTTACTTACACATTCACTTTTGTATTTCCTCATTCATTCATTCACTCATTCTTTATGCATTCAACACATATGTAGTGAAGAGCACCTATTAAGGGTCAGATCCTTTGCCAGTTGCTGAGAATATGGTGATTAAGAACCAGTCCCAGGCCGGGTGCGGTGGCTCACGCCTGTAATCCCAGCACTTTGGTAGGCCAAGGCGGGCAGATCGCCTGAGGTCAGGAGCTCGAGACCAGCCTGGCCAACATGGCAAAACCCCGTCTCTACTAAAAATACAAAAATTAGCTGGGCGTGGTGGCACATGCCTGTAATCCCAGCTACTCGGGAGGCTGAGGCAGGAGAATAGCTTGAACCCAGGAGGCGGAGTTTGCAGTGAGCCAAGATTGTGCCAGTGCACTCCAGCCTGGGCAAGAGAGCGAAACTACGTCTCAAAAAAAAAAAAAAAAGACCCAGTCCCTGCTCTTGAGGGGCTCAGAGCATATACTTGATATACTTGGAAGAGGCAGACATGGAAACAAATCTTTCTCACACAGTGCAAGGGAGAGTGCTGGAGGGGGCCCTGGATGAGGAGCAGCTGCACTGGAGAGTCGAGGACTGGAAGGGTCATTTATATTTATGTGGGTAAAGAGGAGAGACTCTCTTCATAGAGGAAGCATTGTGGTCAAAGGTGCAGAGGCACGAGTGGACCTGGAGAGTTCTGCAGGCCAGCAATGTGGCTAGAGCTGGGGAAGCGGGGGCACCAGACGAGTCTCAGAGAAAGGCTGGGCAAGAGCTTGGACTTTCCCCAGCAGACAGGAGACTGAAGAAGGGTTATAACCTCAATGATGATCTAATCAGTTTTGCATTTTAATAAGACAAGACAGTGGTGGTGATCAAGAAGGGTGGAGGCAGAGCTGGAGGAGAAAAGAATGTCCAGATGGATAGAATCTTTTATGAACATCTTTTCCTCCCCTAGCTTCCCCTCTCCCTATCTTGAGGATCAGAGACCACCCCCCCAACTTCTACCTCCTCCCCTAGGCAGCTGATGACTTACTGTCTGTCCCTCCCTCCCACTGAGCTTTATGAGGGAGCCCCGTTGTGCTAGTTTGGGTCCTCCAGGAATCAGATATCAAGACAGAATTAGATGCGCAAGAGATATATTGAGGGGAGCCTTTGAAGGATAAAAGAGAAGGAGCAGGAATTAATGTCAAAAGCCTCAGACTGCAAGCAGGCCTGATACCTATGAAAGGAGAGAGGGAAGGAAGGAGACTGGTGTGGGAAGAGCTGCTCTCTGCATTGCAGCTGTCAGAAAGTCTGGGCCAGGCCATGGGGATCCCAGAGCAAAGGTTGAAAGAGGAGTGCCACACTGGGCAGGGATGGCCAGCTTCAGTGCCCCACTGTGCCCAAGCATGGCTGGGAGCAGTGTGGAGACAGCATGGCCTCAGCCTGAATGGTGCAGTAGATCCTAAGAGTGCAACAGCTGGAGGCTCTGCCCCCTCCAGCATCCATCTGCCCATCCAGAGAGGGAGGACATGAAGAGAGGAAGAGGAGACTCACATTTGGTGGGTTTGAGCTCATGCATGCAGCTTAGCCTCCTAGAGCTTCTCCAGCCTGTAAAATATGGCACATAATTCTGATTTGGAAGGGTGGTTTCGAGGGTGAACTGAGGGAATGAATGTACAGGGTGCCCTGCACAGTGCCCAGCACAGAAAAGGAGGGCCTTGGTAAGTATCAGCTGCCCACATCTACAGTGGGTTAGAATGAGGGCCCTGGGGGTTGGGCCCAGGAGTGGGGCTGTGGTGGTGAGTGGACAGGGCTGGGCTGGAAATGTCCCCTGAGTGCCCCCTCTCACCTCAGGCTATGGCAACCTGAGCCCCAACACGATGGCTGCCCGCCTCTTCTGCATCTTCTTTGCCCTTGTGGGGATCCCACTCAACCTCGTGGTGCTCAACCGACTGGGGCATCTCATGCAGCAGGGAGTAAACCACTGGGCCAGCAGGCTGGGGGGCACCTGGCAGGTGAGGGGGCTGCTGGACGGGGTGGGGATGGGTCACTTCTAGAATGAGGGGCTGTGGTGGGAATTGGGGTTACTAATGACAAGAGGTGGGAGCAAGTGTTACTGGTGAGGTTGTGTTGGGATTGGGGGTCACTGCTCAGAATAGGGTCCTTAGTGAAAAAGGGCATTAATGGTGGAGATGGGGTGGGACTGGGCAGACAGGAAGGACATGAGGCACAGGCTCCAGGCAGGGAACCTGGAGAACACAGACCAGGTGAAGAGCCCCCTTCTTACTGGGGACAGCTCTGGCCTGCCTCCAGCTCCCTCGGCTCCCACGCATGGGGTGAAGGCCTCAGGAGGCCTGGGGACAATGTTGCACCCACAGGATCCTGACAAGGCGCGGTGGCTGGCGGGCTCTGGCGCCCTCCTCTCGGGCCTCCTGCTCTTCCTGCTGCTGCCACCGCTGCTCTTCTCCCACATGGAGGGCTGGAGCTACACAGAGGGCTTCTACTTCGCCTTCATCACCCTCAGCACCGTGGGCTTCGGCGACTACGTGATTGGTGAGAGTTCCTGGCGGTTGGGCTGGCGGGGACATTCGGCTGCCTATACCTCTCACTCATCTGCTCCCGCAGCTGGCGCACCTGCTGTGTGCACGCCATGTGGGGGCTTTTGGGCCCAAAATCCGGAGACACTGTCCTACCCGCTTTTGTTGTGTGACGGGTCTGAGGTCACTCTGGCCCTTCTTGACCAACGCGGAGAGGTCCAACACGTCCGCGGGCCCACCTATTGTGCTTAGAGCTCTCCACATGACGGGAGTCCCCGCCTCCCTCCGGGGTCCATGCTTGCCCCAGGGTCTCCCTTCCCCACTTCACTCTCTCCCTATGGAAGGCCAATCTGTCCCACTTCTCTGGGGCTGGAGATCACAGTACCCGGGGATCAGACAGTAGGGTCCGGGAGACTCCTGGAACCCCAGCCTCCCCAGAGCCCTGTGGGAAAACAGTTGGCAGGCAGATTCTGAGTGCCAGCAAGAAAGGGCCTCATGGTCAGTGGACCCAGGGTGGGTTTAATCAGTGGCACAACCCAACCTAGGCAAGACAAGGGCCCTAGAAGCCACCAGCCTTGCATAATCAGGCTGAGTCCGATGCCCAGCAGGTGGCAGTGGAGGGACATTCTGTGCCGTGGCGGAGTGGCTGCGCCCCAGCTCAGCCTCATCACCGCCCCTTCCTGTCCCTGAAGGTGCCGCTGGCACCACTACCGCGCCAGCCTCAAGCGGCTTCATGCACTCCCTCTGATCCCAGACCCTAATGTGGGGAGGAGGCCTTGCCCTTCTTCACTTCTTCAGCGACAGAACCCAGCCTGGAAGAATGAAGTTAGTTTCAGCTAACTCCTCAGGCAACCTACAGCAACAATTGTCACCCCCATTTTACTGAGGAGGAAGCTGAAGCTCAGAGAGGCTGAGCCATCTGCCTGAGACTGCACAGCTAGTAAGATGTGAATCCTGATCTATTTGACTCCAAAATTCATACTGTTTCCAGGCCACCTAAAATGTCTCCTCTCTGGGCCTCAGTGTTCCTGCCTATAAAATGAGGCAATCCCTAGAGCCCCTCAGTGCCTTCTAGCCTCTGTTTGCAAGGTCCCCAGGAAGAGGGGTCAGGTGTTGGGGCCTCACACTGCCCCCTTCTGGATCTCCCTCATCCTGGGAGGTCTGTTGCTCTGGAAGGAAATTCTTGGGAAGATTTCTTCCAACTGGGTCATGTTCCCACCTTTACCCTCAGAGTAGAGAGATATGTCCCAGGACAGCTGAGCCCAGTAGCTCCAAGGGCCATACCTGCACCCTCGCAGCTCAGAGTATGATTCTTAGATCTGTCATTTCTTCTCTATTTCCACTGCCATTTCCCTAGTTCAGGCAGGGTTGTTGCATATAGCTGCACAGGTTGGGCACTGCACAATCCTATAGTTTTGCTACTTACACAGAGCATAATAAGGATGGCACCCAGGGACTTGTGCAGCTTCTCTCCTTGTCCCCTGTTGGCTCTTATGACCTTTAAAAATTACAAAGGCTATGATGTCACCTGCCCAGCTCCTCTGAAGAACTTCATTGTTTTCCCATAGTTTTAGGATAAAGTCCAAAATCTGTAACCCCCCTCCTACCAATACAATCTGACTGAGGAGATCTAGTCCAAATTCTGTAACCCCCCTCCTACCAATACAATCTGACTGAGGAGATCTAGTCCAAACTTTAAGCCCAGAGGGACTGCCCAGGCCTGGGGCAAGGATGGGCAAGAACACTCCTGCCCAGCGGCCACTGCAGTTGGCAGAGCTTCTCCCTTCACCACATCTATGGAGACTTGCTACCTCCTGGGCCCCTCTGCAGTCATGGCAGTGCCTCGTAGCAGGTCACCACAATAAGAGCCCCAACTGCTTCACCTGCAGGGGATCTTCCTTATACAGATGGAGACACTGAGGCCTGGAGGAGGGAAGGGAGTTGCATAAGGTCATAGAGCAAGTAAGTCAGGGCAAATCTAGGATAAACTCCCAAGCCTGGGCCCTTCACACCACCCATGTTTCAGAGTCTTCCATGCCTATTCCTCAAACCTCTCAGGTCTCCTTGTCCTCCAGTAACAGGGACAACCCCTTTCTTGGATGGGGATACTGAGGTCCACCAGTTGGCTACTGGGTGTTCACATCCCTGCATCAGCAGCCACAAGAGGCGCTGTCTTCACAGCCACTCCTCTGCCTGAAGGCTGTGGCCAGAGCCGCCCCCAGGTCCCATCCGGCTACTCCTCCCCAGCCCCATAGCCTGGCGCCTCCCAATTGCATTTGCAGCTCAGTTGAGCGCCTTGCCAGCTGCCAGGTCTCCTGCCACTTATGATTTCAGCTTAAAAAAATGAAATAAAAACGGAGAAGAGCGCCTCCTCCCCTCTGTCACCAGGAGCAAGCCAAGCTGGCGGGTGGCAGGGCCAGAGAGCCGGCTCAGTGCCTGATCTCATTTAGGACCATCAGCGGAATCATAGCCCCATAACCCAATCAGCCTAATCCAATCCCAGCTCCTGCCAGGCAGCACAGGTCAGCTCCCAGGTGGCAGCCTCATCCCCATGTGGGGGTCCTAGAGAGGGGCCCAGCCTTGGGGGACCTGGAGAGAGAGGCTGTCTTGGGGCCAGCAGGACAGGATGAGGAGTAGACAGAGGCATGGTACAGGGAGCAAAGACAGAAAAGGATGACGAAGGAATAGGAGGGGAGAGCTCTACCCTTTGAATGATTCCAATCTGATGAGGGAGGCAGCACAGACCTCCAGGGAGGGTACTAAATGATAGGGCAAATCCTTGGCAAGATTTATCTAAGACTCACAGCAGCTCCCATCAGTCCCCTCCCTCAGCTATACTTACCCAGCACCAACTTCGTTGGGGGTGTCCGATGGTGAGTGAAACAAGCAACCACCTATAGATCTTGGGCACCTGTTATGTACCAGGCACCATTCTGAGCACTTGAGCTGCATCAGCCCATGTGATCCTCCCAACAGTCATAGGAGGAGGACTCTTACTGTCTCCATTTTACAGATGAGGAAGTAACTTTCCCAGCAGACACACATAGGCCATGAAAGCAGCACGTGTAACAGAGGAACCCAACGTGGTCTGTAGGGAGTGATGTCTGAACTGAGGTCTGCAGGATGAGGGAAGGTAACCAGGCCAAGAAAAATGGAAAATGAAGAGCATTTGGAGCCGAGAGGCCATAAGTACAAAAGCCCAGAGGCAGAAAGAATGATAGATGGGGAAACGGGAAAAAGACCAGAATGACCAGGCAGTCAGAGGGGAGAGGTGTGCTGCAGAAGCGGGCAGAGGGCCTTGAGGATTTGGACTTCATCCTAAAAGCCAAGGGGGCGCAGTCGTATTCCCCATCTCACAGGTGAAGGAGGTTCAGACAGGTGGCTGAAGAACCGAGTCAGGATACATATTCTTATGGTTCCATTGTTCATCCCAAATCCCCTGGCTCCAGCAAGCTGCCTCATTTCAGATACGAGAAAACCAAACAGAGACTGGCAAACACTAGAGCGGACATCGAAATCCTCTGGGGGCTTGTTAAAATACAGATTTCTGGCCGGGCACGGTGGCTCACACCTGTAATTCTAACACTTTGGGAGGCCGAGGTAGGTGGATTGCCTGAGCTCAGGAGTTCAAGACCAGCCTGGGCAACAATGGTGAAACCCCGTCTCTACTAAAATACAAAAAAATAGCCGGGCGTGGCGGCAGGCGCCTGTAGTCCCGGCTACTCGGGAGGCTGAGGCAGGAGAATCGCTTGAACCCAGGAGGCGGAGGTTGCAGTGAGCCGAGATCACGCCACTAAACTCCAGCCTGGGCAACAGAGTGAGACTCTGTCTCCAAAACAAAACAAAACAAAAAATACGGATTGCTGGGCCTATGCCCAGAGTTTCTGATCCAGTAGGTCTGGGGTAGGGGCCCCATCATTTGCATTTCCAACAAGCTCTCAGGGATGCTGATGCTGCCGGCCCCAGGGACCACACTTTGAGAACTGCTGGGATGGAGCATAAACAGATTCCCTCAGAAAGACAAAGAGGAAATGTAGCTCCTAAACCCAAGTGCCAATCCAGGGAGGCTTTCTGGAATCCTTCGGAGGTGACCATGAGGCTAGGAGTCTCCATGTTCTGTCCCATTGGCACCTCAACTTGCTTATATGAATCAAACCATGTATCTCTGTTTCTGTTTGGGGAATGTGGTCCTGACTTTCCCAGGCCTCCATCGTCTGACCTTGCCTCTTCCCCAGGAATGAACCCCTCCCAGAGGTACCCACTGTGGTACAAGAACATGGTGTCCCTGTGGATCCTCTTTGGGATGGCATGGCTGGCCTTGATCATCAAACTCATCCTCTCCCAGCTGGAGACGCCAGGGAGGGTATGTTCCTGCTGCCACCACAGCTCTAAGGAAGACTTCAAGTCCCAAAGCTGGAGACAGGGACCTGACCGGGAGCCAGAGTCCCACTCCCCACAGCAAGGATGCTATCCAGAGGGACCCATGGGAATCATACAGCATCTGGAACCTTCTGCTCACGCTGCAGGCTGTGGCAAGGACAGCTAGTTATACTCCATTCTTTGGTCGTCGTCCTCGGTAGCAAGACCCCTGATTTTAAGCTTTGCACATGTCCACCCAAACTAAAGACTACATTTTCCATCCACCCTAGAGGCTGGGTGCAGCTATATGATTAATTCTGCCCAATAGGGTATACAGAGACATGTCCTGGGTGACATGGGATGTGACTTTCGGGTGTCGGGGCAGCATGCCCTTCTCCCCCACTTCCTTACTTTAGCGGGCTGCAATGCCGCCGATATGATGGCTGGGAGCTCTGGCAGCCATACGGCACCATGAAGTAGCGGCAATGTTTGAGCGGCACAATAAGATAGGAAGAGTCTGGATCTCTGATGATCACAGAGCCATCCTAACAAACGGAATATCACCCGACCTCCTTTATGTGAGAGAGAAATAAACATCTTATGTAAAATACCATTATTTGGGTTTTTCTGTCATTCATAACCAAACCTAATTCTGAGTATGCCCAGAGACAAAGGCAGCATCTGAGACTGGAACCTACACAGAGAGAAACTACCCTCTCCCCGTGTGAGTTTGTCCAGGGCTGGTGGCAAGAACGGATTGAACGCTGGACTGCGAGCCCCCTACACCTTCAGAGAGCCACCAGGTAAACTCTGTAAAGATTTGCTGATAACTCTCGGGGCTGATGCAGCCAGCAGGCGGCTGGTCTCAGTCCAGCTGCTGAATCCTTACTCTATGGCTCATTCACACCACAGAAAAGCCAGGAGCAAGCCAATGGGCTCCTCCTGCCTTACCCTGCCCCACTGCGTTTGAAGGCCCCATCAACGGTTTGCAAAGCCAGGTAGAGTTTGCAAAGGCTACTTCTGTTTGCAGAGTGTCAGTGAAGGTTGCTACTAAGATAGCACATAACACAGTGGTTTCCACCATACATACATATAAGCCCAGCCAGAGCTCCTGGCAGTACCAGCTAACACCTAGGTTCACCTGGGGCAGCTGGGCTCTTGGCCTCCGTGGGCACCTGTGATTCCGTTCCCTCCACCCATCTTGCAGGTGGTATCCCAGGGACCCAGGGAGTTCCATGTGGCCTCTCCCTGTGACCATCTTGGAACTGGGTCAGGGTCAGCCCTTTGGCCAACGAAGGAGTAAAGGCTGTTACACCATCTCCCTTGCGCCATCCATCCTGGCCCTGCGTGGACCAAGGCCAGACCCAGGAGCAGCACGAGAGAGTAAACAACAGGGCCCACGCCCACTTCCCGAGGCCCCCATTGGCTTGCCCCTGGCTTTTCTGCGGTGTGAATGAGCCATAGAGTAAGGTTCAGCCGCTGGACTGAGACCAGCTGCCTGCTGGCTGTATCAGCCCTGAGATTTATCAGCAAATCTTTACAGAGTTTACCTGGTGGCTCTCTGAAGGTGTAGGGGGCTGGACAGAGGAAAATGGAGGGGAGGAAGAGATTGCTGAAGTGTGGAAGTGGCATGCTTTGTACTTAACACACTCCAGAAAGAGGACCTAGCATTCAAAACTTCCTCCTGGGAGCAAGGAGCAGGCCAGTGTGTTGGGTTAGGCACTGTGGTCCCAACCCGAGCTCACCTCGGACCTCTTTGTCCTCATGCCTGGCCCCACTGTGCTCTCCCACGAAGCCTTCACTCCCATGCCCACACCCCTCATACTCAGAAATGCTTGCCCCAGAAGGAACCAACCTGGGCTGCTGGAGTGCCCAGAGGAAGGCTCATTCTTGGCCAGTTCTTTATCTCCTTCTCAGCCAATGAAAAGAATAGCTGAAACTCTGAAGTCTACACTCAGGAGGTGGGAGGGGGAGTGGGGAGGGGACAAAAGTGAATAGGGTAGGGACAGGGGTGTTAAGAAGCCATGTTGGGAGCCACCTGGAGAGGTCTGGATGTGGGAAATACAAAAACAGAGTATTAGACCTCAGTTCAGAAACCACAGAACAGAATGGACAGTGAGGCCACAGAACAGAATGGACAGTGAGGCCACAAGCACGAGGGAGGGAAGGTAGGAGTGATGACAACATGATGGAGACAGCCCAAGAAAGCTGGTGCGCTTTCTGCAGTAAGGAACTCATTGCTATTTTCCACCTCAGCCAGGCCACCCAAAGCCTGGAGGAGGAGAGAAAGGGGTGCCCTCAGAGCGTGACCCTTAAGGGTGCTGAGTTTGGAGCCAGCCTGCCTGTGTTGAAATCCTGGTTCCACAGCTTGCCAGCTCTGTGACCCTGGGCAAATCTTGCATCTGCAATTTATTTCCTCTGCAAAATGGAGACAAGAGCAGCTTCGATCTGCAGGAACGAAATGAGTGACTGTGCGCACAAAGGACTGAGAAGTGTATATGTCAGCCTTGAGGAGGTGCCACATGCGTGTCAGCTGTCATCATCGTTCCCAGCCAGGCTGAGTGAACAAGAACAGGAGGAAAGCAGACGCTCTGGGGGCCGGCGGCTATGAGGCAGGCAGCGCCTTGGCTGACCCCCTCTCAGGGCTGGCCAGGCGGGAGGGCTGAGCAAGCGGTGACGCAGGATGGGGCCCTGCCCTTGGGGGGCTCCCAGGCTGATACTATTGCTCTGCTGGCCAGGATAAGGCAAGTGGACATGCATGACCCACAGGGAGCCTCGAGGCAGAGACTGGGAAGTGAGTGCCCAGTGTGCAAATGCAGGGCCCAGGGACTGCCCACCGCGGGTCCCACCATGCCAGGAGCAGGCAGACCTCTGGCCCCGGGCCACCTCTCCCCACCCTCTCTGACCGGTGAGGCAAGATCAGACTCAACATCGCTGGGTTATCCCCTTTAAAACAGCAGCATATTTTATCCTTATCATCATTATTTATTATTGTTATTATTATTTATTGTTAGCATTTATTAAATGCTTATTATGTGCTAGGCACTGTTCTAAGCTCTTTACTTGTAGTAAGTTATTTACTCCTCCCATCGACTCCATAAGAAAAGAACTATTATTTGTAATGCTGTTTTATCTCGGGGAAACAAGGTCCTCAGTGGATGTTAAGGCCAAAGGTAGCCACCTGTTCCTGTGGGTGGTCACAGGAGTTGCCGCTGGCCCTCTGCAAGGGATAAATTCCCCTGGCCTGAGAGGCAGGGACACTCTTCCTTTAAGCCCTGTGTGATCTCAACCAGCCACTCCCCTTTCTGTGCCTCAGTTTCCTCACCTGTAAAAGGGGGCTGGCATCAGGGAGTCTGTATCTTACTACTTCTACTCCCTCCGCCTTGGACTGGATTGTTCTAATAAACATGTTTCAGAAGGGCAGTTTCCAACCCCACCCATGTCAATCCTCCTGGGCCCATGTTAAGCATTTGGATCCAAGGAAGGAAGTCTCTCTTTCTCTTGTCTCTGTATCTGTCTCTCTCCCTCTCAGTTACATACACACACACACTCACAGGATGTGGAGGCAGAGAAGAGAAAATCTGCACAAAATTCCCCAGGCCCTGAGCCCCTCCCTCATGGCCTCGCCGATGCTGAAGCCCTGGCTGGAGGAATGGTATCCATTCACTTGAGGAGCCAGACCAGACAAAGAAGGACTTGACTCCTTGGAAGCCAGAGGACCTTCACATCAGGGACGACAGCTATGCTGAAGACTCCCATCTCCAGTTCCATCGGCCCTTACCTCACCCAGCCACGCCCCTGGGCTCCAGGCCTGGAGTGTGCTGCCCTGAAGTAGGCCCCACTGACCCCCCTTCCTCCACCCTCCCTAAACCACACACAGTGCTGGTCTCCACCCACACTGCCATCCCCAGGCCTCCCATTCCACTGTCTGTCCCCCAACCACCCACACACAGTGCTGGTCCCAGCCTCCAGCCTCACTGATGCTCTCTCCCACTCCCCAGGAGACAGGGCTGGATCCTGCATCTCCCGACCCTCCTTTGCCCCTTGCCAGCCAAAACTCATCCCCAGCTAAAATCATCCCTTGGGGCCAAGGAGACAGTCCCACCCTTCCCCCAAGGCCTTCTCATCCCATCCCTAGGGACTTTCCCCAAGATTTTCAGTCCCTGCCCCACTCCAATCACAAAACCTCTCTCAACCTGTCTGGGGACCCATATCAGCTCATAGCCTGGCGGTAGGAAAAGCAACCAGGGTTGGGTACTTCCCACCCTGTGACCTGCTCCCCACACCCCACCAGCACATCGTCCAGAAGCATGAATGCAAAACCATCCAGACCCCTCCCAAGAGCCACAGACAAAACCCTCTGCCCCCTGCTTCCCCATGGGTTTGGGACCCTGTTCAGCTTTTGCTCACACTCCAACCTTTCCACAACTTTATAGGCCCTCATGTATTATTTCCTGGACTCAGGCAGTTGTATGTCTATATTCTGACTCTATCCCTTGCTGTGTGACATCTGAGAAGTCACATAACCTCTCTGAGCCTCAGTCTCTCCATCCATAAAATGAAAATCCTGAGAACAACCTCGGGATTGTTTTGATAAGTGTGGAGGAAGGGAGGTGGGGGAGTTGGTAACAGATGAGAAAGCATCCATGTCCTACCTTATACTTAATAGGGCTCAAAAATACTTGTGCCCCTCCTTTTTTTCTTCCTCTTGGTCTCAACCTTCTCCTTCTCCACCCTCTTTCATCAGGAAGCTCATGAAGCCCAACTGTACCTTTTCCTCCAAGAAGTCCCCCTGGACTTGCCTGTCTTTTAGCCTCCAATGGGCTTGGGAGGGGCAGAAAATGATGTGGGGATGGAAGGAATATATTTTTCAAAGCTCTGTTTTGGAGAGGGCAGCTCCCAACCAGCCCACTGGCTGAGGCCTCTAAGGGTCAGGCTCTTGGCTTGGGGGCTCGGGGCCAGAGCAGAGGGGTGGGCGTGAGTCCTCAGCACCACTCTCTAGTTGTTACTCTGTCTTGGCTCCCTCTCTCCATCCACTCTCTGACTTTCTCTGAACCCCTGAACTCCATGCGCTGTGTCACCAGGCTCCTTCCGTCTTTGACTTCCAGTTTGATCAGGCCTGAGAGGGGCCATGATGGAAGGTAGGAGGAGAGAGAAGTTAGGGTTGTATCAGCCCTCTCTCTGCAGGCCCTGGCTTTGGGAGTGGCTGCACTCCCAGGGTCGTGGCATCAGCTGGGTGATGTAATAGCATCACCCTTGCCCTTCAGCCCCAGAGTAGTAATGACTCCCCACTGTTGCTGATCCCTGGGAGTCATACCGTGTCATGCACGTGGACCTGCCCACACTCTACACATAGTTTCTTCATTACATGCTCTTCAACGGGCCCTTGGAAAGTGCCATCTGTGCCCAGCAAGGACAGGACTGATCCCAACACCCAGTTCATCAATCTTTTACTGTTTCCCTGCAGCCTGCTGGGGGAGTGGGGCTCAAAGTACTGAATTAAAGTCATGGAAGAATCAATTCAGCCACCCTGACTAGGGAGTGACTTGCTCTGAGTGATGGCAAGAGGGTAGAGACCCAGGCAGGAGGCCAGGAAGACCCCGTCGCCCTTGCCTGTGGGGACAGTGGCAGAAGGGAAGGAACAGAAGCTCCCCCAAGCTGTGTTGTCAGCCCTGCAGAGAAGTCAGGCAGGAAGGGACAGATCATGTTCCCCACAAGGAACTCCTCCATCAGACTGGGGGCTTCACGGCATCAGAAACAATGCCTCCCCCATGTGACTAGGTGCTCCCTAGGTGCAGGGGCTGTGTTTAACTCATCTTTTCCCTGTACCCCCAATGTCTAATTCCTCAGTGCAAAACTTAGAGACACAGAAGTGGATAAAATGTGATCCCTGCCATCTAGTAGGGAAGCAGATTCATGTAAAAGGCCCCACCAAGCAGTGCAGTCCATGTTGTGCTGGTGGGCCCGGGTTCAGTCCCAGGCCCGCCACTCACTCCTGTGTGACTTTGGCAAATCACTTCACCTTGGGTGACCAACTCATTTCATCTTTCCTCTCATCCTCACACTGTCCTGAGAAAGTACCATCTCCAAGGAACCCCCTTATTTCCAGGAAAAGCGGGACACTTGTGCCTCCTACTTAGCCTCCCTATGCCTCAATTTCCTCAAATATGAAGTAGAAATGCTAATAGCGGTATCTGCCTTATATGGAAAGCTGTTGTGTGGATTAAATGTGTTAATGTAAATCGAGAACCTAGTGTCTGGCGCAGTGCAAGTTCTATACGATTTGTCTTCTCCATTTGAATTCCCCACAAGTGGATCCTGGGACAGGATCTGGCTGCAAATAGTTTATTTGGGAAATGATTCCAAGAAGCATGGAATTAAAACAAGAGAAGAAAAGGGAAACAATGCAGACAGCATTAATGAGCAGGTGACCACTGTGGGCAGTTGCGCTCCTTCCCGCTGGAGACCTCTGCAAGCCTGCATAGAGCATGGCTTACAGTTGTCCCCTCTAAGGGGTAGAGAGCCGGGGGCATATATTCCCCAAATCCCATTCCTCATCACTTGGAGTAGGATGGTGTTAACTCCCCAGCATTTGCGGATTGGAAACCTGCAGCGTACATGAGCATGGTGGGTGCAGAGCAGGCAGGGCACTGTCAGCGTCTGCTGCGTATATGTCAACCATTCCTGTAACGTACAAGAGGCATGAGGGCAGACAGGAACACCCACTTGGCTATGGGAGAGGGGAGCCAAGGCAGGACGGGAATACATCTGGGTGAGCTTTGAAGGATGTGTAGGAGTTTTTCATGCAGAGGAGAAGGCAGGCCTTGTAATGGTGGGTGCAGAATAAATGTTTAAATGAATGCCTAGTAAGTTGAGAGTGATTCAAATGCTTGAGCTAGTGGGGCTGACTCAGTGCTGGAGAGCCATAGGTGGTCAGAAGGAGAGGTGATACAGTCAGCCTGGAGGCATCAGGAAATTCTGGATCAAGGTATGAGGACCTGAACTGGTCCCTGATCAGCAGGTAGGGAGGAGGGAGAGTAGGCCAGGTAGAAGAACCTCAAGAGCTAGGCAGAGGAGTTGGAATGAGGCGGGACAGAAGGAGTGCTAAGACAGGGAAGAGAAGGGAAGGAAAGGGAAAGGTAAATGGAAAAGAAAGGAAGAAAGAGAAGGAAACAACTGAACTTGAGGAAGAAGAAGAGACACAGGACTCTATATCACAGGGGTAGAAGGAGAACCATGGAGTCTGGCATCACACAGGTCAAAGGAAGAGAGAGCAATGACATGGTGGCATTGCGTTCTCAAGTCCTGAGTCCTACCCAAAGTGGAGGCCAAAGCCATCTGGAACACTTTCCAGGACAGGTGAGCCCTGAACCACCAGGAGACTACTGTGAGCCCAAGAACATGAGCTTCGTGGGAAGAAGGCTGCAGGGACCCTGGGAGTAAGAGTGAGCTGAGGGCAAGGCACTGTCTGCAAGCCAGAAGGGAGGAGGGTTCCAGAGGTTATTACCGGAGCTGTACAAATATTGTTGTTTTGACTGGTAGTGGAGATTGTTTTATTTTTTTCCCCAGGAACCACAAGTGTGATGTGCGGGCTCATTTTAGAACATGACACCACAGGGAGAGCAACAACCTCTGGCCTCTCCTTCCCCACTTCTCCTGGTGAGATAGATGCTTGCAGGCACGCGCACACACACACACACACACACACACACACACACACGATCCACTAAAAAGTAACCCAAACCACAAATGTTCAATCCACCAATGCCAAGGCTCTGCTGGAAATTCCTAACTTCTTGTGATGGTAAGAATACCACTCCCCGACTTTTTTAAATATGTAAAGCAATGACAACAGTACCTGGAATGTAAAAAAAAGGCCAAAAACAAAAAAAAAACAAAGAAAACAAAAAAAACCCATGAATTCATTAGCTATTATTTAGAGGCTGAAAAGCTCAGCGGCTAAGAGCACAGACAATGGAGCCACATTATGTTCGGCGCTCAGCTGCTCCGCTCACTGCTGTGTGACAGACTGTGGAAAGGTGCTTAACCTGTCGGTGCCTCGGTTTCTCCACCTCTAACATGGGAATAGTAATAGTACCTCCCACACATGGTTGCTAGGATAAGGGGGTTAATGCATGGAAAGAGTTCAGAAAATGGTCTGCCTCAGACATCAATAAACATGAGTCATCATCTCATCACCTCCTGCCCATGGAAGGAAGAAGAAATGACCCCCATCCCACCCAAGCCTATGTCACAAACTCCCACTACCTTGAAACCAACTATGCCTTGGGCAGTAGTGTCCTGAGACTGGGAGAATGGAGGGAGGGAGAAGGAGAGAGAGAGAGAATATGAGTGACACCCAAAATTCATGCATCCAACGGAAATATCAGATGCTCAAAGGGCTTGATTCCAAGACTGTGTGAACCTCCTGTTTTCACCCCAGAACTCCATCTGGGGCCTGGGGCCATGATCTCTCTGCCTACCCCTAGTAGGGAGGAGGGAGGTCTCATCCAATCCAGAGGAGACCCTGCTTGTTTAAGTTAAGCTAAGTTCCAAGGCAGAGCCGGCAGGTGAACTGAGGTCTAGATCTGGTCATGGTTAGATTATTATTCTTTGTTGGGTTTGTCTGGGGAGAGAGGAGGTGAAGTGTGCACCATTTTTAGGTTTGGCTTGGAGCAGTGGCTCTCAAACTGAGTGTGCACCTGTATGACCTGGAGGGCTTATTCAACTGCACATCGCTGGCCCCACCCCAAGCATCTGATTTCTAAGATAATTTGCTTTTCTAACAAGTTTTCATGCTGATCCTGCTGGCCCAGGAAGCATGCTTGGAGAACCACTGGTTTAGGAGATGAACAGACCTAGAGAGACTTTGTCTGAATCCCAGTTCCACTCCTAGGAGCTGTGTGACCTTGGTCAGTCTCTTAAACTCTTGGGCCTCAGTCTCCCTCCTTTTTTTTTTTTTTTTTTTTTTTTTTTTGAGACAGAGTTTCTCTCTGTTGCCCAGGCTAGAGTGCAATGGCGTGATCTCGGCTCACTGCAACCTCCACCTCCTGGGTTCAAGTGATTCTCCTGCCTCAGCCTCCCAAGTAGCTGGGATTGCAGACATGTACCACCACGTCTGGCTAATTTTTGATTTTTAGTAGAGACGGGGTTTCTCCATGTTGGCCAGGCTGGTCTTGAACTCCCAACCTCAGGTGATCTGCCCGCCTCGGCCTCCCAGAGTGCTGGGATTACAGCGTGAGCCACCACACCTGGCCAGTCTTTTAAAAATTTAAAATTTTAAAATTGACATTCTAATACTTGTCCTCAGAGTAGCTGTGCAGATTCAATGAGGACATGGAGGTGAAGTGGCCAGCACAGTGCCCAGCTCCCCATAAGTACCCACAGTGACTATTGCTATTATTCCTTCAGTGGCTGGGACTGGGGTTTTGCTCAGGTATGTGCTCTTCCTAATTAATGATGTTCCCCCCAGTCATCAGCCAGGCACATGGCTTCCCAGAATAAAGATCACATTTCCCAGGCACCCTTGAGGCAGTGTCGCCTTATGATAAGTACAGACTGATGGGTTGTGTATTAGACGGGATATTGGTTTGGCTACTAAAACCAGAGACACCCAAAATAGTAGCAGCCTAAGTAAAGGAGAAATGTATTTGTTTCTAATGTAGCATAAGAGCGTATGGCCCTTGTATCTTGTTGGTCTCTCATTCTCAATATAAGACCTTCATCTCATGTAGGATGGCTGCTGCCACTCCTGCCATCATACCCACATCCCAGACAGGGGGAAGTGGAAAGGAAGATCATACTTCTTCCCTCTTAGGTCACAAGTAGTAGCTGTAAATATCATATCTATTCACACTCTACCGGCTAGAACTTAGTCACATGACCACATCTAGCTGTACAGGAGGCTGTAAAATGCAGTCATCAGTTGAGCCGCTCTATGACCAGTTAATGCTATTATCAAATGCTATGACTATGTAAGGAAGTGAGAATGGGCACAGCATTTACCACAGGATGTAGTCAGCAGTTGTGTGTACAACCACTGGGGATTGTCCTTAAAGGGAGGGGCATCCATCCCATTTCAGCCCTTCTTTCTTCCTGTTGTTGGAATGTAAATGTGATTCTCTGAAGTTCTTTGTCTGCCTAAAGTCTGGACCTCCCAAAGAAGGAAACAATTACCTCCAGTCCCTTCCTGAGTTTTCATTAACTGAACCCATTTCTCAAGAAGGAAGACCAAAGTCTGTCAACAAATCTGGATAGGCTTTTGTCAGAAGCCCTTGTCTGCTCTTCGGGCCCTTGTCCTAGACCCTTGTATGTTCTTCAAGACCATTGAACTCTCCCTAGCAACCACTTATTCCCCCTTACCAGAATTCCTCTTCTCCCCACTACCATAAACATGTTTTGCCAGGATCCAAGCCTCCATTCTCTCTGTAAACTCAAGATGGTACACAAGCTTCTGTACCCCATTGGGAGACTGGGTCTTCATTCTGAAGGCTCCTGGGTATATATGGTAAGTAAATTTGTATGCCTTTTCTCCAATTAATCCCCCTTTTATGAGTTGATTTTTCAGCAAACCTTCAGCAGGCCAAGGGGAACTTTCCCTTAGCCCCTACAGTAGTTTGCCATGGTAGACTAAAGAAAGCCCCAGTTCTTCATCCCTCCCAGGATCCCTGCCCTTTGTCATGTGACTTCTCACTCAGGCTGTATGGGCTTGGCCATGGGATTTGCTTTAGCCAATTGGGCTTGAAAGTATTTGTGAAATTGACTTGTTTATTCTCAATCTCTCTCTCTCTCTTTTTCCCTCTCTCCCATAGCCACAAGGACATTTCTGGACTGACCTGCTAGAGGAAGATAGAAAGACATAGTGCCACTGGACATTTCATTTTGGCCTACAGTAACCAACACCCACAGAATGGAACTGCCCATGGGTACCCTTAGTGGGAAACAGGGATAAAAATGAAACTACTGCTTTCTCAACACCTACCGTGTGCCCGGAAATGTTAACTCATTTCAGTGAGATGGTGATGTTGGGGCCAGCATTCAAGCCAGCCTCCAGCCTGACTTGGAAGCTCTGGGTGTTCACACCACCTGGCAGTGCCTCCAAAGACAGCCTTTAACCCTGCTTCCTCGTCTGGCCACACTCCTCACCCACTCCAGCGCCGAGTCTGACCCCAAAACATCTCTGCGAGGGCAGACCTCCATGTTACAAAGTCCGGGAGACACTTTCCAACCTCACCTTACTTGCCCCTCTCAGCAGCTTGGCATCTGTGTGGCTGCGGGTCTCCTGGGTTTCCTCCTGCCTACCTGGCCACACCTTTTCAGGTATAGCACGATAATCTGTCTGTATTTTTTCCCTCTTTCCTTATTTCGTTTTTTCTTTGCTGTCTTCCTTTCTGTCTCCTTCTTTCCCGTCTTGGTTTTTTCCTTCCTTCCTGAAATGGAGGACAACTGTCCCTCTTTGTCCGGCAAAGAGTCACTTCTGGAGAGCATTTAGATACTCAAATGTTGGGCAACGAAGCATCCATTGTTCAGCGCTTAGGGGAAGAGGCGGATCAATTTGCATAAATCCTTTGAGATATTCAGGGAGAGGAACGTGCAGTACCAATTTATAATAGTGACCTGTGGCCTTGAGATTTGTGGACATATTTGGGTTATATAGCTCTAGTTCTCCCTGGTGCTGAAACTCAGGACTTAGCCCTTCAGGGCTGAGTAAATCTCTAAGAATCTTGATAGTTACAGATAAGGGAGTTGCAGAGGAAGACACTAAAGACCCTATAATATGGCCGGTGGAGGCTGGAGCCCTTAACTGGAATTTCCATTGCCAGCTCATCTCTTCTGTAAACCTTGATTTTCCTCAAGGCTCAGCCTTAGGCCATCTTCTTTTCTCATTCTCTGTTTGCTCCCTAAGTCATGAAGTACCCTGCCAAGATTTCAACGACTAACTACAGTTCGGTGTCTCTCAAATTGTTATCTCTGAATCAGATTTCTCCTTTGAGTTCCTAGAGCTAAGCAGTCAGCATCATCCCCTTCTGCATCATCTCGTGGTTCAAGATGGCTGCTTGAGCTCCAGCCATCTGGTCTGCATTCAGTCAGAAAGGAAGAAGGAAAAAGGGGAGAAGAACACACGCCACACTCCACACCATTTTAAGGAGATTTCTTTATTAAACAGCCAGTGGAACAGTTTCTTACATTTCATTGGTTAGAACTTGGTAGCACAGTCACATCTCCCTTCAATGGAAACTGGGAAATGTAATCTCTTAGCAGGTGACAAAGTGCCCATCTAAATAGTGAGATTATGTTATGAAAAGGTAAAAGATTGAATAGTGGGAGAAATCAGGAGTTTCTACCACAATGCCCCAGGTCATAAACATGATCTTACCTCCAAAACAGGCCCAGACAGGGAAATCTATAGAGGGTAAAAGTAGATTAGTAGTTGCTTAGGGCTGGCGGTGGGGAAAGAGGGGTGGAATAGGAAGTGATAACAAGGCCGGGCACGGTGGCTCATGCCTGTAATCCCAGGACTTTGGGAGGCCAAGGTGGGTGGATCACCTAAGGTCAGGAGTTCAAGACCAGCCTGGCCAACATGGTGAAACCCCATTTCTACTAAAACTACAAAAATTAGCCGGGTGTAGTGGCGGGCACCTGCCTGTAATCCCAACTACTAGGGAGGCTGAGGCACGAGAATCGCTTGAACCCTTGAAATCTGGAGGCAGAGGTTGCAGTGAGCTGAGATTGCACCATTGCACTCCAGCCTGGGTGACAGAGTGAGACCCTGTCTTAAAAAAAAAAAAAAAAAAAAGGAAGTGATAACTAAAGGATACAGGGTTTCTTCTTCTTCTTTTTTTTTTTTTTTTTTTTTTGAGATGGAGTTTCGAGCTCAGGCTGTAGTGCAATGGCATGATCTCAACTCACCGCAACCTCCGCCTCCCGGGTTCAAGCAATTCTCCTGCCTTAGCCTCCCGAGTAGCTGGGATTACAGGCATGCGCCACCACACCTGGTATTTTTGTATTTTTAGTAGAGACGGGGTTTCTCTATGTTGGTCAGGCTGGTCTCAAACTCCTGACCTCAGGTGATCCGCCCGCCTCAGCCTCCCAAAGTGCTGGGATTACAGGCGTGAGCCACCACGCCTGGTCCAGGGTTTCTTCTTGAGGTGAAGAAAGTGGCCAGGAGTAGTTGCTCATGCCTGTAATCCCAGCACTTTGGGAGGCTGATGGAGGAGTAGAGCTTGAGTCCAGGATTTCAAGACCAGCATGGGCAACATGTTGAGGCCCCATCTCTACAAAAATAGAAAAATATTAATGGAGCATGGTGGCACACACCTGTGTTTCTAGGTACTCAGAAGGCTAAGGCAGGAGGATCTCTTGAGCCCAGGAGGTTGAGGCTGCAGTGAGCCGTGATCTTACCACTACCCTCTGGCCTGGGAAACAGAGGGAGAACCTGTCTCAAGAAAAAAGAAAGTGTTCTAAAATAGACTGTGTTGAAGTTGGCGCATATCTATGAATTATACTAAGAACCATTGACTTGTACAATTTAAATGGGTAAACTGTGTGGTATGTATATTATATCTCAATAAGCCCATTTTTAAAAAAACAAAACCCACTAGAAGATAAACTTCAGGAGGATGGGACTTTGCTAGCTCCTGACTGTCTCTGGCGTGTGGTGGGCACCCAGGAGCTGTTTTGTGACTGGTAAATGAATGAATGCTTGACCTCTTTCTCCCAACCCCTCACTGCCAATTCAGTGCAAAATCCTATTGTTTGACCTCTAAGTTCTGGCCGCTTCTCCCCAGCTTCACTGCCACCACGCAGTTTCACACTACCATTTTCTCCATCTCACAAGAGCCCCCTCCCATCCATTCTCCACGCAGCTGTCACAGAAGCCTTCTAAAAAGACAGAACTGATCTGTCCTGCCTCTGCCAAAAATGCCTCAATAATTTCCCATTGCTCCCAGGACAATGTGCAAAACCCCAAACATGGCCTCCAGGCCACCTTGCCTGCCTTGGCTTCTCCACCTACCTTGCCTGCCTTGGCTTCTCTGTCACCACCATACTCTGCTCTCCCCTCTCTGCAGTAGGTATCAGCTCTCCTGGTTCCTCAGACACTGCCTAGAACATGGGCAGAGCCTCCACTCACCCCATCCCACACACCCACTCTCCTCTCCAGTAGAGCTCAGCTCCAGGCCATCTCCTTACAGGGCTTCCCAGAAAGAGGCCATAACCCGCTTCGTAGGTCCTCACATCTCCCTGAAATCTCATGGCACTTACCATGCAAGCTTGTCATTATATATCTATTTGGGTGTTTATTTCAATTCAACTCAACCAATATTTATGGATGACCTGCATGCCAGGTCCTCTTTCACAACACCTCCTCCTGGTCCCATCCCCAACCTACAAGGGCTCCCTGTCTGCCTCTGTCCCTTTGCCCCTGAGAGGCCAGGACCAGCCCAGCCAGTAGACTCCTGGGCAGATAATGACAGCAAAGACACAACAACTGGCCATGCACAGTGGCTCACACATGTAATCCCAGCACTTTGTGGGGGCCAAGGTGGGTGGATCACTTGAGGCCAGGAGTTCAAGACCAACCTGGCCAGTATGGCAAAACCCCATTTCTTCTAAAAATACAAAACTTAGCCAGGCATGGTGGCAGGCACCTGTAATCCTAGCTACTTGGAAGACTGAGGCAGGAGAATCACTTGAACCCAGGAGATGGAGGTTGCAGTGAGCTGAGATCGCACCATTGCACTCCAGCCTGGGCGACAGAGCAAGACTCTCTCAAAAACAAAAACAAAAACAACAAAAAGACGCGATAACAACTGCCACCCAGTCCAGCCTTTCCAGGGCCCGACTGGCCCAGCAGTCAGGGCCAGTGAGGAATGGATGGGCAGAGCATGAGCTGGGCACCTGGACAAGTTCTAGATCAGCTCTGCCACTGGCTGGACATGAGGCCTTGGGCCAATCCCTGCCCTCCCTGGACTTCAGTGTCCTTATTTATAAAAAGAGTCTCTCGGTCTGACTTAGGAGAGTATTCTTTGAATCAATGACCAAGATCTTTATAAAAAGTTCATGATGACAGGGCTTCGGGTTTCACTCATTCACTCTTCAATCGTTGATCATTGATTCATTCATTAATCGCCATATATTTATCAAGCATCTCCTCTATAACAGGCCTTATTCTAAGCTGAGTTGTCACAGGGACCAAGACAATGACAGGCAGGGCCTATTGAGGATACAGATATGGGGCCACGGACACAAACACATCAACAGGCAATCCCAGTTCTGTGTGTGAAAGGAAAAATATAATGTTCTTTATTCTTTTTTTTTTTTTTTTTTGAGACAGAGTCTCACTCTGTCGCCCAGGCTGGAGGGCAATGGCGCGATCTCTGCTCACTGCACCCTCCGCCTCCCGGATTTAAGTGATTCTCCTGCCTTAGCCACCTGAGTAGCTGGGATTACAGGTGCTGGTCACCACACCCAGCTAATTTTTGTATTTTCAGTAAAGACAGGATTTCGCCATATTGGCCAGGCTGGTCTTGAATTCCAGTCCTCAGGTGATCTGCCCACCTCGGCCTCCCAAAGTGCTGGGATTGTAGGCATGAGCCACTGCACCTGGCCATAATATAATGTTCTTTATTTTCTAATAATGCCATCTTTATTTCAAGTGCTGCCTCAAATGAGGTAGAAGGAGAATATATCTGTTGTCAATGCTGCCTACTCCTTTTCTGCCATCACCTCCTTTCTTCTAGTCCAGGAAAAGTATTTATCAAGTCAAGGAAGGGATGGGGAGCAGGGTGGGATTCAGTTACTGTGGATATGTAACAAAAAAATTCACAATTCAGGCAGGGCTCAGCGGGGACACTTCTGTTCTGCTGGGCATCCGCTGGGGAAGCTGGAAGGCTGCAGCAAGATCATCTGAAGATTCACTCACATGCCTGGCTGTTGGCTGAAAACTTAGAATATGTACAGGTGGCCTCCCCATGTGGCCTTGGCTTCCTGACAACACGGCGGCTGGTTTTCAAGGGTGAGTATGGACAGAAAGAGAGAGAGAAGCTGAACTGCTGCAATGACCTACCCTGGGAAGATTAGGCTTGCGCCACATTCTGTCCACCTAGTCGTCTCAAGATCCCACTCAGTTTCAATGGGATGAGGAAATATCCAACTCTTGATTGGAAAGGTTCTGGAAGAGCATGTGGAAAAGAAACTATGGCCATGGCCACGTTTGAAAAATACAAGCTACCACAAGAGTGGGGAATGGTCCAGTTTACTTTTTTTTTTTCTAATGTCTCCCCTTTTTTTTTTTAATGACTTAAACCTTTCAGTTCCCCTAAGGGCTTAGGATTCAGGACACAAAGTCCAGTGACTTTTCTGCTTTCTGCTTTGTCATGGTCCTCCTGAGGAAATAAGGACCTCAGTTAACATCTAGCAAGTAACACCAACCAGGTGGAAAAGTGCTCTGAGAGCCACCCTGGCCTGAGGAATTGGGAAGCTGGGAAGGGAGGAGGAAGGAGAAAGTGGCCAGATGTGGAAGAGACAGGTAGGGCAATGAGGGACAGAGGGACGTCAGGGTAGATGCTTAGTGCTCCATGCAGGGAGGGAACAGCATGTGCAAAGCTGCTAAAGGAAAAAAAGAAGAAGTCAGCATTGAGACAGAGCTGAGAGACGAGGAGGGTGAGATTGGCAAACCAGTTAAACTTTATATGAGGAGTCTGGTGTGAAGTCATGGAAGGAAGGGTTTTAAGCAAAATAATGTGATAAGATTTGTATAAAGCCTACCTTGAATAAAGTGAAATGGATTCAAGAAGCATTTGAGAAGCAGAAATATTGGGTCTTGTTGATGTATTGGGTATGGAGGAGGGAAAGGGAAGCTTCCCCCAGGTGCTCACAGCACCTCCTTCTCAGGGTTTGCCCAGATTCTGGCCAGGAGGCCACAGCCACTGCCAGGAGCCAGCACAGCCCACTGCATGCCTGCAAAGGCGGGCCATGGCAGGACAAGACCTCCTGGAATGGGATGAGACATGCACTCCCAACTGTCCACAGCTTCACTAGGGCCTTCATCCGTGAGCAGGATTCCCGTCTGTTCTCTCCCCAGGAGCAGAGCTCAGTAGCCTCTGACAAAGGGACTTCTCAGCCAATGATGCGGGAGTAGAGGCCTAGCAGGCTGGAGGGCAGTGGGGAGGAGGAGCTGCAGGGCATCCTGCAGCCAGAGAGCACCCCCTGGGTGAACAGGTGACCCAATCTGCCTTCCACAGGAATCACCAGGAAAGGTGAGGCCAGGAAGGATAGAGACGCTTCTTGCACACCTGAGTGGGGAGATGCGTCTGCATTGGGACCAAATCTGAAGTTACCTGGGCCCCTGGGCCACCTGCTCTGGGCACCCAGCACTAGCACCATTGTGCCCAGGGCAGGAAAGCCACAGGATGAATGTGCCCCACCTTCCTAGAGCAGCAATTTGGCTCAAAGAATGTGAGGAAAATATTATTTTCACATTAAACAGTATGATGAAGTAGAATGTAAGATGCCTGTGTGGATATTCAATAAACGGAAGACTTGCGATCCCACTGGTGCTCTGGGTTGGCTGTTTTGAGCCAAGCCCACGCCCACACACAAGCCTTCAGGGGAATGTGGTGTGGCTCCTTCAGGTGCCTCTCTGGTGGAAAAGTCTGAGGAAGATCACAGGCTTCGTTAACACCCGCAGTCCCGAGGATGGCTCTGCAACAGGATCTGCTGCTGGGAACGAACAGCAGTGTGTGGAAGGGGCCCCCAGGCCACACAGGTGTCACCTCAAGGAGCAGCTCCCGGTCACCCACAGCACTGAGAGGTGGTGGAAGTGTTGGTAGTGTCTTTCACTGGTGGAAGGTGACCTCTCCTGGAGCTGGTCTAGGCTCCCAGCAGGTCGTTCCTGTCACCTATCCTGCCATGGCAGCGCAAGTCAGTTCTCTCTAGCCGGCAGCTCCCATTGGGGATTGCAGCCAAGGAGAGTCCAGGTGGACTTTAGTCAGCCAGCAGTGGAGAGGAGACAGGAGAGAAGCCCCTCCTTGCACAGTTGACTTGGGCTCTGGTTTTGCTGGCAGTGCCCAGTTCTGGCACCTTTGCCCCCTGGTCAATGAGTACCAGGGTGGCTCTGGGTCAGAACAGTGACCAAAGGGCTGGGTGGGAGTGGACAGGTAGTGGGAGGGGCAGTGAGAGATGCAGGAAAGGGCTGTAGCCCTTTGTGGTCTGACTGAGAGAAGGAGAAAGGAACGAAGAGCAAGCACAAGCACGGGGGAGAAATGAGGGACTTTCTGTGTCGTCATCTTTTCCTGGTGTGAGGAGAGACCCTACCAGGCGGACCCAGGCCATCTGCTCTGCTCTAGTCCGTGGGCCCAATAGGACCTCTGCAGAGGTACCCAATGGCCCATGGCTACAGTGGACCTGGTACAGAAGAAAGAGAGCTGTACCCACTCCTCAGGAAGCCCCAGTAGAAGGGATAGAACGAAGATACAGCCCCGTCCTCAGGGCCCTAGTCTGAGGGGAGACGCAGCCCCGTCCTCAGGGAGCCCCAGTCTGAGGGGAGACGCAGCCCTCTCCTCAGGGAACCCTAGTCTGAGGGGAGACGCAGCCCTCTCCTCAGGGAACCCTAGTCTGAGGGGAGACGCAGCCCCGTCCTCAGGGAGCCCCAGTCTGAGGGGAGACGCAGCCCTCTCCTCAGGGAACCCTAGTCTGAGGGGAGACGCAGCCCCGTCCTCAGGGAGCCCCAGTCTGAGGGGAGACGCAGCCCTCTCCTCAGGGAACCCTAGTCTGAGGGGAGTGGTCTCCTTAGGTCCCTGCAAAGGCCCTTGCCTCCCTCACCACCTGTACTTCTGTGGCTTTGCTCCAAATTCATATAAACTGAGATGGGAAATCCTAGGAACTGAAACACTGTTAATCACCCTTTATTATTGCCCTTCCCTGGGTGACTCAGCCGTAGGAAAATCACAGCTCCTGAAGTGAACCCGGAAAGAAAACTGAAAGGGAGAGTGATGAGTGAGAGTCAGCTACTGCCACAGCCTTGGCAGCCACATAGCCTTGTCCCCAGAGGTTGCTGCTCTCAGCTGGTCACAGGCAGCTCCTGTACGGACAGAGGCAATGGGGTGGGTCTGGGCCAGGGGACGCCCAGTCCCCAGGGAGCCCCTGCAGCAGGGCTGGCCCTAGATCCATGCAGGGGCCAATGCACAGTGGTGAAAGCCTGGGGTGATCTCAGGGCCAGTGATTTGCTGTCCAAGCCTCTGACTCCTGCCCTTCCTGACTCAACCACATCCGGTTTGGGCTCTTGCAGGCTCCCACCTGGAACGCCCTCTCTTCCCTCCTGCGTGCCACACCCCGCTCTCTGGCAGCCCCTGATGTCCTCCTCAGAGCTGTCCTCACACCCTCTGTCTCAGCCCTTCTGGGTACTTGCTGTCACCTGACTGACTTGGGGTATGTGGGGTCTTTTGTCTTTTCTTCTCACTTGGACCCTGAAGCCTCAAGAACAGGTGCTTCCTGCAACAGAATGTGCTCAGCCCTTAGGAAAACCTGAATGAAGGAAGGAAGAAGGAAAACCAGAACCCAAACTTTTAGTTTTCTTGGCAGAACCAGAGATTGGGGGCCATGAAATGCTACGGGACACTGACCTGGCTGCCTTTCCCTAGGAGTGTGAGAGGACGAAACTTCTCCAAGCTAAAGGGGGCTTAGAAATCACTTGAAAACAAGCTCTTTTGAGGGGAAGGACCGGCCAAGGCCACCCTGCTTGCCAGCAGCAGAGCGAATGCTCATGCCGGGGTCTGCTGCCTCACTCCCTCTGCCTGACCCTCCACCCTTGTACCTGGACCCTGGGCTTTGGGCCAGGCTGAAACCCAGAGCAAGACATACTGTTCTGTGCTACTCCAGTGGGGCGAGGCGGGCAAGGCAGCCATGGCAGTGGCTGACCTGCTCCACCCACAGTGGGCACATTTCATCACCATGAGGGCTGGTAGCTTCTGTGGCCCAGGGAAAGCTATGCTTTGCAAACACTGAGCTACCTGGATCCCCATCCTGGTTCTTATGCAAGCACTCGGAACATTCCAGCCCCAGCCAGTGGTGAGAGCACAGCTGCCTGGATACCCTTCTCCTGCCAAGGCAACTCCTGGGGTCACTGTAGCCTGAGGTCCTGGCATGGGCTGCTCAGGAGGGGTCCTGCCCAGTTTTTCCTACTGCCAATGGCAGCAGTGTTTCCTACTGCTGATGGCAACGGTGTTTGGAGATAATCATAAAAATTATGATTCTAGGTTACTCTACCTGGCACTTCACAAACATTTTATCACCTAGTCCTCTTATGAACCCAATGAGGTAGCTACTGTTATTATCCCCATCTTTCAGGAGAAAGGCATTGGGGCCTGAAAGGGGCAGAGACCTGCCCAGCTGGCACAGCCAGCGTGTGGTGGAGTCGGAACTGCCCAGCTCCAGACCCTTGTTTTCCCTCACCGCACTGCCAGTGACCCAGCTGCTGCCACACCCTCCACCCTCGAAAGTGCTCCCAAGGAGAAGGCCACCTGAACTTCGGGCACGAGAAACAAGCCCTCTGGATAAGTTACAAAATGCTACAGGTGCTGGGGAAATAGGTGGTGCCAGGACCCTCTGCTTAGCCATAAACAGTGCATATTGAAACCCACTTAGGTCGGGTGTGGTGGCTCACACCTGTAATCCCAACACTTTGGGAGGCCGAGGTGGATGGATCACTTGAGGTCAGGAGTTTGAGACTAGCCTGACCAACATGGTGAAACACCACCTCCACTAAAAGTACAAAAAGTAGTCAGACATGGTGGCACGTGCCTATAGTCCCAGGTACTCAGGAGGCTGAGGCAGGAGAATCACTTGAACTCAGGAGGTGAAGACTGCAGTAAGCCGAGGCTGAGATCGCACCACTGCACTCTAGCCTGGGTGACAGACTGAGACTCTGTGTCAAAAAAAAAAGAAAAAAGAAAAAGAAAAAGAAACCTACTTAGGATCTCCCCTCTGCCTGATTCACCTGGTAGGGAAAGAATAGAGATGAGAACTAGCATTTGGCATCAGAGAAGCATCCACTGGGTGCCAGCCCTGGGACAGGCACTTATAAGATGATGACATTCAGCCCCAGGCAGAGCAGGTAATTTGGAAGTTCTTCTGTGTTTGAACCATCTGTGTGATGTCCTGAGGGCAACAGCCTCTACTGAGGGTGCTCAGGGCTCCACCCTTTGATCTTTCCTTCTCAATACTATGATTAGAGACCATGATCAAGACACACCTACCTACTGAGTTTCGAGGCCAGCAGGGTGGGCTAGCTAACACGGTGGAAGACAGGCTAACACGGTGGAGGTCAGGATCTGGATGGCAGTCTGCCCCATCAATATGAGTTGGTGTCCTTCAACATTTCCTACAATGGCCATCGAGGCCCTATTTGTGCCAGGCCCTGGACACCCGAATGGACAATAAGGGGTCACAGCCCTGGATGCAAATTGAGGGGGTTGAGTAGAACCACAAGAGCTATTGCCAGCTTCAGAGGCCACCCCCAGGATAGAATGATTAACTTGTGGGGAGGGTCAAGAAATGGTGTACAGGAGAGAGGCTTATCTGAGCCCAATTTTGAAAGACAAATAGAATAATAGGGTTCCTGCCCATGTAACCGCAGGATTCGTGTGAGAATCAGATGAGATAATGGGGACAGAATCTTGTGACAGAATCTCTTAAATCTTTAAAAAAAATTTAAAAACAACTTCTATATTTCCACTGGTTAGGAAATTGAAGCCCAGAAAGGTGGTATGACTTGTTCAAGGTCAACCAATGATTTAGAGGCAAATGCAAGACTCAAGACAGACCTTCTGATTCCAGCACTGTGTTCTGGCTTGTATTAGTCCATTTTCACACCGCTATAAAGAACTGCCTGAAATTGGGTAATTTATAGAGAAAAGAGGTTTAATTAACTCACAGTTCTGCATGGCTGGGGAGGTCTCAGGAAGCTACAATCACGGCAGTAGGGGAAGCAGGCACGATCTTACATGGTAGCAGCCGAGAGAGAGAGAGAGTAGGAGGAACTGTCAAACACATAAAACTATCAGATCTCGTGGGAACTCACTCACTATCACAAAAACAGCATGGTGGACACTGCCTCCATGATCCAATCACCTCCCACCAGGTCCCACTCTTGACACATGCGGATTATGGGGATTACAATTCGAGATGAGATTTGGGTGGGGACACAGAGCCAAACCATATCATAGTGCCTCTAACTGACTTCCATTGCCAAAACTGCTTGTCTAAGTATCTTGTTTATGAATGTTACTATAGAGTGGTGGCCCTTTACACTGTAGTATGAATTAGTGGCCAGCATGCTTGACAGAGAGCGCAGAACAGGGCAGTGAGGGAAATGTAAAAGTGGGAAGAGAGGTTGGAGATGAGAAAGAGACAAGTTGGGAATATGTAAGGCTGGGGGCCAGGAGGAACATTAAACTTCCTAGGGGACAGGTTTGTCCCCCATTTAACATTAAATTAAATGGGGGACAAGGAGGTTTGCATGGAAGTAGGAAGAGAGCTCAGGAAAGAGAGGTGAGGGTGCCAAACACAAACTTTACTATATGATCTGAAGGCCCTGTGTCCAAACCCTTCCTCCCCAGAGTGAGGAGCTGGGCCTGGGGTAAGACAGGAGAGACCTATCCTATGGGCTCTCTCTGAGCCTCCAACTCCACTGAGAGCTGTCCTGGCGGGAAATGGGAGTCTCACCTCCATATTCCCTTCCTTGTACAGAAGGGAAGAGGAAAATAAATAAGAATAGGAGATCTTCATTCAGGCTTCATGGGCCATCCCTGCCCCCACCTGGAGAGGAGGCTTGCAGTGACTCTTCCTTGTTTACTAGAAACCATAAGCTGGCAGTGAGGATTCTTGTTCATTATACCAAAGTGCAGAGTCTAGAGCCTCATCCCCCAGGTTAACTGGGCTCAGAGGATAATCCAGTCTTTTTTTTTCTTTATCTGTCTTCATTTTTGTTGACTTGGCCCACTCCACCCTCTCTCAACCTACATGATCAAGCCATAGAAGCAAATTTGCAGAAGACAAAACAAACAAAAATGTAAAGCAGAAAATTTGAAATGCTCATTATTCCACTCCCTAAGTGAATAAATTATTGGTTAACACTTTGGCACACTTTCTCTCTGTCTTCGTACCGGAAACATACCTGTATATTTCCCAGGAGACCAGATGGCCTGTGTAAAGTCTTCATATGCAGCTCCCTGACTCATAGGGGTGTAGGGAACAGTTTTCTTTTCTTTTTTTTTTTTTTTCTTGTTTTTTTTTTTTGAGATGGAGTTTCGCCCTGTAGCCCAGGCTGGAGTGAAATGGCATGATGTCGGCTCACTGCAACCTCCGCCTCCCAGGTTCAAGCGATTCTCCCGCCTCAGCCTCCCAAGTAGCTGGGATTACAGGCATGTACCATCATGCCCAGCTAATTTTGTATTTTTACTATAGATGGGGTTTCACCATGTTGGCTAGGCTGGCCTCGAACTCCTGACCTCAGGTGACTCACTTGCCTCGGCCTCCCAAAGTTCTGGGATTACAGGCGTGAGCCACCAGTCTTCTTTCTTAAAAGCCCCTTGGGCACCCATAGAAAGGCTGGTCTGTGCATCTTCCTGGTGGATCCTGGTATCAGATCATTTGCATGTATTGACCTTTCAGGCTGATATACATGAACATCCCTGGGACATGGACCAAACCCTAATTCCACAAGTGCAGACAGTCCTTCCACCTCCCTGCCACCACCCACCAAGCTGGGAACTTGAGGATTCTCTGCAAATCCTACTCTTCCAACCTGTCCCTTAATCTAGAGGAACTTCGTCAACTTCATGCCCGTCTGCTGTGGCCTCAGAGTTGGAGCCTTCTCTTATTCTCAAAATTAACAGCGTCTGTCTGGACCTGGTCCATTCGGGGTAGTTCAGCTAATCCCTGCCAAGCTAGCCTGAAGGCACTTATACTCCATGGGTCAAAATGTCTTAATGTGCAAACTAAAGATGCTAACTGATAATAACAGTAGCTGCCAATCACTCAGGGCAAGGCACTATACTGGGTTCTTTAGATTATTGTCTTTACAGCCCCATCAGAGGACACTCCTAGATCCCACTTTACGGATGGGGAAACTGAGACTCAGAGATGTAGGCTGATTTGCCTAATGACACCTGGCAGGGGAGTCCAAAGCCATGGGACTTTCCCATGGGAAAGGAATGGGACCTTCCCATTCCTCTCCACTGTCTCCATGATGCCCAGTGAAAAACATTTTAATATGTCAGTGCCAGATGGAACTTTTGCTCATCCCAAGATAGCTCCATAGTAGTGCACTATCCTGACATAATTCCCACAAAAAGCACAAGATCTCACCTCTTAGTTTACCTGAGTGGCCTTTTCTCAGCTAAAAGCACACATCCCACGAGACTATTTAAATCTTGCAAACAGCTCTATCACCTCTGTCACTGCCTTCAAGGATGCCCTGGGAACCCCAATTTGGAAACATCTAGCAAGGTCAGCATATCCAGTCACTGGCCTCCCACCAGGTGGTCAGTTATCTTGGGGATCTCTGTCCCATTCAGTCACTCATTGGTGAGTTCTTGAGCATCTGATATATGTTCAGGACTGAGCTTTACATAAAGGTACGGCTCAGACCCTGCCCTCGGGCACTCACAGGGGTGTGTGTGTCTGTGTGTGTGTGGTTCTTTGTAATCTGGATGTACCTGTCCATGAAATGTCACAGGTCAGGTTATCTGGGAAGAACCTGCAGAGATGAGGAAAGGTTTGCTGGGGAGTGAGTCCGAGGAAAGGAAGCAGGCAAGAGCAGGATTGGGCAGAGACCATGAGACCGTGAAGCAGATCTGACCCCTATCCACCAGCCCAGTGGGGAACTCCTGAGCAAAGACTGCCCATTAGAGGAACCTTGAGTTGGTAATGGCCAGGTGCTAGAGCCACTACTGTGCTTAGCCACCTGAGTCAAGGCCAGTGAGGCAGCCAGGGCGTAGCATGTAAGGAGGTGCTTGCACACTCCTGCAGGTGAGCACATCCTTAGATTCTTTTTTTTTTTTTTGAGATGGAGTTTCATTCTTGTCACCCAGGCTGGAGTGTAATGGCATGATCTCAGCTCGCTGCAACCTTCACTTTCCAGGCTCAAGTGATTCTCCTGCTTCAGACTCCCGAGTAGCTGAGATTACAGGCGCCCCCCACCATGCCCAGCTAATTTTTTGTAATTTTAGTAGAGACAGGGTTTCACCATGTTGGCCAGGCTGGTCTCAAACTCCTGATCCCAAGTGATCCACCCACCTCAGCCTCCCAAAGGGCTGGGATTATAGGCATGAGCCACGGCGCCTGGCCCACATCCTTAGATTCTGTGCCCTAGGTGCTACACTTCTCACCCTAGTCCCAGCCCTGTAGTCCCTGAAGGGGCCAACAGCTAGAACTGTCAGCACACCACACCTCACGCCAGGCAATCATCCTTTCTTGCAGGGAGGTCTGCATGGCTCATCCCTGCATCTACCCCATTCTTTCATTCAACAAATACTTATTGAGCATCTCCTGAGTGACAGGCTTCAGGGATATAATACTGAAAGAATCAGACCCAGGCCCTGTGCTCTTGAGCTTCCTATCTACACATCTCCCTGTGCTTATTTGTGAATGTGCCTTGGTGTCTGTGTGTCAGAGTGAGGGTGTGTCGGGATGTGTCGGCCAGACCTTTGGCTCTGTTATGTCCTCGTGTGGGTGCATGGTGAGGCAAAGGGGCTCTGGAAGGATTGGGGAGATTTTCAAAGAAGCTGCAGCTTCAGAAGAAAGATGAGAGAACCAAAGAGGGAAGCTTGTAACTGGGAAAGCAGGTCAGTGTGGTCAAGCCGAGTCTGGCAGGGCATTTCCATGCACAAATGAGTAAGAAGCCAGAATGAGCGAGGAGGGCTCATGCAATCCTGGGCTGGGCGGCTGGGCTCTGGCCAGCAAGGAAAACTTTCTGCTTCCCTGAGAACCAGGGAGTGAAGGGAGGAGGCAATGAAGAAAGCCCCAAGACCAAGAACCAGGGCTGGCAGGGTGGGGTTCAGACTGGGAGGAGTAGGCTGGCGGGGGAGGGCAGGGGCATGAGAGCCTGCTGGGTACCAGCACAGGCCCACCCCTTTCACTGGTTGATCGGTCACCACTGGCTGTGAGCCACATGCAAACTGTGCATTTGAATAAGAAGTAGCTGGCCGAGCAGGGTGGCTCATGCCTGTAATCCCAGCACTTTGGGAGGCCAAGGCAGGCAGATCACTTTAGGCCAGGAGTCTGAGACCAGCCTGACCAACATGGTGAAACCCTATCTCTACTAAAAAAAAACAAAACATGAGCCAGGCTTGGTGGCACGCACCTGTATTCCCAGCTACATGAGAGGCTGAGGCATGAGAATCGCTTGAACCTGGAGGCGGTGGCTGCAGTGAGCCAAAATTGCACCACTGCACTCTAGCCTGGGTGACAGAGTAAGACTCTGTCTCAATTAAAAAAAAAAAAAAAGGGTGGGGGGGCTGGGCGAGGTGGCTCACACCTGTAATCCCAGCACTTTGGGAGGCCGAGGCAGGCGGATCACGAGGTCAGGAGTTCGAGACCAGCCTGGCCAATATGGTGAAACCCCGTCTCTACTAAAAATACAAAAATTAACCAGATGTGGTGGCTCACGCCTGTAGTCCCAGTTACTCAGGAGGTTGAGGCAGAAGAATCGCTTGAATCTGAGAGGTGGAGATTGTAGTGAGCAGAGATCATGCCAGTGCTCTCCAGCCTGGGTGACAGAGCGAGACTCCATCTCAAAAAAAAAAAAGAGAAGTGGCGGTAACATTTGCATAGTTCTTTACATAATGATCCCACTCACCTGTTCCCCAATGCCTAGGATCTGGGAATCCTATTGTCCCCTTTATCTTCTTCTCCCCTCAGCCCATCAGTCTCCAAGACCGGAAGACTCCACAAATCTGGTTCTTTACCTGTCCCCATGGCCTCTGCCCTAGCCTGGATGGACCATGATCCCCTCTCTGTCCCTTGGTGTTAATGTTCTCTCGCCTGCCTGTCTCCCATCTTCCTTCCCTCTCTGATTCATTCTCTTTGCGTCAAAATGTATCACAGCACTATTTTTCCTAAACCCCATTGTCCTTGAGACAAAGCCCCATATTCTCACACATACACAGGCTGTCCTGCCTGAGCACTCTTCCCTCTGCCTGAACACTCTTGCCCCAACTAATTCCTGCTAGGACCTTCAGGTTCAGCATATGCATTGCCCACTCTGGAAGACTTCCCTGGATTCCCAACCCCCACTCCAAGATTAGGTGTCTGCCCCAATTCTCTACCATGGCATTTACTAGGTTACTGTTACCAGTTAATTATAGTGAGTCCAAGAGGGACAGTCACCGATCTGTGCTGCGCACGTTATACCCACAGGGTGCAGCACAGTGCCCATGTCTTCAACAAATAGTTTTTGAGCATCTATTAAATGTCAGGCACAAAAACAGGCCCTGGGGAAATGATGGCAACTTAGCAAAGGTCTTGTCTTCACAGTTTACATCCTTGGTTGTATATTCTAAAGTTATTGCAGGCCAGACATGGTGGCTCATGCCTGTAATCCCCGCACTTTTGGGAGGCCAAGGCAGGCGGATCACCTAAGGTCAGAAGTTTGAGACCAGCCTGGCCAACATGGTGAAAACCCGTATCTACTAAAAATACAGAAAATTAGCTGAGCGTGGTGGTGCATGCCTGTAGTTCCAGCTACTTGGGAAGCTGAGGCAGGAGAATTGTTTGAGCCCGGGAGGCAGAGGTTGTAGTGAGTCGAGATCATGCCACTGCACTCCAGCCTGGGTGACAGAGCAAGACTCTGGCTCAAATAATAAACATAAATGAATAATAAAGTTATTGCTCTGAGTATGCATTGATTTTATGGCGGGAAAGGAAATCAGGAAGGAAGAAAGGGAAGAAGGAAGGGAGGGAGGGAGGAAGAGAGGGAAGGACAGAGAAATGGAGAGACACAGAGAGAGAGAAAGGAAAAGAAAGAAAGATTTGTTCTGGTCCAAACTTCTCAGTGGGTGTTCAGGGTTCAGGGCCCTGTCTTCTTCAAATGTCTTGCCTTGCTTTTTTTCACTTTCTTGCACAAATTTTATGTTCCAGAGAAAATGCAGTTCCCAAACTGCCATGTCCATTCCTACCCCTGAGCCTTTGAACATGCTGTGCCACCTTCCTAGAGCACCTTTGCTGATCTCATACCTCCTGGTTGACCTTCAAGATTCAGCTCTCAAGCGTCATCCCCCAAGCTCGTGTCAAATGCTTCCTTCTCAGGGCTCTTATGACACAGTCACATACCTCCCTAGTGGCCTTCATCATGTTGCATGCTAAAGATTTATCTATATGCCACCGCCACGTCTTTCTCCCACCAGACTGTGAGCTCCAGGAGGGCAGTAACCAAGTCTTATTCATCTCAGATCCCTGAAGAACCTAGATCTGTGCCTGGCACAGAGCAGGCACGGTGGTGTCTGCTGGACTCAGCAGGAAGACGCTGACTCTATCCATCCTGTGCTTTACTCGCCACCCCACTGGTCACCTGTTTCTTAGGTCAAGTGCGGGGCTGACTGTCCAGCCCCTGCAGCCCTCGTGGGGTTCATCACGTTCCTCAGACATGATGCCCTCCCTCTGCCTTGGGATGCCCCATCCCCATTTTCCTGTGGGTCCTCAACTCTAGGGCCCCATAGGCCCTGGACAGGCAGGGCCTCTGGGGTCCTGAGCCCAAGCAGGAACCAACAGGGCTTCACAGACCATTGTGCTGGCTGCCCCCACCACTGCCCCTTCTCACCCCGCAAAGTGACTGCTACCCTGACACCTAACACTATTGATTCGTTGTTGTTGTGTTTAAATGTTATGTACATGGAACCACATGAATGTCCTTTTTGGAACTGGACTCCTTTTACTCACCAAGCTGTCTGTGAGACACATTCACATTGTTGCACACAGCAGTTACAGTTCATTTTCATTGCTGTATAATATCCCATTATAAGAGTATACCATAACTTACTTATCCATTCTGCCATTGATGGGTATTTTGGCTGTTTCCAATGTTTAACTCTTACACATGGCACTGTTAGGAGCATCTTGAGCAATATTATGGTGAGCAGACATGCACATTTCTCTTGTGTTAGAACCAAGGGAAATCCTGCCTTTCTCCCTCTGAATATTCAATGGAAATGGACTCACAAAAGGAGATTAATTGGAGAAAAGGCATACGCATTTATTTAAGGTGTACACAGCAGCCTTCAGAATGAAGACCCAAAGATACAAAGGACATCATTCATTTTTATACTTAGGTTCAACAAAGTTTTTATGGACAGCTGTGTGGAAATACGGTTGGACAATAAGGGTATGCTTTAATGCTCATAGATGGAATGGAGAAACCCAGCAGGGCCTGTCTGTCTAGATTCTTCTTGGCCTTTGAGCCTGCATTCCTTCCTTCTGTGTATGGAGCAGGATTCTCTCTGGAATGGGGCTGCTATGACCTATGGTCAAACAAGATAGGTCAGATAATGTCTTTATGACAAGTTTTCACACACAAAGGTGGAAGGAAAGTGAGAGTAATATTTGTTGGTATTATGGCTGGCTTTGGGGAAAAGGGGTTCTGGTTTCTATTATTCACCTTGGGGAAGAGGGATTCTGGTTTCTACACCCAACACTGGTCAGGGAGAATGCAACTGAGAAGTGGGTGGGCAGGGAAAAACGTTTGCTTCTGAGGCTTCTTCTGAGGCCTACATTTAGGGGTATTGTTTTCTGAGCTCCAACAGTTGGAAAGCAACCTAGGAAAGGAATTGCTGGATCATAGGGTATACACTTGGTCAGCTTTAAAGATATTGGCAAGTAGTTTCCCAAGTGGTTGCACAGCTTTGTTTTTTTGTTTTGTTTTGTTTTGTTTTGTTTTTTGGAGATGAAGTCTCACTCTGTTGCCCAGGCTGGAGTGCAATGGCACAATCTCAGCTCACTGCAACATCCGCCTCCTGGGTTCAAGCGATTCTCCTGCCTCGGCCTCCTGAGTAGCTGGGATTACGGGCACCTGCCACCACGCCCGGCTAATTTTTGTATTTGTAGTAGAGACGGGGTTTCACCATGTTGGCCAGGCTGGTCTCAAACTCCTGACCTCAGGTGATCCACCCACCTCGGCCTCCCAAAGCGCTGAGATTACAGGCATGAGCCACCGCACCAGGCCCACAGCATTGTTTTTATAGAAGAGAAAATCTAAGTCTCCATAAACATATATCCATCCCTTTCCCCTGTTTCCTACACAGTGCAGGGGGCCTGGTCAGAGGGCTTGAGGAGAGGCAGCTACACTGGATGATGAAAGGACAGGGCTGGGAGGACATACATTTTACTGTAGCCTTTTATACCTTCGGAATTTTGAGGCATGTTAAAATGTAACCTAATAATTTTTTTTTTTTAATGAAAAAAGAAGAAGGCGGAGAGAAAAACCCATAGGCTTTTCAGATACCTTCTCTGGCTATTTATAACAGCACCCCCAGTTTCTACTCACCCTCAGATCCCTGTCTGAGCATGATGCTCCCCACCCCACCCCTCCATTCTTAACCTTTACATAGATTCCTCCCCCAAGGAGGAGCTCTTAGCATGGGTTGGGGAGCAGGAATGACAGAGCTTTGGAGAGAACAGAGAGGAGGCAGAACAATAGGGGTGGATGAATAAACACAGAGCTAACAGTTTCTACACATTCCAAGGAGACGGGGAACTAAGGTGCCGTCCAGATCCTCTGCAGATAATCCGGAAAGATGAAAGACTTGCTAGTTAGGAAGGGTTTACAGGGTATGGGTGACAGAGGAAAGGAAAGAGGCAGGACACCACCCTAATGGTTAGGGCAGGGGAGGCAAGGGGTGAGGATAGGTAAGCTGTGGGCACTGGTCCCCTTCTATGTTCCTTCTAGAAACATCCACCATCCCATTCCCCCCCCTCACACACACACCACCCTGATCCTAAGAATGTTGGATATTCCTCACTCAAGGACACCCCACCACCACCTCAGGTCCCAGGCAGGCCAGGTCTAGAGGGATAAAAAGAAGGGTCCCTGGCCCACCCCCTGCCCACCCCCCACCCGCCACCCCATGACGAGGGGCCACCTGCACCTCTAACTGGGGCCAAAAGGAAGTGACTGCTGAGCTGGGCCTGGAGGAGAGAGCCAGCACCATCTGGCTGTATCTGCCTCCCTCAATGCCACATCCTCGAGCAGGGCCGAGAAGAGAGATGGCAGTAAGAAGAGTGTCACTGCCAAGCGCTGAGGATCAGTTCTCAGTAGCAGCCTAACACCTGGCGGAGGTGGGGCCAGTCATTCACTCACCCACTCAATCATTCTTCCATTTGCCAAAGCACATACTGTGGGCCAGGCCCCTCTCCCAACTGAAGCGTTTCCTTTAGCTTGCCTGAAATCCCACCATTTTAGTTACTTAACTGGAGATCAGTGGTAGACTGTGGGGTTGGTAGCTCAAACAATTTGAGGGATAACTCTTAGAAAAATAATCCAAAATGCACACATTTCCAAAAACATGTGACCATGGGAGGACCATGCAGGTGAGGGCCAGACTCTACAGCTGGAACGTGCTTAGTTTCTCTGTAAGTCCAGCTCTTTGCAGACAGGAGCACTGCTTCTTAGAAGTGCAGGTGACAGGCCATGCGTGGTGGCTCATGGCTGTAATCCCAGCACTTTGGGAGGCCAAGGTGGGTGGATCACGAGGTCGAGAGATCGAGACCATCCTGGCCAACATGGTGAAACTCCATCTCTACTAAAGATACAAAAATTAGCCAGGCGTGGTGGCGCGTGCCTGTGGTCCCAACTACTCAGGAGGCTGAAGCAGGAGAATGGTGTGAACCCGGGAGGTGGAAGTTGCTGTGAGCTGAGATTGCACCACTGCGCTTCAGCCTGGCAACAAAGTGAGACTCCATCTCAAACAAACAAAAAAAAAAAGTGCAGGTGACAATAGAAGTTAGCAGCCCTCAGGACAGGGCTCATGGGAAGGAGGAGGGCACTGAGGGCAGGCATTCTGATGGAGACATAGCAGCTCCAGGAGGGGCTGAACCTAGAGAAATGGTAAGAAGAGGGGGCCTCAAAGGCTCCTCCATCATCCACCATCTAGCTGACCTCCTTCCCCCAGAGGCTCAGAGCACAGTCCCTGCTCCCAGGAGAATCTGGCTTCTTCTTGCAGCCAAGAGAAGCCTCTCCCTGGTCTTTTGCAGCAGTCAGGGAGTGGGTGCAGTACCCAGAAATGTAGCCCGTTTTGAGCTTCCACTCCACCTGGGGCTGCCTTGAGAAGAGAAAGTGATGGCCCAGAGGGAAGGTGGGTGGTCTGGGTGGCCCTTCTCTCTCTGGGTCTCAGTCTGCACTCTGGTTCAAAGCAGTGGTTGAACCACTCTAGTTCAAAATGTTTTTCTCTGCCCGTCTGCCTCTCAGTCCCATTCTCCCCGCAACCCGGGGTTGGGTGTAGAAACCAGAATCCCTCTTCCCCAAGGCGAGTCATAGAAACCAGAACCCCTTTTCCCCAAAGCCAGTCATAATACTGACAAATATTACTCTCACTTTCCTTCCACCTTTCTGTGTAAAAACTTGTCATAAAGACATTATCTGACCTATCTTGTTTGACCACAGGTCATAAAAGCCCCATTCCAGAGAGAATCCTGCTCCATACCCAGAAGGAAGGAATGCAGGCTCAGAGAGGCCAAAAGAAAATAAGTTTAAACCAACCAAAGTCTTTTGGAAACCCAGGGTCTTCCAAGGTCTTCCTATCCAGGAGCTTCAAGTTAAAGGAGATGATAGGGTCCATTTCCACTTCAGTTTCTTAAAATTTTAATATATTAAATACAGTCATGTAACAGGGATAGGTTCTGAGAAATTCATCTTTAGGCCATTTCGTCACTATGTGAACATATCATGTAGTGTTACACAAACCTAGATGGAATAGCCTGCTATACACCCCGGCTGTATGGCATAGCCTGTTGCTTCTAGGCTATAAACCTTTACAGCATATTGCTGTACTGAATAAATACTGTAGGCAATTGTAACACAATGGTAAGCACTGGTGTATCTAAACATAGAAACAGTGCAATAAAAATACAGTATAAAAGATTTTTTTAGATGAAACACCTGTCTAGGGCACTTACCATGCATGCAGCTTGCAGGACTGGAAGTTGCTCTGGGTGAGTAAGTGAGTAAGTGGTGAGTGAGTGTGAAGGCCTAGAGCATTACTTACTGTATACTACTGTAGACTTTATAAACACTGTACACTTAGGCTACACTAAATTTATTTTAAAAACTTTCTTTCACAATAAATTACCCTTAACTTACTGTAACTTTTTTACTTTAAAAACTTTTAATTTTTTTAACTTTTTAACTCTTTTGTAATAATACTTAGCTTAAAACAAACACATTACAGCTATACAAAAATATTTTCTAACTTTATATTATTATTCCATAAGCTGTTTTTCTATTTAAAAATTTTTCAGCTGGAAGTGGTGGCTCATGCCTGTAATCCCAGCACTTGGGGAGGCCAAGGCAGGTGAATCACTTGAAGTCAGCAGTTCGAGACCAGCCTGGCCGGCATGGCGAAACCCCGTCTCTACTAAAAATACAAAAAAAGTAAGCCGGGCGTGGTGGTGGGCACCTGTAATCCCAGCTACTCGGGAGGCTGAGACATGAGAATCTCTTGAACCCGGGAGGCGGAGGTTGCAGTGAGCCAAGATCGCACCACTGCACTCCAGCCTGGGTGAGAGAGCGAGACCCTGTCTCAAAAATAAATAAATAAATACATACATAAAAGTTTTCCTTTAACTTTTTAAACTATTTGTTAAAAACTAAAGACACAAACATACACATTAGCCTAGGTCTCACACGGTCAGGATGATCAATATCATCCTCTTCTACCTCCACCTCTTGTCCCACTGGAAGGTCTTCAGAGGCAATAACAGCCCGGAGCTGTCATCTACTGTAACAATACCTTCTTCAGGAATACATCTTGAAAGACCTGCCTGAGGCTGTTTTACACATTAACTTTTACATATATATCATATATATATATGTGTGTGTGTGTGTGTGGGTATAAGGAGAAGAAGCACACTCTAAAATAACAGCAAAAAGCCAGGCATGGTGGTCTGTGCCTGCAGTTCTAGCTACTCAAGAGGCTGAGGTGGGAGGATCACTTGAGTTCAGGAATTCAAATCCAGCCTGGACAACATAGTAAGACCCCATCTCTTAAAATACATAAATAAATAAATAATTTTTAAAAGAAAAGAATGGTTTAAAAAGTATAGGATAATAAATGCATAAACAAGTAATAATAGTCATTTATTATCGTTATGAAGTATGATGCACTGTAAATAGTTGCATGTGCTATACTTTCTTTCCTTTTTTTTTTGAGACGGAGTCTCACACTGTTGCCTGGGCTGGAGTGCAATGGCATGATCTTGGCTCACTGAAACCTCCACCTCCCCCAAGTTCCAGTGATTCTCCTGCCTCAGCCTCCCTAATAGCTGGGATTATAGGTGTGCACCACCACGCCCAGCCAGTTTTTTTGTATTTTTAGTAGAGACGGGGTTTCACCATGTTGGCCAGGCTGGTCTCGAAGTCCTGGCCTTGTGATCCGCCCGCCTCAGCCTCCCAAAGTGCTGGGATTACATGCGTGAGCCACCGCGCCTGGCCTGCATGTGCTATACTTTCACATGATTGGCAATGCAGGTCTGTTTACAGCAGCATCACCACAAACTTGTGAGTAACGCACCATGCTATAATGTTAAGACAGCTACGAAATCACTAGGTGATAGGAACGTTTCAGCTCCATTATAATCTTATGGGACCACCATCATATATCTGCTCCATTGTTGATCTAAATGCTGTCATGTGGCCCATGACTATAATTACTTTTCTCACCCTGAAGGCCTTTCTAAGTATGGCATTAAACCTGGAAGCCATAAAATAGAAGCTTGATCAATTCAGCTCCAAACACATTTTTTTTAATTTCTACGTGGCAAAAAAATATTATCAACAAAACCAAAAGACAAACAACAAACTTAGAAAAGTATTTGTGACTAATATCATAAATATACAGTCAATTTCTCTCATATATAAAAAGCTCCTACAAATCAATAAGGAAAAGACCTAGAACCCTCAATAGAAAAAAATGAGCCAGAGACATGAACAGACAATTCACAGAAAAAAGAAATTCAAGTGACTTTTTTTTTTTTTTTTGAGACGGAGTCTCGCTCTGTGGCCCCAGCTGGAGTGCAGTGGTGCGATCTCGGCTCACTGCAAGCTCCGCCTCCCGGGTTCACGCCATTCTCCTGCCTCAGCCTCCCAAGCAGCTGGGACTACAGGCGCCCGCCACCATGCCCGGCTAATTTTTTGTATTTTTAGTAGAGACGGGGTTTCACCGTGTTAGCCAGGATGGTCTCGATCTCCTGACCTCGTGATCCACCCACCTCGGCCTCCCAAAGTGCTGGGATTACAGGCGTGAGCCACCGCGCTGGCCTCAGGTGACTTTTATACACTTGAAAAGATGCCCAACCTCACCTGCAATAAGAGAATTGCATATTTAAACTAGCACTGACTTACCATGTTCACCTATCAGATTGGCAAAGATCAAATGTCTGTCAGTACACTGAGTTGGCAAAGATTTGTTGAAGCAGCACTCAGATCTTTCTGCTGAGCATGTAAATTGGAACAAACCCTCTGGAGAACAGTTTGGCAACCATTGCAGAAATTCTAAATGAGCATTCACTTTGACCCAGCAATTCTACTTTGCTCTTGTGGTTTTTGCATTTGAAACCACCTAACCCTGTTAGCTATTCAAAAGCAAATTAAACAGGTCTGAAAAGCTTCCCTCTAGAGCAAAAGTGAGTGGTTACTGAGAGTGTCTGCCTTGGTCCTGGTGACTCAGATTTACCGACAGCTTTCCTACTCAACTACATGCAACAGTTGATGTGTGTTTTTTGATCATTAAGAAACTTTAAATCATTTTTAGATATTGTCATTTATTATTTTCTGTCTACCCACAAGAGACAGAAATAGGCGGTTGGTTAGGAACGGGAAGTTAGGACAAATACAAGTATAACAACCCAAGGAAGAGTTTCGCAACTTGCTTCAACGGGATCATTATAGGTCCATAATTTCTATTTATCTGATCAAAATTGTTTTAAAGCATGCCAAGGCATCTTGGGTTCTTAAAAATAATGTTAAAATGAAATAAGAAAGGGCTGATTTTTTCCAATTAAGCTTTGCCTTTATTGGAAATATACAGCCACAATGTGTTAAGAGTGGAGACATACTTAGAAAAAGCAGCCTGAAACCTTCTCTCCCATTATGTGGAAGCCAGACTTGAAATGTATGACAATGAACCAGCTGGTTTTCTTGATGTGACATGCAAGTATTCCACATATCACATCCTGAAATAGTTTTTGCCAATTCTTGATGTTCTAATACGTCAAATAGTATCAATCCACTCTTTTATTATTATTATTATTTTCTTTAGAGACAGGGTTTCACCCTTGTCACCTGGAACTGGAGTGCAGTGGCACAATCATAGCTCACTGCAACCTCCAACTCCTGGGCTCAAGCAATCCTCCAGCCTCAGCCTCCTGAGTAGCTAGGGCTACAGGCACACCATCACATCGCCTTTTTTTTTTTCTTTAAATAGAAATGGGGTCTTGCTATGATGCTCAGGCTGGTCTCAAACTCCTGGCCTGAATAGATCCTCCTGCTTTCGCCTCCCAAAGCGCTAGGATTACAGGCATGAGCCACTGTGCCTGGCCTCAATCCACTCTTGTAATAAATACATTCAATCCCTAATCTAAATATGATATAGCTGTCATTTTGAATTGGTCCAACAAATCATGTTTTTCCTTAAGTAATAAGTAGATGTTATATTTGAAAAACTCAAAATTAGTCTTTATACATTATAGATGTTTAATTAATATGAACTCTATAATATTAATATAAGCTTTAACAATACATTACAATTCCCAACTTTATACATTAGCATTAAAATTATCAGCAACTTTTTAAAAACTGAGAAACACTAAGCTCTGATATTCTTGGCTTCCAAGATTCAACAGCCAGTGATATTTACCCTTAGTGTCTGGAGCTGCCCAAATGCTGATCCCTGAAGAAAACCAGGCAAAAGTTAAACATTTTCTTATAAATATTCCCTATGTCTTCAACGATTTATAAATACTTGTGATCTCACATGAGCCTTGCAAAACATCTAGCATCTATCTATCTATCTATAGCACCATCTATCTTTCCATCTAGTTCTTCCCACTTGACAGACAAGGACATTGAGGCCCAGAGAAGTTTCCAGTCCTTGCTTAGGGTCACACCCAGATCTGCGGCTCTCCATACCCTGTCATTCAGACCTCCCCATCCCTATTGTATTCTGAGGACAAACCTGGGGCTTTTATGATAAAAGTGGCTCAGAGCAGAGGTGGATGGAGTCTGGGAGGTAGGTCAAGGCTGAAGGGTTGTGGGGGTGGGGGCCTAGCAGTAGACTGGGAGAGAGGGCTGGGCAGAGGGCACTGAAGTCAACATCAGCAATTCTGCTCTATGGACTACTGAGTGACGCTCAGCAATCATCAGTGCCTGATGGGGCCAAAGCCCCTGGAAAACCACCTTGACCGCCAGGGCTCTGGTAAATGTTTAAGCATTGGGGATGGCAGTAAGAAGCAATTATTGTTGTGGGGCATGGTATTAAGTGCAAGAAGTGCGGAGATGGAGACTTTAACCCCAGAAATGCATAGTCACCCCCACCTCTGTTGTGTTCCTCAGAGGCCAGGAAGGGGCTGCCTGGGTAGGCTAGCAAGCCCCCTGCCTCAAGAGTCCTTCTCTGAGCCATTCCAAGCAAGGGGGAGGAGTCCTCCCCAGGAATTCAAGAGCCTCTCTCCCCACCTTCATCCTAATTAAGGTCAGCCAGTTGGGACTGGGCATGGGATTGGGGCTTTCCTGAGTCCTTTATAAGGTCCAAACTCTTCTGGGTGTGCAGCTATCTGACCCCGTTCCTTTCCACCACCACACTCCCCCGAACACACATCCCTTTGCCACCTCCTGCCAGGCCCACTCCGTAGGTCTCTGCCTTCCCATTGTACCTCAGATTCCTTCTTTGGGCATGGAACCATTGATTCCTGAAGGTCAACAATGGCATCTAGCGTGACAAGTGGAAGGTGGTAAGAATCAGTGCGACTGACTCATTGAAATGGGCATCCAAGTAGGACCAACAATGTCCAACACTGGCTCTGTCCTCAACAAAGGCCACTGGGTTTCCTAAATGGGGTTGCTATCAACTGGGAACACTTGCCTTAAACCAGCAGCACCCACTTCATCACCATCAGCTTCATCACCAGCCCTATTTGGAAGCTGGGTAGGGTATTACACAGGTGGAATGTTAATCCAAGTCTTCTGTCCACTCTGGATTTGAGCCAGTTCCTTTGGGGGCCAACAGAACTTTAGCCCTATGCTGAAGCTGCGGTTGCTAGCTCACCTCTACCCTCCTCGTCTTGTCTTCTTTCCTTTTGACACTGTTGTATTGTTGGAAGTGACAACATACTCAGCTTAAAACAAATAGGCCATTCCCCAGGCTCCCTGTCTTGAGGAAGAGCATGGTGGCCAGTGGGTCAGGGAATGGAGGGGGCTTCAGGGAAAATTCATTAAAGCATCCTGACAGAGCTTGCAGGCATCCTCTTGCCCTGTTTCCCATACTCCTTCTTCCTCCCTTACACTTGGATGTGTTGCCGGGAGCTTCAATTGCCATCTTGGACTAGAAGCTCCCTGAGGACAGGAATCATTCTGTTTACTGTAAAGCCTGGCAGATTGTCTGCTGCTGACTATATTTTTAAGGGCTCTTGGTGATGATGACAGTGGTCATAGTGAGAATGATGCTGCTGACAACCCTGTAAGCTGCTTGTGGACATCCTGGACCACAGGTTTCCTGTGAGTCACTCAACTGTCTCCAGACAAATGTCCTGTAGGCAAGCATTCCAAATAACCAGATCCTTAAACAGCAATTAGCAACCTCTGTGGAGAGCAATTACCCAGCACATCCAAATTTACAAGTTTACCTCCTCTTCGACCCAGAGATTCACTGAGAGAACTTATCCTACAGATCACATATACACAAAATGATATATGTACCAGGTTATTGATGGAAGCCTCACTGATACTAGCAAATAGCTGGAAACAACCTGAATATCCACCAGCAGATCACTGGCTCAAGAAATGCTGGCATTTCCAAGCCGTGGAACGTTATACAGCTGTATAAAAGAACTGGAATAATCTTTATGCAAAGAAAGAACTATCTTCAAGATGTATTGTGAAGTGAGGGAAGAGGCAGAGCAGAGTGAAAGAGGAGATGCAGGTAGCTAAGGAAGGGGCGAGAGAGCGACTTATTCTGGAATCATGTGAATGTATGACCTTGACTAAAAATAAATGAAATAAAACAGCTAGACATCAAATGCAGAGATCTCTCACATTCATATTCATTTATCCCACAGATATCAACAACCTGCTGAATGCTGGGCAGTGGACTACAGATTAGACTAAGAAAGACCTTTGTAATGCCCAGTATGGGGTGGTAGGTGGGGGCCAGGGGAGCCAGGAAATGAACCAGCAACTATAAACCTATGCTGAAAATAGAATAAGTACAAAATGCTGTAGCTATGCAGAATACAGAGTCCAGGAAGGCTTCCTGGAGGAAGCCTTGATGAATGAGTAGCAGATAGCCAGAGAGGAGAAGGGGAGAAAGGGAATTCTGGGAAGGGAGCACTACAGGAACAATTACCAAGATGTGGCCCAGCTTAACAGGTGAGAAGATGCAGAGGGCATTGAGAAGATGGCCAACTTAAGACCAGACTAGACAGAGCTCAAGTTTCAAGGTAAGAGCCTTGATTAAAAAAACCTAGAATATCTCTCTTTTACTGAGAAGTTAAATCAGGATTGGGAGAGGGAGGTGGGCAGGTGCAGAGGCTCATGCCTATAATCCCAGCACTTCAAAAGCCTAAGGTGAGAGGATCTCTTGAGGCCAGGAGTTTGAGACTTCCTGGGCAGCATCGAGAGACCTCATCTCCACAAAAGATTTAAAAATTAGCAGGATATGATGGTGCGTGTCTGTGGTTCTAGCTACCCATCTCCACAGAATAAAAAATACATTAGCTAGGCATGGTGGTGCATGTCTGTAGTCCAGCTACTCAGGACAGTGAGGAGGGAAGATTGCTTGAGCCCAGGGGTTCAAGGCTGCAGTGATTCCTGATTGCACTACTGCAGTCCTGGGCAACAGAGTAAGACACTGTTTTAGAAAAGAAAAGTAAGAAAAAAATTGGGTGGAGATGCTAATCCTGGGGCTTCAGATTGCCTTTTTCCACCTCCCGCTGAGCTCCCTCAACCCAGAAACAGGGCTGCAAAAGACCTGGTTGTCAGAGATGACTCTGGACATGACTTGTGATGAACACATCAACGTTCCCTCACTGCCTAAATGGTGTACTCCAAATTATGTCAGTCAGTGTCATTTACTGAACAATCACAGGGGCCCGCTGGATGCTGGGCAGCGACAGCATTCAGGGGCATGAGCGACATAGAAGATAAAGCCTTTGGCTTGGAACATCTAATTTAAACAAAAAATCATCTAAAACCAGAGTAACTCAATTTAGGACTATCTTTTTTTTTTTTTTTCCGAGACGGAGTCTTGCTCTGTCACCCAGGCTGGAGTGCGGTGACACGATCTCAGCTCACTACAAGCTCCGCCTCCTGGGTTCGCGCCATTCTCCTGCCTCAGCCTCTCAAGTAGCTGGGATTACAGGCACCTGCCACCACGCCCGGATAACTTTTTGTATTTTTTTAGTAGAGATAGGGTTTCACCATGTTGGCCAGGCTGGTCTCGAACTCCTGACCTCAGGAGATCCACCCGCCTCGGCCTCCCAAAGTGCTGGGATTACAGGCGTGAGCCACTGTGCCCAGCCAGGACTATCTTTAAAAGCATAGCCCAAAGCAGAAACTCATACATTTGCTCACGGATATTCATAGCAGCATGATTCACAATAGCCGAGAGGTGGAAGCAACCCACGTGTCCACAGACAAGTAAATGGATAAACAAAACGTGGTGTATAAATATTATAGAATATCATTCAGCCATAAAAAGGAATAATGTTGTGATACATGCCACAACTCAGGTGAACCTTGAAAACATGCTAAGTGGAGGAAATCAGAGAGGAAAAGACAAATACCGTATGATTCCACTCATATGAAATATCTGGAATAGTCAAGTTAACACAGATAGAAAGTAGTTAGGAGGTTTCCGGGGCAATGGGAGTTATTGCTTAGTGAATACAGAGTTTCTGTTTGGGATGATGGAAATTTTTGGAAATAATCATGATGGTTATACAATATTATGACTATAATATTAAATACTGAATATTTGATATTGATTTAAATATGGACTATAATATTAAATATTGAAGCCAGGTGAGGTGGCTTGTGCTGGCAAGGTAGTCCTAGCTACTAGGGAAGCTGAGGTGGGAGGATCACTGGAGCCAGGAGTTCAAGGCTGCAGTGAGCTATGATTGTGCTACTGTACTCCATCCTGAGTGACACAGCAAGACCCTGTCTCTATTTTTTTTTTTTTTTAATGTGGCTCAGGAGCAGGAGATAGTGAGGGCTCAGCCAATTTAGGAAGGCCTCTTGAAGGGGGTAACATTTGAAAAAAGTCTGGGAAAATGTGGTGCAAGAGGAGAAGGAAAAGCATGGTGATGGAAGGTTGTGTGGGAGTGACAAGAACCCCAGAAGGCGGGAGTCTGATGGCCTCCCCTGGACCAGGTGGAGAGTAAGGGGAGAGTCATAAGAATCAAGAGTTTGCTGGATGAGTGAGAGAGAGGTCAATGATATTCATGATACAAAATTACTGCAGGTGGCCGAACATGGTGGCTCACACCTGTAATCCCGGCACTTTGGGAGACCAAGGTGGGTGGATCACCTGAAGTCAGGAGTTCGAGACCAGCTTGGCCAACATGGCAAAACCCCACCTCTACTAAAAATACAAAAAATTAGCCAGGCATGGTGGCAGGCACTTGTAATCCAAGCTACTCGGGAGGCGGAGGCAGGAAAATCGCTTGAACTTGGGAGGCGGAGGTTGCAGTGAGCCAAGATTGTGCCATTGCACTCCAGCCTGCAAGACAGAGTGAGACTCTGTCTCAAAAAAAAAAAAAATAGTACTGCAGGCAAAGATTCAACACTTGAGGTAGGTAATATTAATTCCATTTTACAGATGGATAAACTGAGGCTCATCCAGGGGTAGAGGTTTACTCAAGATGGCACAGCTCATAGGCCGAACAGTGGAGATTTGATCTGAAGTTATGTGGCCCTAAAGCAGTGGCTCTCGCAGGGTGCAGTGGCTCACGCCTGTAATCCCAGAACTTTGGGAGGTGGAGGTGAGTCACAAGGTCACGGGTGGATCACGAGGTCAGGAGATCAAGACCATCCTGGGCAATAAGGTGAAACCCCGTCTCCACCAAAAATACAAAAATTAGCTGGGCATGGTGGTGCGTGCCTGTAATGCCAGCTACTCAGGAGGCTGAGGCAGGAGAATCACTTGAACCAGGGAGTTGGAGGTTGCAGTGAGCCGAGATCACACCGCTGCACTACAGCCTGGTGACAGAGTAAGACTCTTCAAAAAAAAAAAAAAAAAAAAAAAAAAGCAATGGCTCTCAACCCTGGCTACACACTGAGATGCCCCCAGAGAGCTTTTAAAAAACACACTGCCAGCATCCCAACTCCAGAGATTTCCTTCTAATTTCCTGGGAAGTGAGGCTTGAGCATTAATCTTTCTGAAAAGCTCCCCAGTGGATTCTAATGTGCTGACTGGATTGAGAAGCACTGCTCAAAGACCCAACACATCTGATTCCCTCTGCTCTTGGGGTTACTCACTGTCATTGTCAGGCAAGATGCTCAACCGCTTTGAGCCTCATCTATAAAATGGGTAAAGAATACATACCCTGACTAACTAAGCCCAGTATGAGATTAACAGTGTACCTGAGCTTCCCTTCCTCCCCCTCCCTGGCCCCTTCATCTCTTAGCTGCAAGTGTCAGCACAACAGGCAGTCCAGGAAGTGAGGCAGGGAGGGTAGTAGGATAGGGGCCACCCAGAAGCACTGTTGAAGACACAGCCCAGAGGCTGCAGGCAGAGGGGAGCAAATAAGTAACTATATTGAGGATGATGGGAGCTAAGTTTCCCACTGTCAGAGGGCCGCTTTACTCACTGTCCTGGGAGCAATGATGGTTACTGGGAAAGGAGGAAGGCTGGAAAAAACTTTGAGGTTTGGGACTGGAATCAGAAGTATTGGCACAAACTTTTTTTTTTAATAATTCTTTTTTGTTTTTTATTTTTGAGACGAAGTCTCGCTCTGTCGCCAGGCTGGAGGGCAGTGGCATGATCTCAGCTCACTGCAACCTCCGCCTCCCGGGTTCAAGCCATTCTCCTGCCTCAGCCTCCCGAGTAGCTGGGACTACGGGCGCACACCACCATGCCCAGCTAATTTTTGTGTTTTTAGTAGAGACAGGGTTTCACCATGTTGCCCAAGAGTGGTCTCAATCTCTTGACCTCGTGATCTGCCCACCTCGGCCTCCCAAAGTGCTGGGATTACAGGCTTGAGCCACTGCGCCCAGCCGAACTCATGATTTTAAATTATACTTAGACTTTAAAATAGCTATAGATATCTGTGTGTTGTGTATGTATAATGTATGTGTATCTATGTATAGTTAATCTTTTTTTTTTTAAGACAGAGTCTCACTCTGCTGCCCAGACTGAAGTGCCGTGGCATGATCTCAGCTCACTGCAACCTCCACCTCCCAAGTTCAAGTGATTCTTCTGCCTCAGCTTCCCGAGTAGCTGGGATTACAGGCATGCACTACCACGCCCAGCTAGTTTTTGTATTTTTAGTAGAGACAGGGTTTCACCGTGTTGGCCAGGCTGGTCTCAAACTCCTGACCTCAGGTGATCTGCCCGCTTCAGCCTCCCAAAGTTCTGAGATTACAGGCATGAGCCACTGTGCCCGGCCAATTGATCTTCATTATTCAGGGATTCTGTATATATAAATTTGCCCTGTTGCTAAAATTTATCTGTAACTGCAAAATCAATACCCATGGCACTTTTGCAGTCATTCTTGCACATGTACAAAGCAGGGGAAAATATGAGTTGCCTGGTGTACATGTGGCCCCAGCTGAGGTTGAACAAGGCGACACTCTGCCTTCTCATTTCAGTGCTTTACTGTAAACAAGTGTCCTTTTTGTGGTCTATTTGGTGTCATATTTTTTCATTTTTGTACTTTTCCTTGGTGCTTTTGCTGTTGAAAATAGACCTCAACTACACTGCTGCAGAACTGTTTAGATTGCCTAAGCACAAGAAGGCTGTGATGTGTTCGTGGTGAAAGAATATACATGGTAGATAAGCTTTGTTCCAGTAGAAGTTATAGTGCTGGTGGCCATGAGTTCGATGTTCATGAATCAACCATGTATATTAAATGAGCTGTCTTCAAACCGAAACACACATAAAATGAGGTTCTGTATTGGTTGTTTGATGAAAATGTTGTGACCAGAGAGGCTCATGGAACCTAACCCTGTACTTGTCCTAGGAGCAATGTGTCAGTATTTGCCAATTCGTGTTGCCACTGAATTAGCAAATGATGGAAATTGGTTGTGTATGTATGTGTGTATGTGTGTGTATCCTAGCTCTAATCTTTGAGAGGGCCTAGAAGTAATGTCACCCCAATAACCACAAGCACACCAAGCTCTCAGATCTTGGTTTCTAAACATCACTCTTCACAAAAAGGAACCAGGGCTCCCTATTCCAGGGCTGAAGCAAGGAAAGTGCAAAAGAGCCTGGAACATTTTATCATGCCAGAAAGTAAGAAAACGCTCCAAGAATGATGGGGACAAGTCAAAGGACACAAGGGGCCAGCTTGAAGGGGGTCGGTTTGGCCCATTCTGGGACAATTTGACCACCAAAATAAACAATAATATTAACAGATTTCAACCACCTACGTAAAATAGGAATCCATGAGTCCATCCTGATATAAACAAACAAACAACTGGGAGAGAAAGGAAGGTTTTTTCTTATAGTAGAATGCCAACTACTAAATGGTAGAAGGAACTATAGAAATAGAAAAATCACCACTGGCAACCACCATACTGGTGTTTGATTCAGATGGGAGTTGTCAACAGATGTCAAAGCTGGTGCACAGAGGTTTGAAGAGGATTGGCATATTGGCATAATCTCACATTATCTCTCCACAAAATACTTATTAATTACAAAAGGGAGATGGGGACTCTGGTGGAGAAGCCTGGAAGACACCAACTTGACCAAGGGACAAAGGTCCAGAAACATTTCTGTGGTATTTATTGTCAAAACTGCATGTATGGCCTGCGTCTGGTCATGAGGAAACACCAAAGGAACTCAAGTTGAAGGTCATCCAATGGAATAAAAGGCCTGACCTTTTTAAGACTGCTAAGGATACAAAATGCAGGGAAAGACGAAGAAACTGTTGTAGATTGAAGAAGATGGGTGACACATGACAACTAAATGTAATGCATGGTCCTGGATTCCCTCCTGGACTTCTCCCCTCCCCCACCACCCCCCGTAAAATGGACATTCTTAGGACAATGTGCAACACTTGAACAGGATCTGTAGATTGAATGGTTTCCTGTGCCAAGGTCAATTCCCTAATTTGAAGAGCTGATGAAGAATTTAGGTAGGTGATTATTCTTATATTGATGGGCATCATGTCTGCATCTCAAATTCAGAAAAAGATGAATGGAAAGGCCAAGCGCAGTGGCTCATGCCTGTACTTCCAGCCCATAGGGAAATGGAAGCAGGAAGATTTGTTGAGGCCAGGGGTTCAAGACCAGCCTGGGCAACATCGTGAAAACCACCCCCATACACACACACAAAGAATTTTAAAAATTATTCAGTCATGGTGGCACATGCCTATAGTCTCGGCTACTCAGGAGGCTGAGGCTGGAATATCACTTGAGCCCAGGAGTTCAAGATTGCAGTAAGCTACAATTGCACCAATGCACTCCAGCCTGGGTGATAGAGTAAGGCACTGCCTCAGACAAAAAAAAAAAAGAAAAGAAAAAGATGAATGGGCGTATATAAAAAGAGAGGATGATAAAGTAGATGTGGTGAAATGTTCCAGAATCAGGGTGCAAGGCTGGTTCAACATACGCAAATCAATAAACGTAATCTATCACATAAATAGAGCTAAAGACAAAAACCACATGATTATCTCAATGGACACAGAAAAGGCCTTTGATAAAATTCAATATCCCTTCATGTTAAAAACTCTCAATAAACTAGGTATTGATGGAACATACCTCAAAATAATAAGAACTATTTATGGCAAACCCACAACCAGTATCATATTGAATGGGCAAAAGCTAGAAGCATTCCCTTTGAAAACAGGTACAAAACAAGGATGCTCTCTCTCAGCACTGCTATTCAACATAGTATTGGAAGTTCTGGCCAGGACAATCAGGCAAGAGAAAGAAATAAAGCGTATTCAAATAGGAAGCGAGGAAGTCAAGTTGTCTTCCTCTCTTTTGCAAGGAAGACAACAAGATTTTGCAAGAAAGACAACAAAGTTTGCAGACAACAAGATTTTATATTTAGAAAAACCCATCATCTCAGCCCCAAAACTTCTTGAACTGATAAGCAACTTCGGCAAAGTCTCAGGATACAAAATCAATGTGCAAAAATCACAAGCATTCCTTTACACCAACAATAGGCAAACAGAGAGCTAAATCATGAATGAACTCCCATTTGCAATCTCTACAAAGAGAATAAAATACCTAGGAATGCAGCTAGCAAGTAATGTGCAGGACCTTTTCAAGGAGAACTACAAACTACTGCTCAAGGAAATAAGAGAGGACACAAACAAACGGGAAAACATTCCATCCTCATGGATAGGAAGAATCAATATCGTGAAAATGGCCATACTGCCCAAAGTAATTTATAGATTCAGTGCTATTCCCATCAAACTACCATTGGCATTCTTCACAGAACCAGAAAAAAACTATTTTAAATTTCATATGGAATCAAAGAAGATCCCATATAGCCAAGACAATCCTAAGCAAAAAGAACTAAGCTGGAGGCATCACGCTACCTAACTTCAAACTGTACTACAAGTCTACAATAACCAAAACAGCATGGCACTTGTACCAAAACAGACACATAGACCAATAGAGCAGAACAGAGACCTCAGAAATAACACCACACATCTACAACCATCTGATCAGCAAACTGACACAGGAACCATCATCCTCAGCAAACTAATACAGGAACAGAAAACCAAACACCGCATGTTCTCACTCATAAGTGGCAGTTGAATATTGAGAATACATGGACACAGAGAGGGGAATGACACACACCAGTCCCTGCTGGGGGGTGGTAGGTGAGGGGAGGGAACTTAGAGGATGGGTCAATACCTATGTAACAAACTTGCACATTCTGCACATATATCCTGTTTTTGTTTTTTGTTCTTTTTAGAAGAAATAAAAAAAGAAAATAACACCATCAATAAATTGCAAAGAAAAAGAAAAAGATGACTTGGTGTATATAAAAGAGAGGATGATGAAGCAGATGTGATGAAATGTTCAAGAAACAGGGTGAGGGGGATAAGGGAATTCTTTGTACTGTTCTGGCAATGTTTCTGTAAATTTTAAAAGATTTCAAAATAAATTATTAGGAAAATAATAAAGCAGTGTACCCAAATGCTTTGCAAACTGCATAGAAGGTAAAGAGGAGATTGTTGTAATACGTTTTGTAGCACGGGGTCATTGCTCCGAGAGGGTGTTCTGAGTGTGGGAGTGGCAGTGTTGCCATGGACTGTGTGCTTATTTATTTTCCATCCTCCAGATTAACCCCTTCTCCCCCAGGGCAACAGGTGATGATGTAATCTATGCTGGGGCAAGGGAAGAGCCGCACCTGAGAAAATACTAAACACGGGCTCAGCTGGGATGAAAGCTGACTTATGACACATTATGTCTTATCGTCTGTCACAGTTGAGTGCTCCCCTGCTGTCTGTTTATACAGAGACGTATAAAAAAACATAGCCTCATGCTTTGCTTGCTCCAAGCCTTGGGAATATCGATACAGCACTCCTGGCTGAAACAACTTCTTCCTGCCTTCCTGGCTGATCTTCCCACACCATGTGAACCTCTGTCTTAGATTTGGAGCGGGGGCTCAAAACAGAGAATAGGGAACCACAAGCCCAAAGTCACCCAGTCATGGCAGGGTGGAGGAGCCCGCTTTCAGGCAGACAGAGGCAAGAAAAAGGAAAGACATGAGTATTGCCTACTCACAAGGCACTTGTAGTCTCATTTGTTTTCTTGTTAATTCTCTCATTCATTAATTTAACAGATATGTATTAAGCCTCTACCCTATGCCACCCACAGTGCTAATGGCTGGATACACTTTGGTGAGCAAAACAGACAAGATCCTTACCTTCATGGCAGAGTCTAATGGAAAGGACAGATATCACACCTGTAAACCAACAAATTGATGTGTATTGTGGTTATGAAGAGGACTGTGTAGGGGCTGTAGACAGAAGAATGTAGGAAGCCACTTTAGATGGGGTGGTCATAGATGGCCTCTCTGAGGATGTAACATTGAAGCTCAACTTGGAGGAGGGAAAGGAGGGGTAACAAACTGAAAAATGATAGTGCTACTGGGAGCATTCCAGGTAGAAGGTCCCTGAGGGTCTTCCACCTTGGAAATAAGAGGATTCAAAGTAAAGTATGAAATTCTATCTCAAATAGTGTCTTTCTTCTCCCTCTCCTCCAATATCACCAGCATCAACATCATCATCACCATCACCACCATCATCATCACTATTATTGGTTGAATTGTGTCCCTCCAAAAGATGTTTAAGTCCCAACTCCCAGTACCTCAGAATGTGACCTGTATTTGGAAATAGGGTCTTTGCAGAATCAAGTGAAGATGAGGTCATGAGAGTGGGCCCTAATTCAGTATGACTTCTGTCCTCATAAAACAAGGGAAATTTGGACACAAAGAGAGACACATACAGGGAGAATGCCATATGATCATGAAGGCAGAGATCAAGGTGATGGGTCTGTGTCTTAGTCGGCTTTCTGTTGCTTATAACAGAATACTTGAAACTGGGGAATTTATAAAGAAAAGGAATGTATTTCTTACAGTTATGGAGGCTGAAAAGTCTAAGGTTGAGGGGCTGCACTGGTGATATCCTTCTTGCTAGAGGGGACTCTCTGCGGGATCCTGAGGCAGTGCAGGTCATTGCATGGCAAGATTGCTGAGCATGCTGACCTTCTGGCTCAGGTCTGAGAACTAAAAATAAAGTCCTAAGCCTCCCAACCAACTAAGCTGACACCCTTGGCCAAGAGGACCCCAGAGAAACCTTAAAAACTGAGTTCCCAGTCATGATAGAACAGGAGGTCAGATATGCCCTGTTATACCCCCTCTCTTTTGTGGTTTAGACACAACTGACCAGCATTAATGTCAAAACAGAGATCGTAAGCCTGATGGAATGGACTCTATAGCAATAAGATACCAGAGTATGAACAGGACCTAAGGCCATGCCTGGTATGAATTAAGTCACAACCCCTATACTTAAATAATAAACTGTGTTCTAGCTGCCACAAGGTTTTCCTTTTTCTCTAGCAGCTAAACAAGCCCTGGCCTGGAGATAAGCAACACTGAAACAATTGCCGACCATCTACTGCCAGACACCAACTAACTGGCCTCTTGCAGACCATCTACTGCCAGACACTAACTGGCCTCCTGTTCCACCAGCCATAACTACACTTTTGATCGGACAAGAGACTGATTTCAGTAACTCTCCAGGTAAGACCACCAACCATGGACTGGTTCTGCCTGGTTTACAGAGGCTGCACACTTGAATTGTCTTTGTGTTCCTGCTTCACCTTTTGACATATAGGGCCTAATTGTAATATATTTAAATGTTAAGCCTCCACCCAAAAGCGAACATAAGATACATGTAATATGCATATTTGTTCATGTGTGCATCCACCTTTCATGAATATTTATAGCTCCTCCTACAACCTGTTGAATATGTATACTTGGCCAACCCATTCAGTAGAAATCCCTGTCCCACCCTCCACAACCTCCAAGTGCCTGCTAATGTACTCTGCCAGAGGCTGCACTTCTCAGCCTGTCAGAATGGCCACCTTGCAAACCATAACCCTTTATAAGATTGAGAGCTCTTCTGGCCAGGCTTATGCCTGTAATCCCAGCACTTTGAGAGACCAAGCCACCACACCTGGCTAATTCTTGCATTTTTAGTAGAGACAGGGTTTCGCCATGTTGGCCAGGCTGGTCTCAAACTCCTGACCTCAGGTAATCTGCCTGCCTTGGCCTCCCAAAGTGATGGGATTACAGGCGTGAGCCACCGCACCTGGCCGAGACAATAAATTTCTGTTGTTTAAGCCATCCAGTTTGTGGAACTTTGTTAGGGCAGTTCTAGGAAAGTGACATAATCTCTATTACCATCCTCACTTGAAGTCAGGAGTTCGAGACCAGCCTGGCCAACATGGCAAAACTCGTCTCTACTAAAGATATAAAAAATAGCTGGGTGTCGTGGCGCACGCCTGCAGTCCCAGCTACTTGGGAGGCTGAGGCAAGAGAATTGCTTGAACCTGGGAGGTGGAGGTTGCAGTGAGCCAAGATCACGCCACTGCACTCCAGCCTGGGCGACAGAGGGAGATTCTGTCTCAGGAAAAAAAAAAAAGATTGAGAGCTCTTCTTTCTACATTTATAGATTTGTCATTTTTAAGTTGACAGGTCTCTCTTCCTCTTCTTATAAAGCCACCAGTCCCCTCCCATAATAACCCATTAGCCCCTTAATCCATTAATCCACAAATTATGAGGACAGAGCCTTCATGACCCAATCACCTCTTAAAGGCCTCACCACTCAACACTGCCACATTGGGGATTAAGTTTCAATATGAGTTTTGGAGGGAACATTCAAACCATAGCAGTCTACAAGCCAAAGATTGCCAGCAAATTACCAGAAGCAGGGAGAGAGGCATCAAACAGATTCTTCCTCATAATCATCAGAAGAAATCAACCCTTCTGACAACTTGATCTCGGATGTCTAGCCTCCAGAACTGTGAGACAATAATTTTTTTTTCTTTTTTTGGAGACAAAGTCTTGCTTTGTTGCCCAGGCTGGAGTGCAGTAGTGCAATCTCAGCTCACTGCAACCTCCTCCTCCCAGGTTCAAACGATTCTCCTGCCTCAGCCTCCCAAGTAGCTGGGATTACAGTCACCCGCACCACACCTGGCTAATTCTTGCATTTTTAGTAGAGACAGGGTTTTGCCATGTTGGCCAGGCTGGTCTCAAACTCCTGACCTCAGGTAATCTGCCTGCCTTGGCCTCCCAAAGTGATGGGATTACAGGCGTGAGCCACCACGCCTGGCCGAGACAATAAATTTCTGTTGTTTAAGCCATCCAGTTTGTGGAACTTTGTTAGGGCAGTTCTAGGAAAGTGACATAATCTCTATTACCATCATCAGCATCAGCATCGTCACCACCACCGTCATCATTGTCCTCTAACTAACTAGAGGAGACAGAGCTAACTGCATGCCATCACTGCTCTGAGCACATTACTTATATGAACTCATTTAATCCTCACAACCATCCTATGAGGTAGGCACTTTTATTATGCCCATTATCCATAGAAAATGAAACTGAAACTCAGAAAGCTAAATTATCTTCCCAAGGCCACATGGCCAGAGAATGTCTGCATTGGCTTCAACATTCCCCCAGAATCACTCCTTCCTCTCATCTCAACAGCCATCTTTCTCCCCAGCCCTCAGCTGGTGGATATGTTCAGTGCTCATCTCTTCTTGCCAGAAGCCTGCTTTGACTGAGCAAATGTTTCAGCATCATTCTCATGCTTCTTGGGCCCTCAAAGACATACAACAGCATGTGGGGATCGTGTTCTGGGGCAGTGCCAGGCATGGAGTCCTGCCCCCAGTCCTGGTCCATTCTTTGCCCTAGAGTGCATCTGTCCTCACAGAGAAGACTGTCCCAGCCCTGATGCCAGCAACCTTCAGCGGAGTTGTCAATCATCTTTATTTGCAGTATTCAGGTAGATTATGATAGGTTTTTATTGCTCCCATCGATAACCAGCAGCATGAACCAAGTACATAGTAATCATGACACAGAAAGAAAGAAATCTGAGCTGCATGCAGGTATTCCCAATCCCATCAGCAGGGGCCCAGGGACTGTTTGAATTGCCGTGAGCAACGAGAACATGGTTCTCCACATTTCCATTGTGCCTGGCACAAATTTTTAGCACATAAAATGGTTCCATCACCGGGCACAGTGGCTCACGCCTATAATCCCAGCACTTTGGGAGGCCGAGGTGGGCAGATCACGAGGTCAGGAGATCAAGACCATCCTGGCTGACACAGTGAAACCCTGTCTCTACTAAAAATACAAAAATTAGCCCGGCGTGGTGGCGGGCGCCTGTAGTCCCAGCTACTCGGGAGGCTGAGGCAGGAGAATGGCGTGAACCTGGGAGGCGGAGCTTGCAGTGAGCCGAGATCGTGCCACTGTACTCCAGCCTGGGCAACAGCACAAGACTCCGTCTCAAAAAAAGAAAAAAAAAAAGGTTCCATCAATGATTGTTGAATTAACTCAACACTTTCCAACCCAACCAGAGCCCCTAACCTCTTGTATATATCAAATTTACTGGGGTTTCTCCATCCCTTCCCATGTTTATCCTAAGATATTATTTCTTGTGGAAAGAGTAGACGCCAATCAGTTTTGAAAAGCTCTAATAGTGTTCTAAGGTTTGGGCTTGTAGTTATAGTATTTTATTTAATTGTCCATCTTTTTGCAGAGCCTATGGCTATTTGTGGAATCTGCAGTTGCTTGCAGGCTGCAGGTGAGTACAGATTTATTTATTTATTTATTTATTTATTTATTTATTTATTTATTTATTTTAAGATGGAGTCTCACTCTGTCACCCAGGCTGGAGTGCAGTGGTGCCATCTTGGCTCACTGCAACCTCCACCTCCTGGGCTCAAGCAATCACCCCACTTCATCCTCCCAAGTAGCTGGGACTACAGGCGTGCACCCACATGGCTGGCTAATTTTTGTGTTTCAGCAGAGATGGGGTTTCACCATGTTGGCCAGGCTGGTCTCGAACTCCTGGCCTCAAATGATCCGCCGGTCTCAGCCTCCCAAAGTGCTGGGATAACAGGTGTGAGCCACTGTGCCCGGCCAGATCTTGTCACTTTTTGCAAGCCTTCAGCTGTTCACAGATCCTGCAGCTATTTGCAGAGCATATCCCGATTTTCACAGCCTCTAGTTTGTAATTTAAAAAAAAATTTTAAGGCCGGGCACGTGGCTCACGCCTGTAATCCCAGCACTTTGGGAAGCCGAGACAGGCGGATCACAAGGTCAAGAGATCGAGACCATCCTGGCCAACATGGTGAAACCCTGTCTCTACTAAAAATACAAAAATAACTGGGCATGGTGGTGTGCAACTGTAGTCCCAGCCACTCTGGAGGCTGAGGCAGGAGAATTGCTTGAACCCCAGAGGCAGAGGTTGCAGTGAGCCAAGATCGCACCACTGCACTCCAGTCTGGCTACAAAGCTAGACTCCATCTCAAAAAAAAAAAAAGTAAATAAAAATTTTTAAATTACACTTTAAAATTGTAATTGTTATAAAATACGCACCTGTTTGCAGAACTAGCAGGTGTTTGCAGAGTCTCAAGTCATTTGTAGAGACTATAGCTGTTTTGTGGAGCTCTTTGTTGTTTGCAGATGCTGTGGTTGTTACTAAAGACTGTTGAAATTGACTGGTATGCCTGTTGAATGCTTAACTTCTAGCTAGGCTTTCCTCCCTCAGCCACCAATCGGCGTGTCTTATTTAAGCACAGAGTATGTGTCCAGTGTGTTGCCAATCTGAAGGATACAGAAGTATAAAGAAAGACCCTGGCTGGGCACAGTGGCTCATACCTGTAATCCTCCCAGCACTTTGGGAGGCCGAGGCGGGCAGATCACTTGAGGTCAGGAGTTCGAGACCACCCTGGCCAATATGGTGAAACCCTGTCTCTACTATAAGTACAAGAATTAGCCAGGCATGGTGGTGCACGCCTGTAATCCCACCTATTCGGGAGGCTGAGGCAGAAGAATTGCTTGAATCTGGGAGGCGAAGGTTGGAGTGAGTTGAGATCATGCCACTGCACTCCAGCCTGGGCAACAGAGTGAGACTCCGTCATTAAAAAAGGACAAAGAAAGAAAAAAAGAAAGGCCCTGCCTAGAAGAAATCTTCTATACAGTTGGGGAAAAACCATGGAATATATATCAACCCTGAGAACAATCCCTGGAGGCACACAGGATGTGAGGGGATGTGTGCTTCTCATTTTTTAAATTTTTGTTTGTTTATTTATTTATTTATTTATTTATTTTGAGTGAAGCCTTGCTCTGTCACTCAGGCGGGTGCATTAGTACGACCTGGGCTCACTGCAACCTCCACCTCCGGGTTCAAGGGATTCTCCTGCCTCAGCCTCCCGAGTAGCTGGGATTACAGGTGTGCACCACCACGCCTGGCTAATTTTTGTATTTTTAGTAGAGACGGGGTTTCACCGTGTTGGCCAGGCTGGTCTTGAACTTCTCACCTCAGGTGATCCGCCCGCCTCGGCCTCCCAAAGTGCTGGGATTACAGGCATGAGCCACTGCATCCAGCCAGATGTCAGTTTCTTGAAGAATCAGCCCCACCTGGACTCCTTTTCGTGTCTGTTCTCCACACAGCTGGGACAGGACAGCTCATTTTATGTAGACCCCTCCCATGGTGTACCCCTCCTCACTCCACCCTATACCTACAGCCTTCGAGATATACCCCAAGCCCTGTATCAGACCAAATTACACAACTCCATTTGTCCTTCCCTTCCCTCATTAAAACCCCTTTCTCTCGGGGTCCTGATTCTAGTTAACCCACAAGATAAAAAGGGAATAAAGAACAAATTTGCAGCCAGGTGTGGTGGCACATGCCTGTGGTCTCAGCTATGCCGGAGGCTGTTTTGGAAATAGTGGTGATGGTTGTACAATATCGTAAATGTAATATTAAATATTGAATATAATATTAAATATTGAAGCAAGGCATGGTGGCTCACATTTGTATTCCCAGCTACTAGGGAAGCTGAGGCAAGGAATCGCCAGAGCCCAGGAGTTTGAGGCTGCAGTCAGCTATGATCGTGTTACTGTACTCCAGCCTGGGCAGCAGACTGGGACATTCAAATAAATTAAAGTAAATTTTAAAAGAAAGAAAAACAAAATTGCAACAAGTTCTTAGCCACTGGAATGTGCTGCTATGAAGGGGACATTTGTATTTGGAAATGAGAAGCTTGGAGGCTGCCATGGCTCCACCCAAAGTCATGCCCCTGATGGCGAGCTTGGGGACACAGCGGCAGGCAGCAGGAATGAACCGGGTGCATGGCCACCCGGCTGCCTAAGGGGAAGGTCCTGGCAGGCGCACCCTGTTTTTGGCCACAGCTGTAGTCTGACTGAATCTTTGTTAATCGAATCCTCTTTCCCAGTGACTCATAGGCCCATTTCGGAGCAAGGACGCACCCGGAATGAGAAGTGGTTCCAGTCTAGGCATGGGCTGAAGGTGGATCCAGTAGGTCCAAACCAGTGCTTCTAACTAAACAGAACAGTCTGATTCTGGCTCAGTCTGCCTCTGTATGTGTTCCTGTGTGCTTGTTTTCTTAAACTTCAGCTTGGACTGTGATTCAGTACATGTAACTGATGGCTCTTTCAGTTCCAGTCCCCGGTTTAGAGGGTTAGTCCAGTTCTCTCCAGTTTCTGTCTCACCTCTGGGATCAGGTCACATCCTTGTCTCAGTGAAGTTTCCTCTTTCTCTCTAAGAGCTCTGAAGAGAGCCATAGCTGCTATCATCTTGGTTTTCCAGCCTGGGAGCAGAAGCAGGGCAATTTGATCCACTTGGGAGAGGACAACCACCATCCGGGTGCTGAGACACCCAAATCCGCCCTTTTAGATTCCTGAATTCCTGACCCCTCGTCCACACTGCCCTTTAGGCTTCTTCACCCAGGTGTGCTAAGAACACCACACACTGAAAAAGCCCTAGATGAGCTCATTATCTTTGCTGCCCACTCTCCTCTCCTTGCCTTATTCCTTACTTTGCAATCTGCCCGGTTGTCCAGATAAGACGAATTCTTTCTCTCTGAGGCCTGGTAATCCTACCCCTAAAAGGACCCTAACTCCTCACCTCATGCTGACTATGAAGTGCCTTCCTCTGTCTGTCACCAGGGCAAGGCAGCAATCTCCTTCCAGCTCTCCCTGCTGTCCCCAGCCTCCATCTCCAGGCCCCCAGGATCACCATTCAGTCAGTCAACATTGTGTCAACGATGTTGATGGGATACTACGGAGAGCAAGCTAGACATAGACCATGCTTCAAAGAACTTATAGTCAGTAGGGTCTTTCTTTTAGTACCTGTCTAGAAAGAATGCTTCTCTGCAGTGTTTGGTTTTTACTTATTTTTCATTTTTTGAAATGGAGTCGTGCTCTGTCGCTCAGGCTGGAGTGCAGTGGCGCGATCTCGGCTCACTGTAACCTCCACCTCCTGGGTTCAAGCAATTCTCCTGCTCTCAGCCTCCCAAGTAGCTGGGATTACAGGTGCCTGCCACCATGCCTGGCTAATTTTTGTATTTTTAGTAGAGACGGGGTTTCACCATGTTGGGCAGGCTGGTCTCGAACTCCTGACCTCAGGTGATCCACCTGCCTTGGCCTCCCAAAGTGCTGGGATTACAGGTGTGAGCAACCGCACCTGGCTTGCTTTTTTTATTTTTAACCGACAAATATAATTGTACATATTTATGGCATACAACATGATGCTTTGAAAAATGTATATAGTGGAATGGCTAAGTCAAGCTAATTAACATAGGCATTACTTCATATGCTTGTCATTTATTTGTGGTGAGAACACTTCAATCTACTCTCTTTGCAATTTTCTAGCATACAACACCTTGTTGCTAACTACAGTCAGCAAATTATGCCAGGCCTGGGCTAAATGCTGGGGGTGCAGAGACGGACAACTCAGTGGAGAAGACAGATGTCAAGCAAATAATCACCCACATTAATATGTGATTCTTACCTGTGATATTTCTCATGAAGCACAAGGGAGGAAGGGTCAGGAGGGCATATGCTGGGGTCAGGGCCCTTGGGGAAGTCAGGGAAGGCTTCTGCATGGGGGAGTGGAGCTTACTAAGCTGAAGGGGGTAGATGGGAGAGTGTCTGGGGAGACAGCAGATACATGTCCGGGCCTACCGTAACAAAAGGAGCCCATGAAAATCTTTGAATTTCACAAGGAAAAGAATGAACTTTTAAATAAAAGAAAATGCTTTAATATATAATAATGATGTACTCGTCTTTATAGTAACACACTTATAAACTATAATTATAGTTTATACATTATAAACTATAATTTATAGAGAAAGGGACCTGTGAAGGCAAAAGTGCCTGAGGTCCAAGAAGGTCATAATGTGGCCCTGGCATGAAGAGCTGTGGGGCGGGAGCAGAGGCGGTGGGGGTACTGAGGGGAGGGCTGGAGATGTGGCCACAAAGATGGCAGGGGTTGGATTTGGAAGCCATAGTACAAATTTAGGACTTTATCCTAAACACAGACTTGACAAGCATTTTATTGAATCTCTAAAATCAATTTTTAAAAAACTCCACAATACTGGGCAACACAGTGAGACCCTGTCTCTACAAATAAAAAATTAGGCCAGGTGAGGTGGCTCGTATCTGTAATCCCAGCACTTTGGGAGGCAGAGGCGTGCGGATCACGAGGTCAGGAGTTCAAGACCAGTCTGACCAACATGGTGAAACCCCATCTCTACTAAAAATACAAAAATTAGCAAGGAGTGGTGGCATGAGCCTGTAATCCCAGCTACTCAGGAGGCTGAGGCAGGAGAATTGCTTGAACCTGGGAGGCGGAGGTTGCAGTGAGCCGAGATCACCTTTCACCATGTTGGCCAGACTGGTCTTGAACTCTTGACCTCGTGATCCACTTGCCTCGGCTTCCCAAAATGCTAGGATTACAGGTGTGAGCCACTGTGTCCAGCCATCATCTATAGTTTTCTGCACAATCTTTCTCCCTTCCCTCCTCTTTTTTCTTTTTTTTCCTGTTATATATTTGTTAAAGTGAAACCTTGTCTCTACTAAAAATACAAAAATTAGCTGGGTGTCGTGGTGTGAGCTACTCGGGAGGCTGAGGCAGGAGAAACACTAGAACCTGGGAGGTAGAGGTTGCAGTGAGCCGAGATCATGCCACTGCACTCCAGCCTGTAGACAGAGTGAGATGCCATCTCAAAAAAACAAAAACAAAAACAAACAAACAAAAAAACCCAAACCAAAAACAAAAACAAGAAACCAGGTTGTTTGACCTCCATTTTGTTGATTACATTCCTGTGGTGTTGTTTAACGTACTCCTCTGGCCCCTGAATTTTCTAGGAATGGGCTGTTGGGTCTAGAGGCTCGGTGGGGTTCAAGTTCAACTGTTGGCAAGGGTGGCACTGAATACTTCCTTTTGGGAGTGCATAAAGTCTGCCTTGTCCCTCCTCTGGGGATGTTGCCAGCCACTGACAGCCACTGCCTAGGATGTGAGTCTGTCAGGGGCTTATAGCACTCTGGCACCAGCTGGAGATGGGAGAGCAGGTTGGAGGCTCAGGTGGGTACAACATCTTCCTGTTCCTCCAGGGAAGACTTCCTCCCCTGGTGGAGAAAGAGGCAGCCGTGGTCCATAGGCCCTTTCTCTCTACCACCTCTGAGCATTGACAGTCCTCCACCCTGTATAGGAAGTCAGTCTTGGCAAATGAAGAGGACCTCATCTGGGCTTTCCTGTGCCTTAGGTTTTATAGTTTTAGAATCAGCAGCAGGGCCAGCTCTGTCATGCCCCAGCAGGTAAAAGCCTGGCTCCGGAGGGGTATGGGTTGGGTGCTTGAGGAGTAAAGTTCCCTGGGGCCTCACCCTGTCTAAGTGCCATCAAACCAGCCTGGGTCTCAGTTCTGGCTTCCATGCACACTAGGTAGGGCAAGCTACTTACCCCCTCTGAACCTGTTTCCTCACATGCAAAATGCGGATGATTACAAGGCCTGCATAGAGGCTAGTCGTGAGGTTAAATGCAGTAACATTATAAAGTGCTGAGCTCAATGCCTGGCATTGAAGAAGCAGGCAGTAACAGTGACTCAGATCATGGTATCACTTTATAACTGGTCCCTTCCTTGCCCAGACTAGTAAAAAACAGTGGGAGGGAAGAGGAAGACCATCCACCCCAATATCTTCACCTTCAGTAATGTCCTTCAGCTGGACATGAATCAGTGGTTTTTTTCCAGGCTGGGCCAGCTTGGGTCCCTGACAGAAGGATAACATTAAGGTGGCTGGTTTGAGGAGGAAGGCGCTCATAACGTTAGATCAATAGTAACTTAAGTGTCATGGGCCCCATAATAACACAGGGGACTCCAAGCCAGTGGATCCCCAGTGCCTTGTGAGCTGTCACTCCAGAACACGTCTTAGGACTGCATGGCCAAAGTCCCGTGTGTGTTCAAGTTCTGTTTATTGCCCAGCTCCTTCTTGGACATTGGCTCGGGAGGCAGAAATCCCAGGAATCCTGGTTGCTCCTTCCCCTTGGCATTCTCCTCATCCTCCTCCCTTCCCCACCCGCCTCCCAACCAATCCTCAGGCCCCTCTCCCATTCAGTGGACAAGTGGCCAATTGTCTCTGGGATCTTGGTGTCCCTCAGGAGCAGCCAGATCCAGGCCAGATGAGGATGCCATAGGCATTAAACAGTGGGTCTGTATGAGGCCTGCTGGAGCTGCTTAATGCAGCCAGGCGGCAAGGGAGGTCAGGGGAGGCAGGCTGGGGGAGGGGCTCCATGTGGGAGCAAAGTGTTCAGGCAATGGGGTAGGAAAGGCAGATTAGTATTGGTGCCAACTCCAGAATGCAGCAGGTTCTGCAGACAGCAGCATAAAGTAGCAGGGCTCTGAAGACAGGGGCAGGGCCCTAGATCACAAAGCTGCTAACTCCCCTAACATCTCCTGAATCGTCCCTGCTTCCCACTGCTACTGCTCCTACCTTCCTTCTGGTCCCCGTCATCTCGCCCCTGAACTATTGCTACCACCTCCTGAAGGACGAGCTGCCTTTGTGAATTCTTGGAAGTGCTACAACAATCAGATTACTTGCCTACTTAAAACCTGGGCAGAATGCATAAGCTTATTTTTGTTGCGTGCACCCCTCTGGTAGCCTGGTGAAGCCTGTGGACTTCTTCCTATGATGATGTTTTATTTTATTTTTGAGATGGAGCCTCACTGTCACCCAGGCTGGAAGGCAGTGACACGATCTCGGTTCACTGCAACCTCCACTTCCCGGGTTCAAGCGGTTTTTGTGACTCAGCCTCCCAAGTAGCTGGGATTACAGGCATGCGCCACCACACCGAGTAATTTTTGTATTTTTAGTAGAGAAGGGCTTTCTCCATGTTGACCAGGCTGGTCTCCAACTCCTGACCTCAAGTGATCTGCCCTCCTCAGCCTCCTAAACTGCTGGGATTACAGGCATGGCCACCATGCCTAGCCCCTAGGGTGATGTTTTAAATGTATAAAATAAAATATACTGAGCTGGGTGCGGTGGCTCACGCCTGTAATCCCAGTGCTTTGGGAGGCTGAGGTGGGCAGATCAGTTGAGGCCAAAAGTTCGAGACCAGCCTGGCCAAGATGACAAAACCCCATCTCTACTAAAATTACAAAAAAAAATTAGCCAGGCATGGTAGTGGTTGCCTGTAGTCCCAGCTACTCGGGAGGCTGAGGCACGAGAATTGCTTGTACCTGGGAGGGGGAGGTTACAGTGAGCTGATATAATACTCCTGCACTCCAGCCTGGGCGACAAAGTGAGATGCTGCCTCAAAAAAAAATATATATATATATATACACACACACACGTATATATGTACTCACATATGTATATAATGTACTATACATATGTATACACATATGTATATAATGTATTATAAAGGCAATCAAGTATGTTAAAAAACAATGATCAATATATTTCTTAAAAATAAAATTTGTGACCGGGTGTGGTGGCTCATGCCTATAATCCCAACACTTTGGGAGGCCAAGGTGGGCCAATCACTTGAGGTCAGGAGTCTGAGACCAGCCTGGCCAATGTGGTGAAACCCCATCTCTACTAAAAATACAAAAATTAGCTGGGCAAGTGGCGGGCACCTGTCATCCCAGCTACTCGGGAGGCTGAGGCAGGAGGAATTGCTTGAACCCGGGAGGTGGAGGTTGCGGTGAGTCGAGATCGCACCATTGCACTCCAGCCTGGGCAACAAGAGCGAAACTGCATCTCAAAATAAATAAAATAAAATTTGCAAATAGTAATATATGAGCTTTTTTTTTTGAGACAGAATATCTCTCTGTCCCCCAGGCTGGAGTGCAGTAGCACTATCTTGGCTCACTGCAACCTCTGTCTCCCGGGTTCAACTGATTCTAGTGCCTCAGCCTCCAAAGACATATGCACTTTTTAATAAACACCTCATATGATAAGTTACAGCGGTGGGTCTCCTAACTGACATAATTTTGAGACAAAATTTTGAACTATCTGCCACCATGTTCATGGGATAGGAAAAGAACTGTGATATCTGTTGGTGAGAGAGTCTCGGGTACTGCTAATAGTACTTTGGTTTGTTGTCTACATTTGTTTTAAAAGGCAGTGCTGGCCAGGCACAGTGGCTCACGCCTGCAATCCCAGCACTTTGGGAGGCCAAAGTGGGCAGATCACTTGAGGTCAGGAGTTGGAGACCAGCCTGGCCAACATGGCGAAACCCTGTCTCTATTAAAAATACAAAAATTAACCGGGCATGATGGCTCACAACTGTAATCCCAGCTACTCAGGAGGTTGAGGCAAGAGAATCACTTGAACCCGGGAGGCAGAGGTTGCAGTGAGCTGAGATCGCACCACTGCACTCCAGCCTGGGCAACAGAGCAAGACTCTATCACATTAAAAAAAAAAAAAAAGTATGAATATGAGGCATTGTAAATGGTTGCCCAAAGACATTGGCAGGGTCAGCATGGCATTGTCATCCCTACATGCCAAGTGCAATTGTCCCCACTGACCATTTCTTCTTATCCTCAAAGATCCTGTCTTTATTAAGGGTGACCAGCAAAGGAACTGAGCTGGAAGAGACCAGCAGGGAGAGGTTGCAATCTCCAAAAGAGCTACCCCAAGCAACCCAGGAAGCTGCTCACCACAGGACAGAAAGACAAGGGAGGTATTCCCAAAGGGCTGCTGGGCATGCCCAGCCACCCCACAATGGGTGGGAGAGGGTGGGCCAGCAGGTGGAGGATTCTCAGCACAGAAGGAAACCAGAAGACTTCAGGGAAGCTGGAGGAGGCCATGGGAGAGGGGAGTGGTGACCTCATATATGAGGGGAGTGGTGACCTCATATATATGAGGGGAGGGAAGCATGCTCAGGTAGTGAGGACAGCCGTGGACTCTGGGCACGGGTCACCCTGGGTACCTTGAGCAAGTTACTTCACCTCTCTGAAACTCAGTTTCCTCATCTGTAAAATGGGCTGATCATCCCCCATGGTGTCATTGCAACCATTAAATGAGATAATGAAAATGATGAAATGCTTTATTTATCTGCACTATCTTATGTAGTGTGTATTAAATATCTAGCACATAGTGAACACGGCAAAAGCACCTTATTATTATTGCAAAATTTTTTAAGTTGCTTCAATTTGCTTACCCTTTCCACTTGGCTTTTCCTCTTTTATCTCCCTCATCAATCAGCGCTGTGCTATAACCCCAAACCTCCCTGCCCAAGGTGCCTGTAGAGTCTTCCAGCCCAGAACAACCTAGGGGAGGATGAGGTGGAGGTGTGGAGTGTGTGTGTGTGGTGTGTGTGTTGGGTTTCCTGTGAGCCATCAGAACTTGTATAGAAGTCTGGGTGGGTATGTGCATGATGCATTTTCTCTGAGGAAACAGTCATAGATTCTCAAAGTAGTGACCAAAACAAATAAAGGCTAGGATCCACAGAAGTAAAATGTTAGATCTTAATGCAATAGTCCTTTCTCGGTCTGAAAAGAGGTCTTAGCGAGAGGGCAATGTTTAACACCGAGAAATGGCTCTCACATGATGGAATTTCAGGAATCAATGATTGTTGGGGAGAAAGGTTTAGGGGTAGGTACCATAAATCGCACCCTGCCGTGTCACTCTAAAAATGACCCAGTTTAAGGAATAGCTTTGGATGACCTCTAAATTGGTTCAGAATGAGGGCCTCTTTTGTTACTAAATTATTTTTCCTGGCCATAGAAATTTTAGACGTTGGCAAATCGCAATAAATTTCTGATATTACCATTTCGCTTTTTAAGAAAAAGTCTTTGAAATGACAACAGAGACTTATCTGAAATCTTCAAACGTAAATAATTCAGAATTAGTGCTTGAGCTCTGCTCTTAAGCTACAAGGACACGTTTCTCGATAATGGGCTTTCAGAGCAAAGGATATGTAGCTTTGCTATTAAGAGTGACTGAAACCCTGCCAGGGCAACATTTACCTAACTTAATTATCGCCACTTAGCCACATCTCTCTCCTCAATGCCCGGCTAATTCTTGCAACCTCAAATATCGTACATTGAATTTACACATTCTACATTTCACTATTCTTTTAATTGTGGTAAAAAGTATATAATAAAATTTACCCCCTTAGCTATTTTGAGCGTACAGTACAGTAATATTATCAGTATGCACACTGTTGTGCAGTAACTCTTTAGAACATTTTCAATTTGCAAAACTGAAATTTTATGCCCATTGAACAACTCCCCTTTCCCCTCCCGCTCCCACCATGGCCACCACCATTCATTCTACTTTCTGTTTCTAACAGTTTGACTTCTTCAGATACCGCAGATAAGTGGAATCATGTAGTATTTATCTTTTTGTGACCAGCTTATTTCATTTAGTATAATGTCCTCAAGGTTCATCTATGTTGCAGCATGCAACGGGATCACTTTTTTTTTCTTAAGACTGAGTAGGCCGGTTGTGGTGGCTCATGCCTGTAATCCCAGAATTTTGGGAGGCCAAGGCAGGCGAATCACTTGAGGTCAGGAGTTGGAGACCAGGCTGGCCAACATGGTGAAACCCATCTCTACTAAAAATACAAAAATTAGCTGGGCGTGGTGTCGTGTGCCTGTAATACCGGCTACTCAGGAGTCTGAGGCAGAAGAATCACTTGAACCCGGGAGGTGGAGGTTGCATTGAGCTGAGATCATGCCACCTCATGAGACTCCATCTCAAAAAAAAAAAAAAGACTGAATAATACTTCGTTGTATGCATATACCATTTTCACTATTTTTTAAAAACATCCTTGTTGCTCTGCTCTGTGATTTATTTTGTTCAGTGATGTTTCTCCTAGTATAAAACGTGAAGCTTGCCTTATCATGTACATTAAATTTACCACTCAGAAACCTTTCTAATTGAGTAAATGGAGAATTTGTAGACATGAAAATTTAAGATATATTTCTTTCAGAGGTTCTGAAAACAAGTCGGTGGACACAGTGGCTCACGTCTGTAATCCCAGCACTTTAGGAGACTTAGGTGGGTGGATCACCTGAGGTCAGGAATTAAGACCAGCCTGGTCAACATGGTGAAAGCCTGTCTCCACTGAAAATACAAAAATTAGCCAGGCGTGGTGGCGCATGCCTGTAGTCCCAGCTACTTAGGAGGCTGTGGCACGAGAATCACTTGAACCCAGGAGGCAGAGGTTGCAGTCAGCTGAATCTCACTAGTGCACTCCAGCCCGGGCGACAGAGGGAGACTGTGTCTCAAACAAAACAAAACAACAACAGAAAGAAAACAAAAAACAAAAAGAAAAAAAAAGAAAATTTAACAGATATTTCCCCAAGTTTCCAAATGATCCATTGGAAATAGGGCAAGTTTATAAAATAATTGATAATCTTTCATAATGTAAGTGATTTTATAAGGCATTTCATATCATCTGTCTTTTAAGCAATATGACAAGAACAAAAATAAAAATAGAACCTGTTGACCTTTTCAGTTGACAGCTACAGAGCTTTTTATTTATGGAAATAAGGTTTTCAAGTAATGATGATATTGAATCACTTTACGCTCTTAATGGCTTTTTATATAACTCCTTTGATCAGATCCGATTTGCAGAGGGTGACTATTTTCCTCTGAAATTCTTTTTTTTTTTTTTTTTTTTGAGACGAAGTCTCACTCTTTCGCCCAGGCCAGACTGCAGTGGCACTATCTCGGCTCACTGCAAGCTCCGCCTCCCGGGTTCCTGCCATTCTCCTGCCTCAGCCTCCCGAGTAGCTGGGACTACAGGCGCCCGCCACCACGCCCGGCTAATTTTTTGTATTTTTAGTAGAGACGGGGTTTCACCATGTTAGCCAGGATGGTCTCGATCTCCTGACCTCGTGATCCGCCCGCCTCGGCCTCCCAAGGTGCTGGGATTACAGGCGTGAGCCACCGCGCCCGGCCTAAAATTCTTAAACAGAATATAAAACAATGTAAACAAAAATGTTACAAAACAGAAATAAAAACAGCATTTGTGTTGGATTACCAAGTGTTCATTTTACCAAGAGGATAATCCCTTTACCTAATTGAAATAAGGAAGAAACAAAGGTGGGTGTGAACCTTTTATGGAGAGATCCTGGAAGCATGACCTTGGCCAAAACAACTGATGGCTCAGCCAATCTCTGGAGATGAGACCTGCAGAAGTTTCATTATTTGTTGCTGTCAAGGTGAAGCTCAACTCCATCCTGTGGATGAAGAGTCAAACTCTGTAGAGTATTTGAAGAGATTTATTCTGAGCCAAATATGAGTGACCATGGCCCATGACACAGCCCCAGGAGATCTTGAGAACATGTGTCCAGCGTTATCAGAGTACAGCTTGTTTTTATACATTTTAGGTTATAGGTGAATTCGAAGATTTTCTGATTGGTAGCTGGTTGAGTTTATCTAAAGACCTGAAATCCGTAGGAGGAAATGTCTGGGTTAAGATAAGGGGTTGTAAAGACAAGGTTCTTATTATGCAGGTGAAGCCTTCAGGTAGCAGGCTTCAGAGAGAATAGATTATAAATGTTCGTTATCCAACTTACAAAGGTGCCAGACGACCCCGGGAGCGCAGGGAGCGCTCCTGCAGGAGCATTTCAAAATAGGCCAAATGAATATATTTTGGGGTAAAATACTTCGATTTCTCTCAGGGCCTGCTGTCATGATTCTTATTGCTACAAAGAGTCTGTACTGTCAGTCTTAAGGTCTCTGTTTTTTGGGTTTTTGTTTTTTTTTTTTATTGAGATGGAGTCTCTATCATCCAGGCTGGAGTGCAATGGTGCCATCTCGGCTCACTGCAACCTCTGCCTCCCGGGTTCAAGCAATTCTAATGCCTCAGCCTGCTGAGTAGCTGCGATTACAGACATAAGCCACTACGCCCAGCTAATTTTTGTAGTTTTAGTAGAGACAGGGTTTCACCATGTTGGCCAGGTTGTGCCTTAAGGTCTCTGTTTTAATATTAATGCTGGTCAGCTGTGCCTGAATTCCAAAGGGAGGAAGTTATAAGGAGGCATGTCGGCTGGGCGCTTTGGATCACACCTGTAATCCCAGTGCTATGGGAGGCCAAGGTGGGCAGATCAGTTGATGTCAGGAGTTTGAGGCCAGCCTGGCCAGCATGGTGAAACCCCATCTCTATTAAATATACAAAAAATTAGCCGGGCGTGGTGGCTCATGCCTGTAGTCCCAGCTACTTGGGAGGCCGAGACATGAGAATTGCTTGAACCCAGGAGGCAGAGGTTGCAGTGGGTTGAGATTGTGCCACTGCACTCCAGCCTGGGTGACAGAGTGCGACGCCCTCTCAAAAAAAAAAAAAGGAGCCATGTCCAACCACCCATTCCATCATGGCCTGAACTAGTGTTTTGTGTTTACTTGAGAATGCCCTTGGTCAAGAGGAAGGGTCCATTTGCTTGCTTGGGAGGGGCCTAGAATTTTATTGTTGGTTTACATTCCTCAGAGCTGATTGCCTTCCAAAAGGTTGCACTCTGAAATTATTATCAACCCTGATCAATAATCATAATACTAAGAACTACACGTATGCTATTGGAATGGATTTATTTATCAGCCCTGTAGGAAAATATATATCTCACATCACCTCATTCCCATTTACCCACTTTTCCCTTTTCCAATCTTAAGGCTCGTGTTGTCTAAATATTCGATAGTTTCAGCACAGTTTACATTTTATAAAAGCCCCCACTGGCTGCTGTGCAGAGAGCAGGTGTGTGCCCCTGATCTACAGAAGGTCAAGTTGATCCAACTATCTGGCTGGGGCAGGGGAGTTGGAGAGGGGAGTGGGGAGATGGGGAGGGGAGGGGAAGTTGGGGGAGGGGAAGCACATTCAACTGGGATGGAGACAAAGGAGAGAGGCAGGAGGAGGGAGAATGAAGAGCTGGGGAAGGAGCTTTGGAAAAATACAGGAAAGCAAAGGATGCGGCGACAGAAGGAGAGGATGAGGAGTCAGTCAGCACCACATGGAGAGCAAGAAGGAAGAAGGGGACAGGAAATGCAGAAACAGAGTGGAAGGACAAAGAAACTACAACATACAGAGGCCTCGAATAAAAATCAATTCATCTCAAAGTGTTCAGCATTTTCATGAGGCTGTGAGACCGAAATAGGAAGAGGCCCTTTATTTTCTTAGGAAGAGAACACAGACCGGAGGTGGGAGAGGAATGGTAGGGAATTTTCCAAACAAAGAGAGGGCCTGTGGCCTCTCAAACTGCCCCCACCCCATGCTCACTGAAGCGTTCACACTGCAGCCCTGAACTCTTCACAAACAGGGTGAACTCCATCCAGAGAGGGGGGATCCGGAACCCATGCTTGGTTTCCATCCCAGCTGGAGGGCTGGAGAATGAGACTGCAGAGCTAGGGTTCAGGCCACAGCCTGGGGGACAGGGTAGGCAGGAGGTCAGCAAGGCTTAGAGAAGATGGATATGTTGGGTTGGGTGAGAGGCCTGGTGCTGGGAGTGGGTTGTCTACAGAGAAGCACCCCCAGGGCCTTGTCCAGGATGATCCTTGGCCAGGGGGGTCCTGAGGGGACTGGCACTGCACACCTCAGGGATGCAGTATCAGGAAATCTGGGGCTCCCCAGCTTCCTGCTCTGGTCTTCTTCTCTGGACACGCTCATGTTGCCATAAGGAGAGACAGAAACATCAGCAAAATCAGATCAATGCTTCCAACTGTATCCCTAACCCCTCCATTCCAGCCAGATTTGGAGATAGTACAGATACCCCCCTCCCCAAGTAAAGTGTCTCTTGACACCTTGGGGTTCAGGCCACAGCCTGGGTACAGGGTGGGTAGGAGGTGAGAAATGACTCCCCTTCTTCTCGATGGAAAGAAAAGGCCTTGGCCAGGGGACAGTGCTCAGGGACTCTGGCCACTCCAGTACCTGCCCCTACAGAGGCCAGAGAAGGGCAGGGCCAGCCCCTGGTACAGAGCACTGAAAGGAGGTTCCCCCTCCAACTTCTGACTGGTGCTGGTTGAAAGACTGAACAAACTAACCCACTGAGCTTTTTTCCTCACTGCAAAGTGGGTCGAATGACAGGGCCTGCTTATGATGCATGGAAGGGATTCAGTACTTCCTGGGGTTTACAAGAGCTCAGAGAATGGCAGCAAGGCGAGTTAGAAACATCCTGGGCACCTGTTTTTAACAAATTCATTCACTCCTTCATTGCACACATGGTTATTGAGTGTCTGCTATGTATGTAACAAGCACTGTGGATACATCATTACACAAGACAGATTCTCCATCTCCCCAGCAGACATTTCCGTGTGTGTGTGTGTGTGTGTGTGTGTGTGTGTGTGTCTGTGTGTGTGTGGCGGGGAGAGGGCACAATACAGAGTAAACAATAAATAAAGTTATATAATATAGCAGAGGGAATTTAGTACTAGGAAGGACATAAAGCCAACGAGGGAGATAAGGTGGCGGGGGTGGAATTTTAAATCAGCTGGAGCATATGTATGAAAGTGGGCCGGGCGCGGTGGCTCACGCCTGTAATCCCAGCACTTTGGGAGGCTGAGGCGGGCGGATCACCTGAGGTCAGGAATTGAGACCAGCCTGGCCAACACGGTGAAACCCCGTCTCTACTAAAAATACAAAAATTAGCTGGGCGTGATGGCGTGCGCCTGTAGTCCCAGCTTCTTGAGAGGCTGAGGCAGAAGAACTGCTTGAACTCGGGAGGCGGGGGTTGCAGTGAGCCGAGATAGTGCCACTGCACTCCAGCCTGGCGACAGAGTGAGACTCCGTCTGAAAGAAAAGAGGAAAGGAGAGGAAAGGAGAAGAGAAAAGAAAAGAGAAAAGAAAAAAAGAAAAGAGGCCAAGTGTTTCCCGTAGAGATACTGTGTATTGGGGGGGCGCACAGGGGTGCCACGAATTGAGCTGCCCACTCCTTCCAGATGCAGGGTTCTCACCCGGGTAGGTGAGAACGGGGTGAGGGGGAGGAATCACGCGTGGGTGGCTGGATTAGTTCCTGATGTCCTCTGATTCCCTACAGCTTCTTCAGCCCCGTTCTAACCCCCTTCCTCAGGCTTACAAGAAAGTGTGTGGAAGAGAGACACGGAGAGACTGAGCATTAGACTTTTTTGGAAGAAACATCAGTAAATGAAAATGGAATTACAATAAAAATAACAAAAGCAATAAACTCCTGACCTCAGTCACAATCATTTTAGTTAACACGCCAGTCCTAATAACAAACACGAGTCCCTGAGACCGCAACCCCTCGGGCACCGCAGGGCGTGCAGGTCTGGGCGGGCGGCGCAGCCTCCCCTGGCGGCTGACCCTGGGAGCGCGGGGAGCGCCAAGCCTCTTCTAGCGCTCACCTCGCGCTCACTCCTGCGCTCGCCGGGCTGCTTGTGCGGGGAAGGGGCGGGGCCCGCCTGGGCTCCTCCCCGGTCGGAGCCCGGAGCAAGGGGGCAGAGCGCGCCGGGCGCTGGTTAAAGAGGCGTGCGGAGGCGGGCGCGGCGCATACTGCTAGTGGCGCGCGGAGGAGCGACGCGTGGAGAAGCGGCCCACGTGTCTGCCCAGAGTCAAGTCCTGTGTTCTTCCCGCTCCTTACGCATCCGCGGTCCAGGGCGCCCTTTCAGCCCCGCTGGTGTTCGCCCACCCCGGGCCGCGTGAGTGGGGCCCCACGCAGCTCCCCGCACTCCGTGGGCCAACTTGGCCAAGCAACTCTGTCCGGGGAGCGGTGCTTGCGGGGGGTGAGTACCGGGCACTGCGCATGCGGAGCTCCAAATTCAAACAGCTGTTTTCAGAGGCTGGAGGGCGGGCGGACTGGTAGCAGCTGGGGCTAGGAGAGGCTTTCTCTAGGAGGCGGCCGCTCGGGAGCCATGGTGGACCGGGGCCCTCTGCTCACCTCGGCCATCATCTTCTACCTGGCCATCGGGGCGGCGATCTTCGAAGTGCTGGAGGAGCCACACTGGAAGGAGGCCAAGAAAAACTACTACACACAGAAGCTGCATCTGCTCAAGGAGTTCCCGTGCCTGGGTCAGGAGGGCCTGGACAAGATCCTAGAGGTCAGTCGCCGCCTGTACCCCCATATACATCTGAAGCTGGCTTGAGCTTTAGGGGGCGCTGAAAGGAAGACCCCTTCACAGCTTTGGGTGACCCTCAGTCCCTGTGGAAGGTCCAGGGGGTGATGAGAGAGCGTGTCTCATCATGGGTCAGGCTTCGAGGATCTGTCGCTCACCCGAGGGACACAGGGGTCCCCCAGGCGCGGAGACTCTTTGGAACTTAGTTTGGCCGGAGACAAATTGGAGTTGATTCCCGGGTGAACTAGGCTCCACGGTGTTTCAGTGTGGGTGTGACGGTACCTCCCTCCTTGGGAAGAGGCTGTGGGACGGATAAAGGCGTTTATCTTTCCCTGGAGACGCTCCCGGAGTCTGGGAGCCAAGCCTGGTGCCATCCCCTCGTGTCTCCACCTCCCCGCTCCAGGGCCAGTGCCACGCCTGCCAGGCTTTTCTTAAGGAACGTGAACCCGGCAGAGTGGCGGGAGGGTCCCTCAGCCCGAGCCTGGGCAAAATCTTCCGCCCCCAGCAGAGTTCCGGAGAGGAGCTGGAGGCTCTGTGGGGCCCGAACCCACGGGATGAGGGCTGGTGCCTGGAATGCTGGGGACGCGCTCAGGCTTCCGGGAAGGCTTATCTCGCGGAGACATCCTTCAAGGGCTTGGAGTAAAACTTTGTGAAAGTAGCAGGTTGCACAAACGAATAATACCCGCGTAGTCCCTTTATGATGGGGGAGGAGAGTGTGTGCGGAATTGGGGTGGGTGGGGGACTTCCCTCCGTGCTGACATTGGGAACCGCTTATTTTCTGGTGCACAGCCCGATGGGTGGCATTGACCTCACTTTGGATAAACGGGCTGCCTATCCTGGCTGAGACCTTGGGGCCCATTTGGGGACCGAGGCCCTCTACCCCAGTTTCTCGAGGGCTCAGCTTCAACCATCAACTCTTCTTGGCCTGCTCCCCCAGTGGAATGACCAGGACCTGGGTGAAAGTTCTAGATTGCAGCAGGTAGGGAGTAGGGGTAGATTGTCCAGGGTGTTACCTTGCTCTCAGGGTGAAAGATGCCAGAAAGGAGGTCTGATGAGAAGCAACGTTTAGTCTACAGCAGCACCTCAATACTTTATGCCTATCTAGTCGTCGCTCATTTTCCAGCCTCCGTTTCCCCATGTGAGAAACGGGAATGAGCCCATCCTCATTCCTTATTTCTGCCACGGACTGTTAGGTTGGAAGCATTTGGAAAACATCAAAATCTTGTCCCCAGATTGATGGACATCACACAGATAAGCATATACGTATTTGCTGGCAGCCGTGTGTGGGGAGACTTGTCCTCCAAGGGGTCCTGTAGAAGGGGAGGTTTAGTCTAGCAGGCTTAGTGTTGGATTTTAGTGGAGAGTCTCTTGCCCTGTAGCAGTTTCCCGGGTAGAGGCAGATGGGAGGTGATGGTGGGGAGGATAAGCTTCAGTAGATGGTTGGTTGGTTTACCTCCTAACAGCAAGAGTCCTGGCATGAAGAGTCTACATGGCTTCCTTCTGATGGGCGTCTACCCTGGGGGGTGTGTTGTGGGGAGGGGGTTGCTTTATGATTTCCCTTGAGGAAACAATTCCTCTAGAGAACAAGTTTTTGTTTAGTTTGTTCCAGGGCTTTGTTTAGAGGGGGAAGAGGGCAGGCAAGGATGATAAAGCCTTGAGCTGCCCTCGAAGTGTTTCCCTCTAAGCTGTTGCTCCAACACTGCAGGGGAAGGAAGGAAAGAATTCAAGGCTAAATGTGGGAAAATAAACTTCAAAACACAAGGCAAAGGGAAAGGCTGGCGGGGCATACGGCGGGGGGGGCGGGGTCCAGGGGTTAGGCAGCCGGGTGCAGCTGGTGGTCATAGCTTTGGAGGCTAGACGGCTTCTTAAGGTATTTGAACAAACAAAATGCCTCTTATTTAGCAGTCCTGTTAAATCTGTCAACATTTACCCCCCTACCAAAAAAAAGTAATGGGCAGGTAATTTTTAGAAAAAGGACTTGGGCATCAAGCCAGTCTGCTTTGGAGGCTATTATAGATAAGTTCTTGAACAAGGACAGCCCTGTCCTCATCCCCGGCCAAAGAAACTCCCAAACCAACCCCAACTGGGCGAGTCCCTTCCCGTCATAGGAAAAACCCCAAGAAATGAAAATGGACAAGTAGAAGCATTTGCTGACATCAGTTTTAATCTGCAGAAATCTGCCTTGCTCTGCTTTCTTGTGACTTGGGGTACTGCCTCAGGCCTCAGGATATTGGTTTAAGGAAAAATGAAAACTCAAAAATCTTCTTTCCCATCTGGCTGCTTGGGCATTTTCCACCTGACGCTCTGTGTTTTAGCTGGTTCTGAATCACCTTGGAATCATGAAGGAGCCCCTAGCTAGGAATTCCTGGGGTACAACCAGGGGTGGGACAAAGATTGTTGGAAGAGATGGGGTGCAGTCTGAGTTGGGGTTTCTCTTACCCTGAAAGTTGTGTGTGCTCTTTCAAATGTGTGAGAAAGGGAGTTAAGTCAACTTTCTTTAGAAATACCCCCCGAATTGTCAGATACTTCCTTCCCTCCGCTGTGGTTGAAGTGAGGTGCAGGCTGACTTTCAAGTGCTCAGTGACCCGCCAGCCTGGGACCACGTGATCGTCCTCTTTCCTGTCTTCAGAACCATCTTGAACCCTTGCTCTCAAGCAAGATCTTTGGTGACTCATTCTCCCAACCTCTTCCTAAATTGCAGACTCACACAAGGGAAGTTAACATTTACAGCACACCTACTCTGTGTTGGGCATTGTGGGTGCTATTATCCTCATTTTATGAGAGAGGGCACAGGCTGGTTTTGCCATCTGGCTCGGCCATTTACCCATCAAGCCATGTAACTTAACTTTGCCTTCCTTTCCTCATCTGCAAAATGAGTGTTTGGTGAGGCTCCAATAGAGTAGAAACATTAGGCAAGATGTCTATAAAAAGTGAACAGGTCTCCTGACCTTAGCATTTATTGAGGAAGGCAGCTTTACCTACCTGCCTTATTTCAGGTACTCTTTACAGTATGTATTCAAGTAAGCAAGCTGAAGCCCAGAGAAGATAGAATGGCCACAGGGACACCACAGGAGGCACAGCCTATGGGGCGGGACGGGGAGGGGCAATGACCAGGCAGTCTGCCCCAGGAGCTTGCACCTCCCTCTTGGGCCTGTGAAGATTGTTGCTCTGTAACTGAGCTTAGGAAATTGGTTCAGCTGGACCCTGATCTGCTGGAAAATTCTATTTTCTATTTCCCCTAGCACAGGTAATGGCATACAGGCGTCTCCTGTGTTGTTGCCTGGCTGACCCAGCACCTCTGTTACTGAAGTAATACATCAGTCCACCCCTCTGCGCTTCTCATTTTGGAAGTCCCCAACCCCTGTCCCACCAAAAACAGTGGGGGTGTGATTGAAGGGGAGGAAGGACAGCCCTTCTCAACCTTCTGCCTCTGGTGGGCAGTGATCAGAAACAGGAAGGATTTGAGAGCCCACCGTGCACCAGACCACTTTGAATAAGCACTTTATATACATTCTTATTTTAATTTAATCTTGCAGGCCACCTCATAAATGAGGAAAATTAGGGGAAAAGCCAGTGTAACTTGTCTGGGATCACATAGAGCGGAGTCAGTTTTCACATCTAAGTTTCATGTTTCAAAGTACATGGAAATTAGCAAGCATTTATTAAGTATCCACCATGTGCCAGACACTGGGCAAGACTCTCAGGATACAAAGAATTAGGCTACACTCCGAGCTGCTGGAGAAAAGGATACATAAACCCACTGGGAACAAGACAGTGGGTGTGGGCTACAGAAGAGGTTTTCAGGAGGTCGCTTAACGAGGGTCTGGTCCAGCCTGAGGGGTCAGGGAGGGCTCTCAGGAGATGACCTCAAGCCAGAGTGGGGTCTTGGATTAGAAAGAACAGCTGGGAACCTGGGAGGTCAAAGCTGCAGTTAGCCTGGATTGCGCCACTGCACTCCAGCCTGGGCAACAGAGCAAGAGCTTGTCTCAAAAAAAGAAAAAAAAGATTAAAGAAAAAAAAAAACCTAACTGGTAAAGGAAGGGAGAAGAGACTCCTAACAGAAGATGGAGAGTGGCCCTTTCTCCTAGCCTGGGGAAGGCAGACTGCAGGTTTCTTGCTGTGGCTCTAGAGAGTCCCTTGTCTCCTGAGGGTGGAGCAGGGTTGCCCTAGGTCCTGCCCTCTGTCTAGCATCCCAGACCAAAGTCCAGGTTTTGCTTGACTGCTCATATAGCTGACCTGTTCCCGGAAGCCTCTTGGATCCCACTGGCCTCCTTCCTTCCTAAGCTCCAAAGTGCTTTCTTGTGTTCTAAGGTTTTCCATATGTACCTCCTTTCATTTTCTGGACCCTTTGGACTGGTCTATACACACTCCAGTCCAAAGTAGTAAGGCTAGTTCCAATTTTGAGGTTCTGGCACTCTTTTAACACCAATCCTGCTCCCCAGATTTGAAAAATAAAACCATGAAATATATGACAAAATTACATGTGGCCAAAATGCTTAGAATGGGGTACATTGAATTTTTTGGAAAGTTGAGGGTTAATATAAACACCCTCTTTGTCTCAGGCCTTGTTGGAAATTGTGAAATGCACTGGTCCACTTAACCGCCTTTGTAAGTAAAAGGAACACAATAGCTCTTTTGGTTATGGAGGATCTTGGAGGCCTCCACAGCCTTGGGTCCGAGCTTGAGTTCTTACTGGCTAGGACTGCAGAAGTGGAAAGTGGATAAGCTGGTTTTTTGAGAGGAAATTGAAGAGGTCCCTTCCTAATGGCTTGTTTCTTATTTATGTTCCACTCAAAAGTTGAGGGTAGCCAAAAAAAAAAAAAAGCCTTAGTCTGCCTTAGTTAACTGCTCTGGTTAGAGTTTTTTAACAGTGAAAGTAAATGTTTATTACATTGCTTTGAGCGTTTGACTAGAACCCTTAGGATGATTACAGATGGCACAGTAATAGAGAATTATTGAGGGTAGAAATTAGCAAGTGTTGAAAGTTTCCAGTGGGGGTGGGGGATGCAAAGGAGGTGATGATTGTTGCTTTTAAATATTTTCCTGGGGTTTTGCCCTATTTATAGTCTGGCGTTTAGAAGAAACAAAATCCCCCGGTTTTGGATGCTGTGCTTGGCTGGCCCTGACCTCGGGCCAAAGGCTTTCATCTTGAACTTGGCTGTTTGCTGGCAGATTGGGCTCAGCCTCTGAACTGTGTGTGTGGTTGGTGGTGGTGGGAGGAGGGAGAGAAGTGCAAGGTTTTGGGGAGCAGAGGAGCCAGGCCCCTGAGTGGAGCCTCCAAGACAGTCTTTGTCCAAATTGGGATGCTGTATTTGCATGGTGCTGCAAGAACCAGTTGGCCAGAACTGGGGTGGTACAGAGAAGTGAGGTAGGAGACCATAGGAAAGCACATGAAATAGGTTTGCCTCCTTCCAATATTCCTTGTAGGGAGTGGAGAAGATGGAAGCGAATCTCTTTGAGATTTCATTGAGTCCCCAGGGACCTCTGGAATAACGCAGAGGAACCCTTGCCTGTTCAGTTCTTCCCAAGTATGGCTGTACATAGAGAGAGGATGTGCTGCCCTCAGTAGGGATCTTTGTCCAGCTGCCACTGCGGGGCCTTGGTGGTGTTGCTGAAGGAATCACCAACCAAGCAGTATGTCTGATGGTTGTGGGAGTGGCCTCTGAAGCCACACCATAGTTTGCTTAGAATAGTGTATGGCACATCGTAAATGCTCACTAAGTGTTAGCTGCCATTTCTGCTATGCCCAGATATTCCTATGCTGCAATGGAGCGGTCCCTGCACAGGTGTGGTGGGAATCTAATTGGTATTACAAAGAATCAGGAAGGTCTTCCTAGAACAGAGAGAACGTCAACTGAATTTTTTAAACGCAAAAAACACAGAAACATATAATTTACCATTTTAGCCACGTTTAAAAGCCCAGCTCAGTAGTGTTAAGTATATTTACCATTATGAAACAGATCTCCAGAGCTTTTTCATTTTGCAAAACTGAAATTATACCCCCTTCAACAACAATTCTTCTCCCTCTCTACCCAGCCCCTGGGAACCACCATTCTCCTTTCTGTTTCTGTGAACTTAACTACTTTAGATGTCTCCTAAGTGGAGTCATATAGTATTTCTTTTGCTTTGTACAGTGGTACAACCACTGTGAAAAATAGTATGGAGTTTCCTCAATTAAAAATAGAACTACTGAGTGATGCAGTGCTCCTACTTCTGGGTGTGTATCAACCAAACTTCTAAAGAACTAGAAAAGGGATGGGGATGGTGGCTGTCTCTTGCCCATAGCCCTTGGGGAGGTGTTCTGCAGGATGGACCCAACAGGCTGTAGCCACAGGCCAGGGAGGTGAGAGTCACATGACTAAGCTCTTCTGGGTTGCCAAGGAATTTGAACTCCATCAAATTTTTGCAATTTTCAAGTAGGGGAGGGAACAACATTTCAGAAAGTTTCCTCCACAGCCATTTACAGCTTAAAAGAAGTGGAACATTCTACTCTAAAATAACGACATTTCTGTGGGCTGATCCCTTCACTCTGTGGGTGTTCTGATAAGGACACCCCCTCCTTCCTTTCTCCTGCTGATGTGATGTAGTGTGGGTTTTCCCAGAAAGCTCATATTGCCTACAGCCCCCAGAAAAACCCACTGACCTTCACACTCTAGTTCTTTTCCTACTACGAGCCCCTTAGGTCCAGGTCTGGGTCCCTGGCCCAGCCAAAGACATTCCGTCTCCCGTTTGGTGACCTTCCCAGATTGCATCTTCGCTATCCCTTTATGTAGAAGTGGGGGTGGTGTGCTCCAGTTGTAGCTCTGTTCAGCTGCCTAAGGCCTCTAGGCTTCTGGTGAGCAGTTATCCCAATCTCTGAACCTCAGAGACCTGGATACAGTGGAGTTGGAAACACAGAACGGGCCCTCCCTACTGGCTATCCTTTCTGTGCTTGATGAAACCTCAGATATTGGAGAGTCTTTAACCCTCTGGAGATCAGTGCAGCTGAGGAAAGATAATTGGGCCGCAGTGGTGAAATGAGAGGAAATACAGTCCAAAGTGCTCAGTGGTGGGTTGTAGATGGAAGAGGCTGGAGAGATGGGCAAATGTTGAAGGGGCTGGGGGGATTCATTTTCTGTTTTCTGAGGCCTGTAGCCAAACTCCTTGGCCTGTGGAAGACCTGGCTCCAAACAAAACACAGCCCCTGCCCTCAGGGGGCCCCTAACCTGGAGGAAGAATAGTAAGGAGCTGCTACCAGATTGATGTTGGTAAGTGCACCTGGGGACTCCAGGTGTGCACCAGGGCGAGAGATGAATTTTTACTTCTGCGCTTAGAAGAAGGCAGGCTTGGAGGGTGAGTGGCATGGGCAGTAGCCCTGTGAGCATTCTGTGGAGTGCCTACCAGGTGCCAGACATTGGGCTGGGATGTTACCTGTGTCTCCTTGAACCAGTTTTGTGGGCTAGGTATTGCTATTCCCATTGGACAGGAAACCAGAGGCCAGGTGACTTGCCTAGGTCTACACTGTTGGATAGAGGACTGAGATTGAATCCCTCTTGTTGACTTGGAAGCTTCGGTCTTGTCCATAAGTGGAGGTGGAGTCGGGGGCTGGGAGTGACAGGCTTGGGCAACCAATAGTTACAAGCACTTACTTGGCCACAGGCTGTGGGGGCCACAGGCTGTGGGAGCCACTGATGTGCATCATCTCACTGAATCATGGCAGCCACCCTCTGCAGTAAATTCTGTGATCAGCTCGACCTCACAGTAGAAGCAACAGAATGGACCATAGAGATTGAATAACTTGTCTGAGGCTATGTAGCTAGGAAGTGGAAGGATGAGGTTTTGAACCCAGAGCTCACACTGTGAACTATTCTCTTCTATGTGAGGCTACCTTGAAGGTGGGGCAAAGCAGGGAGCAAAGCATAGAGGCGAGAAAGTGCAGGGCATATGTGGTGTCCTCAGAGTCTTAGGGTGCATGGGGCTAAGAGTTCAGGATACTGAGCTGTGTGACTTCATTGAGCTAGTCATCTCATCTGCAAAATGGGATAATAGTACGGTATGTCCGTCATGCCCATAGGGTCTATGTTAACATGTTAGTGTGTTTGGCACATGTAACAGGTGACTGGCTACGTATTAACTGCTGTTCCTGTACCCAGTTCCTCTGTGTACTCTGTCCCTGACACCACCCTGCAGGACCCATCATGCAGTGAGCTCCTAATCTGGAGATGGGGACAAGGGAACATGATAAAACCCATCAAGTTTCTCCTACTGGAGTCAGTCACCCACTGTTTTCTGTGTCCTGCAAATTAACCACCTAAAACAGTTGATGGTCAACACCTAAAAATAGGGACGGTTTCCTTCTTTCTCTCTTCTAGCAGGGCTCTGCTCAGTCCTGGCTTGTCCCAGGCCTTGGTTAAAAATTTTCTGGAGAATTCCTGCGTCCAGATGGTCTCATGGGTATTCTCCTGGGATGATGGTTACCCAGGGTCTGGGATCAGAGCTGGGCCCTCACTCGAGGCAGACACCACCCACCTCCCCTCTCATCTTTGATTGGCTTTGAAATGTGCATTCTTTTTCCTCTCCTCCATCTAAATATTTGGGTTTCCTGCTGAAATATTTAGGCAGGGCTGTGTACTTCTGGCTGTTGTCACCTCCCGTGCCCCACTGTAATCTGGCTGCAGCTGCTTAGCTGGGCCCCTGCTATGAGCGGGGATGCTTGCCCCCTGAGTCTGGGAGAGAAGCTGTGCAGCTGGTAGCAGGACCCCCTTTGTTCAACGGTGTAGTCTCCAGTCCTGCAGGGCTGCCAGGGGCCTTGTTGGCCACACTGGGTGGGGAGGACACAGCAGAGCCCCCTTCCATTTGTCTGAGTGCTTCTGTGCTTGGGGCTAGGGATGAGGAACCCTCATCTGAACTACTGTGTAGCAGAAAACTGATTCTAACCTGTGTTCTACTTTTACCTGTACTCCGGTTTATGCTGTGTGCCCCTGGCCATATTTTCCCTCTCTGGACTCGTCCATTCATTCAGAAAGGCTTGGAGTGCTAGTTAGGTCCAGCTAGACCATTTGCAACCTTCGTGGGCAGTGGCCATGTCTTCCCAGCCCTGGGCCTGTGTTGCCAGGCCTAGCTCTCAGGATGCTCAGTGAGTGTGTGGATTTCAGTCTTGCTCAGTTTGTTGTGTCCGTCTGTCCAGCACTGTGCTCAGCTCAGGGGGATGCCAAAAGCTGTGTGGCCCTTTTGGTTGGAAGTCTAGTCAGTGCAGCCAAGCCTCTTGCAAGGTCACAGCAGAGTGAATGAAGCCAGGTGCCCCAGGCCCAGACTCTGGTCCTTGGTCTCACAGGCTCTAAGTCATGGAAGGGGTAGGGGTGCCATTATTTTATTTTTATTATTATTATTTTTTGAAACAGAGTCTCACTCTGTTGCCCAGGCTGGAGTGGAACCTGGTTAAGGACAGGTATTCAAGTCACACCTGGGATTTAATACCACCTCTCTGCCTTTACAAATTGTGAGGCCTTGAGCACATTGCATCATCTGAAAATGGAACTAATTATACCCCCCTCGCAAGAGGAAATGCCTGTAAAGCTCACTCAGTGCAGCTTCCAGCTCGAGGCAGCCTTCAAGACCAGCTTATTGTTATCCTCTCCCCTTTGAGGGAGGGACTTTACAGAATAAACTGCTCTCCCTGCCTGAGTCTGTTTATCTCCAGGAGCCCCCTCTTCTTCTTCCCCTATCCCCCATCCCTTGTTCCATCAACTTTTCCCGAATTCCTTTCCCCTGTGAAATAAGGCCCAGGCAGCAGAGGTCAGCAAGAGTACACTGAGCAGGTCTGCCCTTGGTGCTGGAGGGCAGCCGTGGTTTTTGCTTTCAAGGAACTTGAGACAGAGCAAACCATCCAGCTCCTCATTCAGCAGATATTTTACTAAGCACATACTGTGTGTCCAGACCTGTTCAAGGACTGCTGCAAGAGAATCAGCCCTGGTCCCTGCCTCTCTGTGGAAACCAAGAGGGCAAGTTGGACGAGCTGGGGCAGGAGAAAAACATCCCCTTGACCCTTCCTTGTGAAGACTTCTTTAATTTTCAGAGGCTTCTGAGAAGTGCAGTTGGCGGGGAGGCCCACACTGTTTGCAGTGGAGAAGGGCAGTTCCCTAGCTGGGGGCACCTTTGGCATGACTGGAGCCTGCACCACTCCAGGGGGAAGGAGCAGAAGTATTTGCAGGGTGTTGCCAGCAGCACCAGGTACACCACCCAGTCCTCTAAGAGGCTTGCAGCTACACAGACTGTGCTCGTGTGCATCCCAACCTGCCCTTACCATGGGTCTCTGCGGACCCATTCTTCTGAGACCTCCCTTCTATGACTTTTGTGGGCCTGACTCTGGGAGGTCTGGCAGCCAAATGGATGCCATCCCATTCACTAGATGGGGACACCAAGGCCTGGTGAGGATTAGCTGGGGGCAGAACAGTCTCTAGAACCAAGTTCAGATTACTCTAACAACACGGCCTACCCAGATCCAGGCCTTTCTTCTCTGGGTCATTCTCACTTTATTTCTAATCCCTTTTAAAATGGCCCATAGGCTGGGCGTGGTGGCTCATGCTTATAATCCCACCACTTCGGGAGGCCTAGGCGGGTGGATCACAAGGTCAGGAGTTCAAGACCAGCCTGGCCAACACAGTGAAACCCTCTCTCTACTAAAAATACAAAAATTAGCTGGACGTGGTGGTGGGCACCTGTACTCCCAGCTACTCAGGAGGCTGAGGCAGGAGAATCGCTTGAACCTGGGAGGCGGAGGTGGCAGTGAGCCAAAATCGCGCCTCTACACTCCAGCTTGGGTGACAAAGCTAGACTCCATCTCAAAAAAAAAAAAAAAAAAGGCCTGTAAGTCAAAAAAGCTCTTGATGGTATTTTGGGGTGCAGACTCCTTCTACTTACACTAAACTGACCTACCTGATTTCCTAACCTGCCCCAACACACCCGTTCCTGTGATCTTGAGCACCAGCTTCTCCTCCCACTAGTTTTCCAGATAAGAGGCAAAAGTTGAAATTGTGTTGAACCCCAGGCTGGGAAAGGAGGATGTTTTTCTGGGCCAGCCAGGGCCTCAGGCAGAAAGGATCCGATGCCTCCCTGCTCCCCAGGGAGTCTCTCCAGCCCTGGACTTTGCTCCTCCTGCGTCTGCGCCCAAGGAGCTGTTGGCTGGTTTCTCCAGCCTGTCTTGGAGGTTGGCAGGGGGTGGCTCACGCTCTGGGCATTTCTCGTGGCGGCAAATCATAAAATGTGAGGCTGGAGGGAGCTTAGTGGTTATTTAACTGGCCTCCAGCCTCCTGAGTCAAGGCCCAGACCTTTGGAGGTTATGTAACTTGCCCAAGGTTACTCTGCTCACCAGGGGTGGGGGAAGTACAATAAAAGAGCAATTAGAGCTAAGTGGGGGCAATTAGGGAAGGCTTCTTGGAAGCAGTGCCCCAAAGAAGAGATGAGCTGAAAGGGGATTGCCACGTGTCCTAGTAGGGCTCCCATCAGATCACTGCTCCAGCAGTCAAGGATCCTGACAGTGAGATCGTGATCTCAAAACTCAGAAGACCCGCCAGCATCTCCTCCTTTGCCCTTAGACTAAGCCAAAGCCCTGGCTGTGGCCCTGAGTGATTTGGACTCTGCTGCTTGTGTGATCTCGCCTTTCTGGACCCCTGCCGTTGATCCCAGTCAGCCACACTACAGACAGGAAACTCCAGGGGCCAGCTCCTAACAGAGGAGAGGCATTCCACACCCCTGCACACTAATAGCCAGTTTCTTTTTCTTTTCTTTCTTTTTTTTTTTTTTTTTTTTTTTTTGATGGAGTTTTGCTCTTGTTGCCCAGGCTGGAGAGCAATGGCATGATCTCGGCTCACTGCAACCTCCGCCTCCCGGATTCAAGCGATTCTCCCACCTCAGCCTCCGAGTAGCTGGGATTACAGGCATGTGCCACCACACCCAGCTAAGTTTGTATTTTTAGTAGAGACGGGGTTTCTCCATGTTGGTCAGGCGGTTCTCGAACTCTTGACCTCAGGTGATCTGCCCGCCTCAGCCTCCCAAAGTGCTGGGATTAGGGGTGTGAGCCACCACCGCGCCCGGCAGTGAGTTTCAACTTTTACAAAGAACTCAACGTTCGTATCCACTGATGACAGAAAGGACTTTGGGAGGTGGTAGCAAGGATAGTCACACCAGCCCCGCATGACAGCCGTAACGGGAGCTGCCGTGGCCTACATCATGTCGACTTCCCAACAATGATAAGTGACAGGCACTGTGGGGAACCTAATTTTGCAAGGCAACTGAGGCAGAGGGTAAGTAACTTAGTGGAGGTCACATAGCTAGTTAGTGGCCTGAACCCAGGCCCTCTGAGTCCAGAGCCAGAGCTCTGCAGCTGCAGTAGAGGCTGCCGTATCCTAAATTGCTGCCAGTCTTTCGAATCTTGCTAGGCTACAAGCTGCTCCTTGAGACTGGGTTTTCCACACACACCCCATCACTCCCAGCACCCAAGAAGTGCCCCGTGCGCGTGTTAGCTGGCCCCTTTGCTGCCCAGCTCTGCACTGTTCAGTCTTCCAGGTTCTGACACCAAAGTACTGCTGTTTTCTGACCACATTGACCATATATAGTTTTTTTGTTTTTGTTTTGTTTAGTTTTGTTTTGAGATGGAGTCTCACTCTGTCGCCCAGGCTGGGGTGCAGTGGTACGATCTCAGCTCACTGCAACCTCCACCTCCCAGGTTCAAGCGATTCTCCAGTTTCAGCCTCCTGAGTAGCTGGGATTACAGGCATGCACCACCACACCCTGCAAATTTTTTTGTATTTTTAGTAGAGACAGGGTTTCGCCATGTTAGCCAGGCCGGTCTCCAACTCCTGACCTCAGGTGATCTGCCCGCCTTGGCCTCCCAAGGTACTGGGATTACAGGCGTGAGCCACCACGCCCGGCCCCATATATAGTTTTGTTTGACATTTTGGCTATATAAGTGGCTGCCACAGCTCAGAGGTGGGGTTGTTAACTCAATCCCCAGCCCCTCCCCCTACGACTATCCTGACAGCCCTAAGAGGCCCCTGACTTTTGTTTACTGCTTCTAACGCCTGCTGCTTGACAGGTTTGTGGTCAGGGGACCCTGAGACTAAAACCCCCAAGGAGGAATCACGTAAGGGAGATAGAATTGCCTCTTAGCTGTGTTTCTGTCTGACCTGCCAGTCAGCTAAACCCATGCTGTGTCACATCCACTCATTTGGTTTCCCTAGGGTTAACCTCTAGCTGGACTGTGGTCTGCACCTTGGGAGGGTATCGCTTTAGTCTTGCCCACATGGCTTGGAACAGGTTATTCTGTAGCATGCCAAGGACCTCAGGGCGGGGCCCTTTATGGATGTTTATTTTGGCTTGGGTACCCTTTGTGTCTAATGCAAGGTTCCTGCTCCTCTCATGCCCCCAGTGCGGGATGGAGGTAGGCACCTATTCACAGACTCTCTGGAGGAGAAAGACGTCCATCCCCTACCTTCCCTATCACTCCTGTTCAAATAAAATTCTCACCTCCCGGGCAGTGGAATGCATCCTGACAGTGTTAGCTTTGGAAGGGTGCCCTTCTCTTCTCAGCATCCCTGCCCCCTTCAGAGCAGCGAGTGGAAGGGCTGCCTCTCGCCAAGGGGATAAGTGCTGAGTGGGCGAAGTGGGGTGAGCCGAGGCAGTAGTGTCTTGTCAGCACCCCCCGGGTTAGCAGGAAAAGGGAGGGTGTCCTGATTAACAGCTTTTCAACACCTCACCTCCCCCATCTTCCAGACTCTAGCCTCAGCCCTGCAATCCACCCAAATGCATGGCCCAGAGAGTTGGACTCACCCACAGTTGGGAGACTAGAAGACAGCTGAGTCCTGGGCCAGCTCTGCTGACTTGCTGTGTGTTTAGGCCAGGTCACTGCACCTCTCTGAGCTAAGCACTTGTTCAATAAGGCCAATTAAACACTTAGTGCCCGCTGTATGCCCAGTGCTGGATTAAGGGTTGTGGGAATGAAGTACTGGACATCATTTCTGCCTTTGGGGTTGGTGGGAAGGTATCACCATGCAATGCATATTATGAATTGAGTGGGGTTGGGGCATATTGTGAGGGCCTGTGTGCTTCAAGGTAGAAAAGTTCCTGTAGGCTTGGGCTGTTTAGGTGGCTCCCCTGACCCTGGCCTGGGGGTTGCCTCCTTTCTAGCTGCATTGCTCTCTAGGCTCCCCTGCCCCGTGTCAGAGGACATTGCACGGGGACTATTGCCTGGTCTGCACCCTTCTCTGCCCTCCCTCCCTACAAGCCCTCGGTTTTTACCTGATTGGATCCGAAACCTAGCACCAAGCATGAGGGTAATTATTAATGAATGTCCTGAACCATGAAGCCGTGTTTCTCTCTCTCCTTTGTCCTGTCTCCCAACAGCCCCCAAGCCCAGAGGCAGCACCAACAGAGCCCTCCTCTGCCCCTCAGCTGGGCCCACCTCCTGGGAAACAATCTGGAAAACTGTCACTAGCCCCTGCAGTGGGTGTCCTGCCGGGCCAGATTCTCCCCCAAGCCAGCAGATGTGCTGGTGCTGACCATACCCCTCTGCCCGTCATCCATGCAGTGCCCTCCTAGCTGGGGACACTCTGCTCTGTTTGGACAGGTCAGTAGGTTGCCTGGTGAAAGCATGTGTCAGCATCACTCTGGGAGCATGTCTATCTAAACCCAGGGCAGGCTCCCACAGCCGAGGCAGGTACTTTTGGGTCCTGTTCTAGAAGGTTCCTGTCACCACCAACCACACTGGAAATTCAGAGTTCACAGAACTCAGTTTTGGCACAGCCTCTCTTTTTGGAATGCTCTGAGACTGAGAGCTGCTGCATATGGTCAAACCCTCCATCTCCACCTACCCACCGTTGGGGTTATTGTGTACACATCTTTTTTTTTTTGAGACAGAGTCTCACACCATCACCCAGGCTGGAGTGCAGTGGTGCGATCTCGGCTCACTGCAACCTCCACCTCCTGGGTTCACGCAATTCTCCTGCCTCAGTCTCCTGAGTAGCTGGGATTACAGGCCCACACCACCACACCCGGCTAATTTTTTGTGTTTTTAGTAGAAACGGGGTTTCACTATGTTGGCCAGGCTGGTCTGGAAAATGGGGTTTCACTATGTTGACCAGACTGGTCTGGAACTTCTAACCTCATGATCCGCCCACCTCAGCCTCCCAAAATGCTGGGATTATAGGTGTGAGCCACCACACCCAGCCTGTGTACACATCTTAAAATTTTCCCTAGACTCTAAGCTGCCTGAGGCCGGCTTCCCACCCGTGTATACACATTCTTACACCCCTCTTCCCCACTGCTCTGCACACAATTTAATCTGTGCTTATTGAACTGGTGGGCTCTGGCCTGTGGCATGGGAGACCCTTAGACAGGCTGGAATAGGGACCTGGTGCTTCCATTTGGTGTTTCTCAAAGTGGGCCTGAGGCATGAACCAGACTTCAAGTTATACAAAATCAAGATGAGGAGGGTGAGGAAAGCAGGAAGATGCAAGTTAAAGTGTGTGGTTCTCTCCGTTAATATTGCGTCATAGAAACTCAATTTAAAAACAGAAGCCAGGCAGGGCCGAGTTGGGGAGACAGGATTATTGATGACTTTTTCTTTCTCTGCCTCTCACATTTTCTGTAATGTGGTTGTATTGCTTTTATAACAAATAACTCAATTTTTTAAGGGATAAAATACATGCATGTACCATTACCCACTTCCACACTGGTTATTTTTAATGTGTGAGGTATACAAACATCTGGTTTTAGCAGAACATACTCTGAAAACCAGTATCACTTTTGTAATCACTAACAGTGTATAGTTGACCCTTCGTATCTGTGGGCTCCAAAGGACTGACTGTGGGACTTGAGCACTGCAGATCTGGGTATCCACAGGGGGTCTTGGAACCAATCCCCCTCCAAGGATACCAACCTGGATTGGTTCCCGGGGACTGTATTGAACACCTGACTGGGAGATGCTCTGGTCCTAGTTCATTCATGTCTTTCGAGCCTAGTTCGTTCTTGTCTTTTGAGTCTTTAAATTTAGCTAGCAGACTGCTAGCTTCCTTGGCAGCAGTGCTGTGGAATGCTTTGAGGAGAAGGACAAGAGAAACTAGGTGAGCCTTTGGTCTGCAGACCAAGTTGGAGGTAGTATACCAGGACAGAGAGTCACCAAGAAGAGAGTGTGGCAGGGCCAGGGACACCCATCCGGCTGTTTCCAGTGTTGATCCATTTCCCACACAAAGGTGGTGGGGGTGTGGTCTGGGAGGGGAGTCCTGCAGAGGCCCATGGACAAGTGCAGCCTTGGACCCACTGTGCTCTCAGCTCCACCCGGTCCCGTGGGGGCCCAAGACTTGCCCTGTCCTTCAGATGAACGAAAAACACAAGCACAGGCAAGACTTGAAACAGCACAGGACTGTTTGTAATCCAAAGTCAGGAATGTGCTATGGACAGTGGCCCATGGCATGGGTCATCCTGAGGGTCCAGGGGAGGCAGGCTCTGCCAAAGGAGGCTGCAGGTAGGATGTGCTTGATACAGTCTTGGTACTAGTATGGTAGTCACTACCCACATGCCGCTATGCAATTTTACCTTTTTGACTTGATATTACTAATCATTACGCCTGCTTACTTATTTATTTTTTGAGACAGAATCTCTCTCTGTCACCCAGGCTGGAGTGCAGTGGTGCCATCTTGGCACACTGCTACCTCTGCTTCCTGGGTTCAAGCCATTATCCTGCCTCAAGCCTCCTGAGTAGCTGGGATTACAGGCATGCACGACCACACCTGGCTAATTTTTGTATGTTTTGTAGAGACGGGGTTTCACCATGTTGGCTAGGCTGGTCTTGAACTCCTGACTTCCAAGTGATCTGCCTACCTCAGCCTCCCAAAGTGCTGGGATTACAGGCCTGAGCCGCCGTGCCTGGCCTGCCTGCTTAATTTAATTTTTTCTTTTCTTTTTTTCTTTTTGAGACAGAGTTTTGCTCTTGTTGTCCAGGCTGGAATGCAATGGTACGATCTCAGCTCACTGCAACCTCCGTCTCCTGGGTTCAAGAGATTCTCTTGCCTCAACCTCCAGAGTAGCTGGGACTATAGGCATTCACCACCATGCCCAGCTAATTTTTGTATTTTTAGTAGAGACGGGGTTTCACCATGTTGGTCAGGCTGGTCTTGAACTCCTGACCTCATGTGATCTACCCACGTTGGCCTCCCAAAGTGCTGGGATTATAGGCATGAGCCACCGCACCCAGCCTGCCTGCTTAATTTAAAATTAAAACTAATAAAATTCAATTTTAGTTCTCCAGTCACTGGCTACATTTCTAGTGCTCCGTAGCCAGTGGGGACTGCGCAAATACAGAGCATTTCCATCATCGGAGAGTTCTCTTGGGCAGTACTAGAGTATTGGGCCAGAACCCGAGGTTTCTAATGCCACATCTGGCCTCCCTCTGCGCCTCGTCAGCTTTCATTTCTGCTCTGGTCCTATCCACTGGAAAACTTGTAAGCACAGCCGAGGCGAGCGCACCCCCTGGACCAGCTGACAGAAAGCATGTGTTTGTGCAAGCCGTGTGATTGCCTTGCCAGGTCAGTCCTCGTGGACTCAGATTGTTCAGCAGTGGCTCCCTTGGAGGTGGACCAGGCTGTAGAAAGAGAATCCTTTTTCATTGATCTCTGACTTGTTGCTCATAGTCTCCAGATTCCTTCTAATGGCCTGCTCCAGCCCAGCCTCCCCACTCTGCGGGGAAGCACCAAGTATCCCTCAGCTCTTATGGTTCATAATGTACACTGATCAGGTGATTTTACCAGCTAAGCAGGTATTTCTCTTCTTAGGGTGAAAACTATCTTCCCACCACAAATCTAGAAGGAATGGAAGAAGGGGACGGCTAAAATTTTCAGTTTTCCAGGTTTTTTTAGGGCCCATGGTGGGGGTCCCGGGCCAGGAAAGGTGGAGTAGGGGAAGGGGAGGAGGGGCGGGCACTGTTTTTAGGATGGGTGGAACACCTGACTGGGAAATTGCTCTGGTCCTTGTTCATTCATGTCTTTTGAGCCTCAGTTCCCCATCTGTGTTTTGGCTTCTTGCTCTGCTTCATGCTCCATTGCTTGGGCTTGAAGGAGCATGGAGTGAGCCCCTGGGACTGTCCTGGCCTCGCTGTTGGTTTGTTGGCTGCTTTCTCTGCCATCTTCTGCTGTCATGTCCCTCTTTCCCGACTCCTGCCTGTCTCTTGTTAAACTATGAGATCCTCCTGAGCAGGGTCTGTGTCTTGCACTTCCTTTATTTTGCCCAGTGCCTGGGCACATGGTTGGTGTTCAGCAAACACTTGATGAATCAGTCGACCCTGGTTTGAGCTTCATTGAGCAACAGAAGTTTGTCCATGACTCTGGCCCCATCGTTGTTGGGTTAATAGGTTGGGTGGGTTGCCCTGTGCATGGGTCGGGGAGCTGGTGCCTGGCTAGATCTGGCATTTATAGCAGGTGTGCCCAGCTACATTTTTGTGCCTCCAAAGAGGGGCATGGCCCAGGGGTCCCTAGGGGGAGTGAAGGTGACGAGAACCCCCTGTTCTACCACCTTGCCCTCCTGTTCCCCTACTCTTCCTGGGAAGTAGCCAGGAGCCTAATTTTACACATGGGGAGAGGGCCAAGGGACTGTGTCCTGGCAGTCCACTGCTTGGTCAGTTGTTTAGCTCTCAGCAGCCCGGGATGAAGGGCTCTGCTTCAGCAGGCTTGAGGGGAGACGGACCTCCCTGGGCAAGTCTGACAAGTGGCTGCCCCTGTTACCACTCACTGAAAACAGTTCACAGGGGGACAGGATGCAGCTGTGTGAGGCATAGGGCCTGCTCCCCTGCCTGACTTAGAAACCTGGCACATTACTTTCCCTTCTTTCATTATATCCTCCCGGCCACATACAAAGCACTCTTACCCCACAACCCTGGACGTTTGTAAACAAGTTCATGCATCGGGAGCATCTCTAACTTGCCTATGCACCAGCCTTCCTGCTCTCTATCGAGCCTTTTGATCCATAACCTTGAGAATTGATGAGGAGGTGGCATCGTTCCCGTTTTACAGGTGAAGAAAGCGCAGTCATGACTCCAGGCTAGGGAGTAGCCAATGCTATACAGGCTCATCTGTCAAATGTTCTTTCACTCCACCAGGAAGGCTGAGGCCTTGCCAGAGCCTGGTTGGGTGTTAGGGGTTAAACAGGCTTGGAAACGTCTGTGCTTAAAATCCCAGCCCTTGTGGAGGAGAGAAAGGATGTGTGTGTGTCTGAGGCATGGCCCTCGTTCCTTCTGCCTCTCGCATTTCACAATGGGGCTATGTCTCAGAGTGAAGAATTTCCATTTCCTGTTGCCTGGCCTCTCATCCTGGGCCCCAGGTTAGGGGAGTTGGAGGTTTTTCCAACCCCCACCCCATCCCTCACCTCAGCCTAGCCTCTCTGTACTAGGAGGGCCTGGCAGTATTTTTCCATACCTTCAGCACAAAATGGCTCTGTTTCTTAATCCCAGTCACGTCCCACGCCCCAGTTGGCTGGGGATGGATGGTGGGCGGGGGCAATGCATACAGGGCAGAAGAGGCAGGACAGCTGTGCCTGGCTGGCCTGTCTGCTTCCTGGCATACCTGGATGGTGAGGGCAGGGGTAGTGCATGGTCAGGGGATAGCAGCCACATGTATAGGCTCCCTCTTCTTTCCTACACTATTTGGGGATCGTCTTTGAATTGCAACCCTGTGGTTTCCAAATGGGGGCCTTGGTGACCAGAGCCCCTGGGGTAACTGATGTGTGGCCTGAGATCTGAGTCAGGGAGCCTGAACTTTAGGGTAATACTCCTAAATACTCCTTTTGCTTTTTTTTTTGAGACTGAATCTCTCTCTGTCACCCAGGCTGGAGTACAGTGGTGTGATCTCAGCTCACTGCAACCTCCATCTCCCGGGTTCCAGCACTTCTCCCTGCTTCAGCCTCCTGAGTAGCTGGGACCACAGGCATGCACCACCATGCCCAGCTAATTTTTGCATTTTTAGTAGAGATGGGGTTTCACCATGTTGGTCAGGCTGGTCTCAAACTCCTGACCTCAGATGATCTGCCAGTTTCGGCCTCCCAAAGTGCTGGGATTATAGGCATGAGCCACTGTGCCCAGCCTCCTTTTGCATCTTGCCCAGTGATTTTGAGGTTGTTGGGCATCGAGATCTTGCTCTTGTCTCTAATTGTGACTCAGTCTTCTGGTGGGGTTTGCGTTCAGGATCTGGGGGTCATCATGGCAGAAAGCCCCCTCCCCCCCTGCACAGAATGCCATCCATCCCAAGATGTCTGTGCTGGTTTGCTGGTAGTTTCTTATACAATTTATTCCAGAGAGGATGGAGGCCAGCTGTTGTCTGTCTCAGACGCAGACTGAACCAAAGGAAATGGGCTTGGACTGCAGCCGGAGGGATTTAGGTTAGAGTCAGACAATAAGGAAGGATTTCGGGACAGGTGGTTGGCTCTCAGGAGGATCCTGCAGGGGGCTTTGAGAAGAAAGATGGGGGCAAGATCATGCTCAGAGGCCGTGGGTGGATGAGAAAACCAGCTCCTTGAATGAGCTCCCTGGGGGCCCGGTTTGGGTGGGAAGGGGAATGTTGTGTATTAAGCAGGCAGGGAGCTTACTTCATAGGGGTAGAGAAACCCAGTGGCCCCACCCCTGGTACAGGATTAATCCCATCCTGGTTCCTCATAGGCTTTTCTTTTTTAATTAATGAAGAGGTTTACAGTTTAACCACTTGATAATCTTAAACAAACTGTAATAAATGGGTAGGCTTAATAATCTCTTATCAGAACCTCAGCCCTCAAGGATGGCAGTTACTTATTACCCTAAGCTGCCAGCCACAGGCACAGGGGGAGAGGGAGGAGGGAAGAGCAGGTGAGGAGGCCCCTGGGTTGGGGAATTTGCTAGGTTGTCAGGGGCATTCTGAGAGGCAAGAGGTAGGGTAGTGTCAGCCCCAACTGTGTTCAAGGATACAGGTGTAACCTAGAGAGACAAATGTGGCACAAGGGTCAGGAGCCAGCTTCCTCCCAGGGAGGTAGGAGTCTGGCGGTATTGGCGGTGGTGAGACTTGTCCTTAGAGCCCCCGGCAAGGGGGCCCAGGGCAGGCAGATGTGTCCAGGAGAACAGGACTGGCAGCCACAAGGACTAAAGAGCCTCATGGATCAGAGCATCCTTCCTTCCCACTGCTGGAAGGGCAGGAAATCAGCAGCAATGCATGGGGAGAGCTGGGGCCATCAGGCCTTCAAACACCCTGGTATCCCTCAGCTCCTACCCCCCACCCCCGCCACCCACCTGCCTGCTTCCTCTGGAATCCTGATGGTTCCAGAGTCCGCAGGGGAACTGACTCACCAGGGCTAGAACCTCTGGGGGCTTTGGGCTTGCAAACAGGTAGGGTAGGGAGGAGACCCCGGGGCCTGGAAACAGTCATCAACCCGCACTGTGCCTGCACCTGTCTGGGCTCCCTGCCTTCTCCAGTGGAGCTAGAGCCCACCGTCCAGCCTTGGAAGGCACACGTCTTGGAGACTCAGTCATTCATTGGCAAATACTTGAGCACATACTAGAGCTAGGTTCTGTTCTGTGATTAAGGGATCCATGAGTCTCTCCTTGTAGGGCTCATGATCTATTTAGGGTAGATAACTAGGAAGCCAGAGAAACAGATGCCTAGTAGAATGTCAGGTAGTGATGAGTGCAGTGAGGTGAGGAGCGGGAGCGGGACGGAGGCTTAATATTCCAGGTGGCATGGCCTCTTTCAGGAGGGGACATTCAGGTGAAACCTGATTGAAGTAAGAGTGAGCTGCAGGAAGGCACCTGCAAAGGCACAGGGGGGTGAACTGCTGAGCCGGAGGGACTGGCCCATGCCCAGGAGGTGGTAAATGGAAGGAGGGCATTGCTGTCAACACCTAGCCCAGCTCCCCAGCTCTGGAGGCCACATGCAGCAGACACAGACCCTCAGAATGGAGGTGTCCTCCCCAAGCCCCTTGTTCTATTCACAGAGCAATAATAGTCACATTTATTTTCCTTCCCAGTGCTCGTTTCTGGAACACGCCCCATGTGCCCAGCACTGAGCTGTTCATCATTTTTTTGTAATCGACGCGCCAACACAGTGAAGCCATGACTCTTGTTTTCCAGATACGGAGTGTTAAGCTCAGAGAGGTGATAAGACATGCCCCAGGTAACCCGCTAGTGGATGCTGGAGTCAGGATTTTGAACCCAGATGTGGCCTTTCCCCTCTGCCCTCTCCCCTGTGCTGCTCAGAGAGGGCCCCACACTTGATATTTGTGTTGGAGAGACTGGCCAGCCCAGCTTGTGTGCCAGTGCAGAGCTGGGTTTGGGAGGACAGGAAGCAGGCCAGCACGCGAGGGGCAGCTGGGCGGCCCGGGAACTGCACCTCCCTCAGGTCATTGGCCCGGGATGGGAAGGTGATGAGTCAGCAGTTCCCACAGCCACCTTTCTGGCCTGCTCCAAGGACTGTTTTTAGAAACCTTGAGTGGCTGGTGGCTTCCTGTAGCTGATCCTTGACCCCACCCCAAGGTCAAGGTAAATCTGAGGCATCTGCAGGGGAATGGGGTAGGGAGCGTAGGCACGCGCTTACCCTAACTCATATAGTCAGGTCAGATCCGTGGGTATGACCGCACAGCACAGCCCTTTATCTCTGCTATGTCACCAGTGTCTACCTGCACATTCCCTGCTGTGCTTTGGTTGGTGTTTCTCAGCCCAGTTCCGGGTGGCAAGTGGAGGGCTGGTTGTTCTGTGGACAGGGCCTCACCTGCTCTGCTGGGTCACCAGCTTGCTGTTTGGCTTCACCATCTTTCTGTTTGGCTTCACCATCTTTCTAGCCTCTCTATAGATTCCTCATCTACAGAATGGGAATAGTGTATCCATTTTGTCTGGTTTCCCTTCAGGGTCTTAGGTCTCAGATTAGACGGTGGAAGAGGAGTTATGGGTGTGAGAGGTGCTTGATGAATGTGGGGTTTTGGTGGGGAAATGCTAACTCAGGCCCTTATTAACCAAGTCGGGGAGGAATGAGCCAGGCCTGAGAGCACTGCTGGCTTCCCTGGAAAGGACAATGTGCCAGGGGCCCAATCCAAGTGCAGGGGCTTGGGCTAGAGCTCTCTAACCCCACCTTAGAAGTAAGGCCTCTTCCTAGTGACCCACAGCCTTATGGAGGAATGGAGGAGGCTGCTCTGCCCAGCTGGACAGGCTCAAGGGATCCCAGCTAAAACTGTTTCCTGTCCCTACTGACACTGTTGTCCCACTAATTGGGAGACACCCCTTGGCATCGCTCAGGGCAGAGAGGTGTCAGACACCCCTGGGATCTGAACTCTGGGGGCAGAGAAGGGGACAAAGTCACAAATCCAGGCCTCAGTGTCCCAGATAGGGCAGAGACACCAGCACAGGACCATGGACCTGGGCCATAGCCACCCTGGGCAGGGCAGTGGTTGTGAATTGGGGTAGAGAAGCTATAGGTAAATGAAGGATGTCCCTCTTGTCATTTAAGCCTCCCTGGACACATCCCACCTTCCCTGAGAAGATGAGGCAGGGGTAGATTTTGAGAGCATGGCCTCAGAGGGTCATCTGGTATGTGTGTTTGAGAGGGAGGGGGCTCTTTCCTGCTCCCCAGGCCCACTTCTCAGGCACACAGCAGTGCTGTGGGACCAGGAAGGGGCCCTCGAGGTCCCCTGTGTCTGCCCGCACAGGGATTTCCAGTGTCAGTCACTGATCAGCTCAGCCCTCCAGGTGCCTGAGAGCTCACGCTGACATTCCATCCTGAGCTTGGGCCCCACCAGCCCTTCACTGCTTGCCTTAGCCAAACCTGCAACCTCAGGTCAGCTCTGCCCTGGGCTTGTTCTCACAGGAGGGATGCCCAGCTGCCCCCCTGCCCTGGGGGATTACCGTCCCAGCCTGAGAACAATGCGGGCAGGGTCACCTGCCTTGTTTTCTTTGTTCCTCCCAGTGAGGACAGGGCTCCCAGGCCTGTGAAAGTCAGAAGCCCAGGGTTTCTGCTGAAAACCTGCTCCCATCTGGCAGGGGCTTGCCCTCCTGAGCGTGAGACCTAGCAGTGCCTCTGGGCTCTGCAGAGACTGCTGAGAGATGGCCCAGGAGGGCAGGCTGGGGGAAGCCCAAAGGTGGACAAGAGGACAGTTCTGCCTGTGTGCATGCACAGCCTGCCCCGTGCTAATGTCAGGGGTGGGGCTGCGCTCAAGTCCCTAATGAGGGAGAATGGATTGGATCTAGGGCAGTGCGTTTGAAACTTGGCTGAACATAAGATTAGAATCACCTGGGGGAGCTTTGCAGCATCCTGGTTCGCAGTTCAAGCCCCAGACTATTTCTCTTGGCATCTCTAGGGGCAGGACCCGGGCAGGAGTATTTTTCCAAGCTCTCTCAGATGATCTCAGTTTGTAGTCCAGGTTAAGAAGTAGTATGGTGACTGATGAGCTAAGTCCTGAGGATAGAAATGCATTTTCTTGAATGTGCTATGGAGAGGAGGTAGGGGAGGTATCACCTGCCCAGGCAGGGGGACTCCAGTAGTCATAGTCCAACCTCCTCATTGTACAGAGAAGCAGGCAGGCAAAGCAATCAAAGATTCTTCGAGGATCTCAAGACAGTACTGGCAGAGCTGAGCTGAGCCTGGGTTTTTAGGCCCTGCGCCGACGTCCTAGCACACCAAAGCCTCCAGCCATTGATTTGGCCTGCCTGCCTTCTTCTCAAATGTGATCCATACTCCAGATAGATATCAGAGCAAATCTGAGAAAAGAGATAAGCAACCACAAGTTAACAAAGTCCGCTTTGCAACAGCCCAGCTCTGGTCTTCGAGGAGACGGGTGTGGCCCTGCTGCCTTTCGTCCAGTATCTGCTCCTTCCCTGGGAGAGACAAAGCTCAGGCGAGCTGGGTTGGCTGCTGGTGCAGGTATCAGGGTGGCACCACTGGGCCCTTGCCAATACCTTGCTCGTAAACTACAGCTGCCCTCCGAGCCACACCCTGGTCACCTGACCCGGGGGGAGAGGCAGTGAGGAAAATACCAAGAATTCCTTCTCTCTGCCCTGCATACTCCTTTTTAGACAGGAAGATGGAGAAGGCCTGAGCCTCCCTCCCCCTGTCAGCTTCCACTAGGGCAGCCCCTGCATATTAGAATCACTTCTGGAGCTTTTTAAAAGTTGTGCCAGGTCAACAGAATATCTGCAGTTGGGGACCAGGCATAGCATTTATTTAACCTCCAAGGGGATCTACTGGGCAGCCTGTACCGAGAGCCACTGCCCATTGTCTTGCTTCATGTTCACGCTGGGTGGGGGCTGGGAGGGAGTTGGACTAGAGTTCAGAGAAGCTGCCATCTAACACCTCCTGGCCTCAGCCTCACCTGGGGAGGTACTGGCGGCTGCCAGGGGTGATGGGGGGGAAGTGGTGAAGACAGGATGGGACCAGTGGTGGCATTTCTTTCCCTCAGCAGCCCTGCCCAACTTGCTTGGTTGGACGAGAAACTGGCCAGGGTGGCTGTGAGCCTCTGAGGGGCAGAGGCCAGGAGAGATGGGGCCTCTGAGGGATGGGGTGAGGCATCTTGGGCTTGCCCGTTTCCCTCTGCCCCTGACTCCCAGCCATCAGGTGGCCAGGGAACATCTCTGGAACCACAGTCCCTTCCTCCATGTGGCCTGAGGGAGCTGATGGATCAGGCTGAAAATCGACAGTTTTCTCTGTTAAAATGGGGAAATGGGAAGAGTTGGCAGTTGTGAAGAAGGTTAGGGACAGTGTTCTCACCCTTTCCTGTCTTCCAGGCACAGGGCTTGAAATCCCTAGTCCTTCTCTACTGCTTGTCCAGGACATGCCAGCCCATCTGCTTCAGCTTTGGGGGTGAGCAGCTTTGCTCCTGGGTCTCAGATCTCTGCAGGGTCTTGTTCCTGACGGACACACGTGTGAATCACAATATTGATTGCAGATACATTTATCCAGTGCTTACTGAGTCCTAGGTTCTTTTCATGTGTGCAGAGTAGGTGTTATTTTACAGACAGAGAAAGTAAGGCTGAGAGGCTGAGTTATTTACCCAGAGGCTTGCTGCCAGCCATCGAGAGACCCCTCTGATTCAAATCCAGGTTGGTTCCACCTTTTCCATGAGCACAGGTCTGCATTTGGAAGATGGCCCTGTGGCTTCCTAGATAGAGCTAAACCTGAGCTGCAGAGGCCCTGCTGCCAATGGGATTGATTGAGTGCCCTCAGAGAGGAGGGGCTTTGGGATTCAGTAAGGAAAGTGGTCAGCTGGAAGTAGATGTGCAATTTCTATTGACTCTTCTGTTCCTTTGCCTGCTCTCGGTACATTTACTGCCCTCGTGGAGTTTCCCAAGGGGACAGGCCTCCCTGCAGGAAGGACAGTCCCAGTCACCTGAGGGACCTCTCCCACTCCACTGCTGATTACTCTCCCATCTTGAACCCTCTCCTCTGGGCTCTTGTCTGCCTCCCTCACCTTGCCCCTTCCCCAGCTCCTGCCCCCTGCCCTCTCCTCTCAACCTGGTGATCCCCACCTCTGCAACCCAAGACCAGTTGGAGGCTGGTGGTTTCAGCAGCCCCTGTGAGCCCCGCCGCCGCTGGGGTCTGTGCCTCTCCTTCCTGCCCTCTTGCTCTTCAGGCTTCCACCTTGTTTAACTGATGAATTTAGTGAAAAGCCAACTGCAGAACGATGCTGGAAGTGGTTGGGGATGGAGGGGCACTAGAGGACAAGTTAGTTGAGGCCAGGGAATATACCCTTATTTATTTAAATGTATTTATTCACTCATTCAGTAAATATTTGTTGAATAGCTACTGTGTGCTAGGCAGTGTTCTAAGTTTGGGGAATACATCAGTGAAAAACAAAACAAAAGGCCCTGTCCCCATGAAGCTGGCACTCTAGGGGAGTCTCTGCATGTCTGTGGATATTGCCTGGTAGGCCGTTTCACTTGCACCTAGAAGCTCACCTGCATGCCTTTCACCCCCGTCTCTAGATAGTGCAGAGGTTAGAAGCCACCTGGGCCCTCATCCCAGCTCCACAACTAACTAGCTCTGTGACCTTGGGCAAATGCTTCTGTAAGATGGGGGTAGTAATACTTTAAACTAAAATACAGTAAACTTTAGAGGGTACTGGCATTTTGTGAGATAAGTAAAGTGCTTGGATTTAGGTGCTTGTCTTCATAAGTGCTTAAATATCAATGTATTATTTATGAAATAAGAATGAATAGCCATGCCCACACCCCTTACAAGGTTGCTGGGAAGGGAGGTGAGAGGAATGATAAGTTTCTTTCTGTACTACCAAGCACACGCACATAAGAGGGTCAGCTCTATTTTCCCTTCCAGGGCCCAATTTTACCATCCCTCCGCAGGGCCAAGTGAGCTTTGACACAGTGAATTAAGAATTGATTGCTGGGAGTGGTGGCTCATGCCTGTAATCCCAGCACTTTGGGAGCCCGAGGCAGGTGGATCACCGGAGGTCAGGAGTTTGAGACCAGCCTGACCGACATGGAGAAACCCCGTCTCTACTAAAAATACAAAATTAGCTGGGCATGGTGGCACCTGCCTGTAATCCCAGCTACTCGGGAGGCTAAGGCAGGAGAATTGCTTAAACCCGGGAGGCTGAGGTTGCAGTGAGCTGAGATCACGCCACTGTACTCTAGCCTGGGCAACAGAGTGAGACTCTCATCGCAAAAAAAAAAAAAAAGAAGAAAAAAGAATTGATGCAGCTGGGAATGGTAAAGGAGGGTTGGCCCATGAACCCATTAACCCATTAACCCATTAACCCATGAACCACTGACAATCCAGGAGTCTAGCAGAGGCTGGAATGGAGGAAGACTGTTAAGGCTGTATCCTGCAGAGCAAGAAAGAGTCCTGTGATCCTAAAGTGATGGCGGCTGTGGAGCTGGAGGCAGGGCCGGGAGTAGCTCTATGGGTGCCAGATAGCTGTGATCCCAACAGGCTAACATCTTGACTTTGGTTTCCCTTACCCCACCCCGTAAAGGGGAAGCCCCCACCTTGCCCTGCCTGCCCATGTCTGAAGGTGGGTGGCATGTCCCAAAGCCCCAATCTAGATCCCTCTCTCCAGGAAGGGGATGCCCCACCACTGCCAAGGGAAGCCTCAGATCCTTGGGGGATGAGGGGATGTCTGGGAGTCAAGATTACTCAGTCAGCACAGTGAGCACCTGGGAAGGTGGGGTTGGGGCAGCTGGACATCTGAAGCTCTGGGCAAGGGCACACATGGCTGTTTCCTCACTGGAGCAACAGCATGAGAGCTGGTCAGAGTGGCTGGACTGGTTTTAGGGCACTGTTTTTTCAGCTGGTGGGAAGTGGGTGGGAGTATGCACAGGCCTCTTTCCTGTGGCCTTTATGGGGACAGGAGATAGGAGAACAGCAATTAGGACCCAGATGGGCCTGGGTTCTAGTCTTGGCTTCACTGTTTTTAGCACTTTCTTAACCTCTGTAAGCCTCAAATCCTCAGTTGCAAAATGGAAAAAAATTATAGTATCTTCCCAGCAAGAATCTGTCCTCTCTAAATGAGCTAAAGGCACATAAAATGCTTTACCCAACTCTTGGCACATAGGAAGCCCTCCGTAAATCACAGCTGCTTTATGGTGACGGTGATGGAGACAGGGAACTCTACTCCGTTCCCAAACAAGAGCTGGGCCTGAGCTTTGTGCAGGCTCCCCTTTTCCCATTACTCTCCAGGCTTGTATGGAAAATGAAAATATTGTCTCGTGTGAATTTGGGAGCCAAGTTAAAGAATCCAGCCAGTGAACAGGGGCCGCCTCCTCCCGCGAAAGCTGTTTCCCTAACCCCGAGGACGGGACGCCTTGTCTGACAGGGTGTTTACCTGGCTCTCCCATGTCCCTTCCCCTAACCCAGTGATGGCCTTAGTCCTGGGTCAGCTTTTCTGTTCTGGGAGACCAATTAAAGCCCCCTCCTCTTCCTGCATAATCCCAGCCATGATCAGTGAGGTATCCACAGATACACACAGTGGGAATAGGGAGCTAGCACCCCAAATTCACATCCAGACCTCAGCTCCCTGAGCCTGGCTTTCCTCCTCTGCCAAGTGATGCCTGGCAGAATGACAGGAAGAGCCAGTTAGGTAACGTGTGTAAAAGCCCCGGCGAGGGGTGTCTGACATACAGCAGCACTAGCACAGCTTCTCTCCACCAGCACTTGGGTGGAGCTGAGCTGATTCCCAGGCCAGCTGCTTGGGAACCACAGCAGAGGAGGCAACCGCAAGGGGCAGTGGGGCAGCCCAGGGGCAGGCAGACCCAGGCAGATGGAGGCAGGGAGGCTTGAACTTGCAGACTTGAAACCAGACAGTCTACAACCTAGCCCAGTTCTGCCAGGTAACCAACCTCTCTCCGCCCAGTGGGTGTAATTGCCACCACTGGGTCTTTGCAAGGAATGAGTAGTGCTTGCAGCCCCGGGGAGTTAGGGGCTCTCTCCAGTGCCTCCTTTGCCCGCCCCTTGTTGGGCAACCACAGAGGGATACTAGAAGTCATGGGGAAAGCACATAATGCTGTGGCTGCCTGATAAGCCAGGGCCTGAGGCTGCCAGCTGGTCCCCAAAGGGCACACCATCAGTGGGGTGAAGGGTAGAAAGCCCAGCTCTTCCACCTCTCCCCACTCCCAAACTTAATGCCTTCTTCAGTTACCCTGTTTTGCCAGTTCTTTTGTTTGATGTCTCCTTAGCACTTACTAAATGATTCCCAAATCACAGGTTACCTTTGGCACTAGCATTTCCCAGGGGGAGCATTTTTGGCCTTGTGGGTGTGGTTGTCCTGTGAATTGCAGGGCATTTAGCATCTCTAGCCCCTTGCCTTCTCAATGCCAGAGCATCTCCCATCACCCATTAGAATAAACATAAGAGGAGGGCAGGGATTCCGTCCGTTCACTGCAGTATACTCACTGCCTAGAACAGTGCCTGGTACATGCAACATTCCTCCTTAGAAAGCATTTCCAGACACTTCCAAAAGGCACTACCACCCCAGTGGAGAACCCCTGTTCCAGACATACCTTCCACAACACCCTTGATGGATGCTGGCTACCCTGGTCTAAATACTTTGCATTATCAGAAATTGATTACTACAAGGAGTAGCCCTTTGTAGACTCATTATCCAAAACAGCCACCCCATCTCCCCCTTGGACTTTGGCCTGTTGGTTAGCATATCATGTGAAGTCTGACACCCAGAATGAAACAAGGTGCCCCATATATGGCCTGACCCTGCAAGCAACAGTGGGCTTGTTACCTCCCAGCCCTGGATAGACCTGGAGTTGACATAGCCTGAGATTGCATTTACTTTTCTTGTGACAGCAGGACAGTAGGATTACTGTTTGTTGATCCATGGTCAGCTAATATCCAGGGACTTTTCCCTTCAATCCTCTACCAGTCTTTTCCAATCCAAAGTATAAGACTTAAACATTTAAGTGGATACTTGTATGTTGTTGATTTTGGCCCCTATATCCAGCCAGATGATTTTGAATCTTGATACTGCCATTGCTATGTGTTAGCTATCTTCCCATCCCATCCTTATCCCCAATTTTGCATCCACTGCACATTGGATTAGTAAACCATCTCTGTCCTCACTGTGCTGTGGTTTAAAATATTGAAGAAAACCAGGCCTTAAGCATGATGGTGGAGACTCAGTCTGGGTTGATAATGATCAATACCTCCTAGGGTTGTTTGTCTGCCTTTGAATGGACCCAATTAATCCTGGCTCCACTGACATTTCTGTGTCTTGTCCACATGAATTTCTTTAATCCCATCTGTTAGCTGCCTTGCTGATATCTAGATGGATTACATTCCACAGAACTTCAAGGCTTTGCAACCCTTTGAAAAGGAGATGCACTTAGCTGAGCATGACTTGTTCTGGGTGAATCTGTGCTAGTTTCTAGTGCCCACTACTTCCTCTTCTGCATGTTCCAAACATTCTCCTCTCCCCATTTTGAAGTTTGCAAGAGTTCAGGTTTGTTTTCTGAATTTCTAGAATCCACTCTTTTCCTTTTTGTGAAAAATGGGAACAGCTTGTCTTCTGACATCTTTCCTGTTCCCCATGATTCCATGGGGATGACCAGAGGTGGTGCTGCAGCCTCACCTGTGATCAGTGATTCAATTATCATTTCAAGATGTTCTTGTATGTTCTTATATACTCTTTTCTTGTAGGCCGGTCCCATTCAAGATCGATATCTGAGGTAGCAAAGGTAGATGCCAAAGGAGAGCTGGGTGGTTCCGCTTTCTCTGCCATCTGTTTAACATTAACGTGGCCCTGGTACTTCCTCATTCTCTTGCTCCAAACAGATTTGATGTTTTCAGAAACCCATTGGATGGTCCTTAGTATTTGTTTTAGCTCTCCTGTTGGCCTGTTAGTATCTAAATGTCCTTTAGCCATTTCACATTGAAATGGTCTGGCCAGCTAGACAGAGAGCTCTCTGAGGGCAGGGGCTGCCTTGGCCAGAGTTTGATGCGATGGTCCCCACTTTCCACTTTGATGCTGCACAGCCTTCGTAGCCTCGGAGATGCTGTGAAATGCCGGAGGAGGCAGCGCAGTGAGCTGTGTGGTTTGATGGTCTGACAGACAAGCGTGCCATCATGGAAAATTCTTTGCAGAGTGTGCAGATCCATTTACGCAGGCCGGCTGCTGCTTCTGCAAATTACACTTTCCTTCAGAACAACCCACCCATGCCCTTTTTTTCCCACCAAACCTCAGTCATGCTCTGGGTAGGTTAGAAACAAGGTTTTTTTTGTCTCCCTCTGTTTCCATCCCTCACTCTTCTGTCTCTTCTCTCTCAGTCCTTGTCTTGGTTTTTATAGGCAATTTGGCTGAATGCCTAGCTTCTGGTCTGGATGGCCTACCCATCTGCAGGCGCTCCTTGGGGACAGGACTTGAGCCCCAGATTTAGAGTCCCTTCTTATGTGACTTCTGGGGTCCAGGCCCTGCCAGCTGATAAAGCCCCACAGATAGGTTGGAGCCAGTGGTGATAGCAGAATTGGGGCCTAGTCAGATGGAAACAGGTTTGCAGCTGTCAGTATTGTAGGAGTAGATAAGTTCCCCACACCTCTGCCCCACCGCTCCTCGCACTCTCCAGGGGGACATCCCATCCCCAGGTGGCCTCTCACCTGCTATCCACAGTTACTGGAAGCTCTTTGGGGATTGATAGCACAGTTATGAGTCACCCTGAAATGTACTCACCCTCTGATCTGTCCCTTCCCAGACAGCTGCTCAGCCCAGGGCAGAGAGAGAAAGGGCTACAGGGAAGGGAGGGAAGTGAGATCCCACAGGGGAGAGGGTACATTAGAGTCCTAGGCTGGGGGAAAGGAGGACCTGCTGATTTGCATGCCCTCCGAGGACAAGTCAACAGGGCACTGAGCTGACCTGAGCAGGTATCCTACAGTAGGCTGAAGGGTATATGGGGGGCCCCTCCCCAGCCAACCCTGAACAAGGACCTGGTCTCTGCAGGTAGAACACCCTCCATGGAGGGCTGGGTGAGGCACAGGGGACCTCCTTGTGTGTGTCTGCCTCACATGTGCTTTTTTTGAGAGGCAGAATTAATCTAGTGCAGTGGTTCTCAAAGTGTGGTCCCTGTCCACAGCATCACCTGGGAACATGTTTAGAAATGTTCCTTCTAGACCTCCTAAATCAGAAACTCGGAGTAGTAGGGGCCAGCAGTCTGTTGAACAAGATTTCCAGGTGATCCTGGTGCATGCTAGTAAGTTGGAGAAGCATTGACTCAGTGAAAGAATGAACTTTGGAGCCAGATTGCCTGGGTTCATATCTTTACCTTGGGTAAATCAGGTAACCTCTCTGATCCTCTATACAATGTTTCATCTGTAACATGGAGACACTGCCACCTTCTTCTTGTGATGACTAAATGAAAATGCTTACAAGGAGTTTAGTGCAGTTCTGTCAATCAGCATCTGTTAAGTGTGGCCTCAGCTCTGACCTTTACTGTTTCTCATTTTAGGTGGTATCTGATGCTGCAGGACAGGGTGTGGCCATCACAGGGAACCAGACCTTCAACAACTGGAACTGGCCCAATGCAATGATTTTTGCAGCGACCGTCATTACCACCATTGGTAAGTCTTCTGGGACCTGTAGGACACCCACATCCATGCCCTAGCTCCTCAGAACCTTTCTAGAAACCCAGCTCTGGTCACTCAGCCCTGTTGGGGGTACAATCAGATCAGTTGCAGGCTATTCTTTTGATACTTTCTTAGGGATTTGTTAAGTCCTTGGTAGCTGATCATGCCTGGGAAGGTTTCCTTGAGTCTTGACCTGGGCTCTTTGAGCAGAAACAATGACACAGCCTCATGGCCAGAGCCATGCAAGAGATTAACCAGACTGCTCATTGCAGAAACCCAGATCATGACTACTTACCAAGCTGGGTGTCTGTTTCAGTTCTCAGGCTGCATAGCCAACCAGTCCAGAAGTTTGGCTCAGAACGCAGCTTCTTCTCTTTCACCATTCTGTCAGCTTGACTGGGCTCAGCTGGCTGGTTCTTGCTTGGGCTCCCAATGCAGTGGCAGTCGAACAATGGCTGGGCTGGAGTCTTCTGAAAGCCAAACTCATCTGATGGCCCAGATGGCTCCTCCCATCACAGATTTGACAGTTGATGCTGGCTGTTGGCTGGGAGCTCAGCTGGGGATGAAAACACAAGGCCTCCGCATGTGTTTGGGAACCAAGGCGAAAAGCAGCAGGCTTCTTAGACCTCACCTGTCCAGCGTCTCTTCCGCTGCCTAGACTGCTTCTGTTGTCAAGCCACTAAAGCCCAGATTCCAAGGGAAGAGGATTAGATGACACCTTGATGTGAGCAGTTGCATAAGAAGGGAGGGAATGGAGGATGGCTATCTTTGGAGACCATCTACCACAGTGCTTCTGGGGAATCTACACAGAGAGCATGTCTTATAACTTGCACAGTGGTACCATATAGACTAGTGGAAGACCTGTTGACCAGGCTTAGTCCCTGCCTTCAGGGAGCTCCTTGTATGATGGAGGAGATACAGCTCATGTCATCATAATTGCTTTATCAATGATCATGATCAGAGTATGATCAAGGGAAATATCATTACTTAAGTACTGACAATAGATCAATATCAATTTATCTTAGAGAACGGGCTGTGTGTGTGTTGGAAGCAAGGCCCACTGGTTTGACCACCCCTCCTGTTCTTGGCCTCACTCTCTCCTTCCTCAGGATATGGCAATGTGGCTCCCAAGACCCCCGCCGGTCGCCTCTTCTGTGTTTTCTATGGTCTCTTCGGGGTGCCGCTCTGCCTGACGTGGATCAGTGCCCTGGGCAAGTTCTTCGGGGGACGTGCCAAGAGACTAGGGCAGTTCCTTACCAAGAGAGGTGTGAGTCTGGTATGTCCCCTACCCTGGGTGTTGGGCAGAGATGGGGGAACCATGACAGGTGAGGGGAGGACAGGAGGCCTCTAGGAATTGGACCAAGGGTGTAAGGACAGATGGCAAGAGGATAGTTTCAGAGCTCCTTGCCCTCCCGGGTCAGGCTGGGTACCCAGCTAGCTTCTCCTCTAGCTGCCTCCCTGGCCCTCTGGGTGCCTTTGCTGGGTTTCCAAGTCTCCACTATTCTCTGACTTGGCCTCCTGCTCCCCATCAGCGGAAGGCGCAGATCACGTGCACAGTCATCTTCATCGTGTGGGGCGTCCTAGTCCACCTGGTGATCCCACCCTTCGTATTCATGGTGACTGAGGGGTGGAACTACATCGAGGGCCTCTACTACTCCTTCATCACCATCTCCACCATCGGCTTCGGTGACTTTGTGGCCGGTGAGTCCCTGCCTCTGCCTCCCACCTCTTTTTCTGCTTCTTTGGTTTCAGTGCAACAGACCTATGTTGGGGGTGCCCTAGGTAGGGTTCCATGTTCTGGGCACTTCTCTTACCCAGTGGGATTCTCAACCCACTCTGCCATTTGCAAGAGGAAACTAAGACCCAGAGTAATGACAAAAAACTCTTTTCTCTCTGGTTCCCTTTCTCAGACATGGCCTTTTTCCTCCTCCTTTCCTCTCTGCTCAGTCTCTGATCTCCTCTCCCTCAGTTCTCCCATGACTCCTGAGCTTGGCTTCATGGGGGACTTGCAAGTAGGGCCTTCTGCCTGCACGGTTGGTACCTGCTACCCAGGGAGCCCCTGAGCCCACCAGCACCCACTCCACGCCCTCAGCAGCCTTTCATCTTTCACAAGAGTGGAGGGAGGTGTCCTGAAGGCATGGCTCAGAGGCCTGGGGCTTTGTTCCTGCTGTAGCAGCTTAAAGACAAGGGAGGCCTTCTCCCCAGCTGCCCTGCCCCCAGCCCTGACACTCCCTCCTACTCCTCCCCTGCTTAATCCAGGGAAGTGATGAGGTTCTTTGGCCCCTTTGTCTGAAGGCCTGTTACCAGCTGGCCCCAGCCACACATGTACTTGTGTTTGTGGCCTGCACAGCATCTTGGTTCTTAATCTTCTTGACACCCTGTTTGACCCTGTTGACCCACCACCCCAGTGACCTCAACTTCTGCTCCAGAGGCCTCTGTTCTGTACCCCCTCCCTTTTGCCCAGAGGGCAGTGGGAGGCCACTAGCCTTGTGCTTGATGTATGTGGCATCTGGGAGCAGTTGGCTGAGTTGGGGGAGGAACAGGAAAGAGAGGCACAAACACTCCCCTGACCCTGCCAAGTCCGGGCCTGCTGTCCTGGGCAGTACATGTGGACAAGGCACAACCCTGCCATTGTCCAGCCCTTGAGGCCCAGAGCAGGCTAAGGAGGTGCCTCTGGTATTAGGGAAATACAGATGTACACTTAGCCATACTTTCTCAGCACCAGCAAGACACCAAACCCTGCCTCAGCTTTCTCTTCTGTAAAATTAGTAAAAATAATAATTACTATTCATGAGTGTTAAGGGTAGGGCCTGGCTATATCAGTGTGTGCCCTCATTACTGTCATCATGAAACTCTGCTTGTGATTGAGAGCCTTGAGCAGGATTAACAGGACCACTCAGGGCACCTGCTATCTGAGCCCGGTCGTGGGAGGAGAACTGACCGGGCTACAGCACCTGGAGGAACCTCTAGTCTGATGAGAGAGGTAGCCCCCTTCCTCCAGGTCCCTTCTGTAAGTTGCTCTTGTATCTAGTCGAGGGGGCAAATGGAATACAGGTCAACATGCCTGTACATGTAGTCGTCAACGACATTTCAAATAATCCTGGAGTGTAGGGGGAACCTTCAGAGCTGTAGGGGGTAAGCCAAGAAGGCTCCCTGCAGCAGGAGGGGGATGTGGAGCAGACAGAGCCCTCCTCCAGGTCAAGGGAGAGCTGATCTGAGGAAGTCAGGGAGGCAGACCAGACCTTCAATGAAAATAAAAATGGTTCAGCGTTTCTTGCCACGGTGGGTGCTTCCTGGGTCATCTCAACCTAACCACCAGCCTTGTTTGTAATCCACCAGTGTGAGTCTAGCCCCAGCTTGGAGGGTGCTGGGGGCTCCCTTGTGTAATATCCATCCATTCCGTTTTTAAGTGAACTGTATCATATACGCAGAACAGCTGGGGATGGTAGAAGAATTAACAGAAAGGCAAATACTCATGAACTGTTTCTTGACCTGTGTGTCGGTTACATTGCCAGTCCCCCAAAGCCCCTTTAGCTTCCTTCAAAGAGTCACTGTCTTGACTTTTTTTTTTTTTTTTTTTTTTTTTGAGACGGAGTCTCTGTCTGCTGCCCAGGCTAGAGTGGCAGTGGTGTGATCTTGGCTCACTGCAACCTCTGCCTCCCGGGTTCAAGCAGTTCTCCTGCTTCAGCCTCCTGAGTAGCTGGCCCGCCACCATACCTGGCTAATTTTTGTATTGTTAGTGGAGCTGGGGTTTTACCATGTTGGTCAGACTGGTTTCGAACTCCTGACCTCAAGTGATCCACCTGCCTTGACCTCCCAAAGTGCTGGGATTGCAGACGTGAGCCACCATGCCTGGCCTGTCTTGACGTTTCTAGTTGAGGAAACCGAGACTCAGAGACAGGCTGGAGACTGGGATGGGGTCATGAATGATGGCAGGCCCAAGCCCTTGAGGAAGATGGGATAGTCCAGGGTCTAGAACAGGCCCCTTTCTATCCCACTGCACCCCCGTCCTGTGCTCTGGCCTGACCCCTGCTCAGATCACACAGCATTGGCCATTGCACATTTCCCGGGCCCTGCTAACTCTTCCTGACCTCTGGACTGCCTGTCCGCTCAGGTGTGAACCCCAGCGCCAACTACCACGCCCTGTACCGCTACTTCGTGGAGCTCTGGATCTACTTGGGGCTGGCCTGGCTGTCCCTTTTTGTCAACTGGAAGGTGAGCATGTTTGTGGAAGTCCACAAAGCCATTAAGAAGCGGCGGCGGCGACGGAAGGAGTCCTTTGAGAGCTCCCCACACTCCCGGAAGGCCCTGCAGGTGAAGGGGAGCACAGCCTCCAAGGACGTCAACATCTTCAGCTTTCTTTCCAAGAAGGAAGAGACCTACAACGACCTCATCAAGCAGATCGGGAAGAAGGCCATGAAGACAAGCGGGGGTGGGGAGACGGGCCCGGGCCCAGGGCTGGGGCCTCAAGGCGGTGGGCTCCCAGCACTGCCCCCTTCCCTGGTGCCCCTGGTAGTCTACTCCAAGAACCGGGTGCCCACCTTGGAAGAGGTGTCACAGACACTGAGGAGCAAAGGCCACGTATCAAGGTCCCCAGATGAGGAGGCTGTGGCACGGGCCCCTGAAGACAGCTCCCCTGCCCCCGAGGTGTTCATGAACCAGCTGGACCGCATCAGCGAGGAATGCGAGCCATGGGACGCCCAGGACTACCACCCACTCATCTTCCAGGACGCCAGCATCACCTTCGTGAACACGGAGGCTGGCCTCTCAGACGAGGAGACCTCCAAGTCCTCGCTAGAGGACAACTTGGCAGGGGAGGAGAGCCCCCAGCAGGGGGCTGAAGCCAAGGCGCCCCTGAACATGGGCGAGTTCCCCTCCTCCTCCGAGTCCACCTTCACCAGCACTGAGTCTGAGCTCTCTGTGCCTTACGAACAGCTGATGAATGAGTACAACAAGGCTAACAGCCCCAAGGGCACATGAGGCAGGGCCGGCTCCCCACCCCACCTTTGATGGCCTCTTCCCCCCTCACCCTAGGGTGTCCCGAGATGACCGGGACGCCTGGCCCCTGGTGGGGGGGCAGCCTCGGAACTGGGAGTGGGGGGCCAGGGGCCTTCCTAACCTTCCATCATCCTCAGCTAGATGTATGCCCGGGACAGGGCCTCTGTTCTCCAGCTGAACCATACCCTGGCTGTGGGGGCATCTGTCCTGAGCTTGGCTGGTGTATCTCACAATGCAAAGACATGCTGGCTGGCGGGACAGGTGGGCAGGACTGACCCTGAGGAGGCCTTGCCTGCAGGGTCTTTGTCTCACCATTTGGTGGAGTATCACACGGTTCTCTGAGGTCTGGGGCCTCAGCTGTTTAAGTTTACCGGTATTACTGAGCTCGGCATTTGGAGAGGGAGCTCTGAAGTGTCTGGGGAGGTACCGCTGTGCGTGGGGTCAGGTGTTTCCGTACCACAGCAGGAGCAGGGCCCGCCCGCATCCCAGCTGTGGGCCTGCCGGTCAGGTCGGGCACCTACTACAAACCGTAGTGGGGTGGAGGCTGCTGGAGGTGGGAGTGAGGAGATGAGGGCAGGGTCTCAAACAGTCCTGACTCACAGGGCCTGGAAACAAGTCCTATGTGGGCCTGGGGCCTGGGGTCCTCATCCTCCTTGTTGGTCTACTCAGGCCCAGCCCAGAGCTGTGTTCCCTGTCTCAGGTCAAGCAGTGGCAGACGCAAGGCTTTCTGTGGGCCCCCAAGTGGTAGGAGGGAGAGTAGCAGAGCATGGGTTACTGGAAGCCGGGACTGCTAGGGCTGGTGGCCAGGGAGCTGCAAGAGTGAGGCTCAGCTCTGGCTGGTTCTGCCCTTACCCCTCCTGCCCGCCTGAGAACTGCACACCCTGCCCGCTGGCCCCAGGACCTGCACTCCCAATCCTGCTGTCTTCTCCTTCCCTGTGCCCTGAACAAGGACCTCACTGCCCGCCTTCCCCTCCCACCAGCCCCCTTGGGCCAGGCAGGGTGAGGCCAAATTGCTCTTGGCCCACAAATGGGTGATGGTCAGATATGTGAATCAAGCTCCTTTCTCTAGCTAGTGTTTGATGTGCACGTGTGTGTGCACAGTGCGTGTGTGCACACGCACACCTGTGCACTCGTGTGTGTTTAAGAAAGGAAAGGATTTGGGCTGGGGAGCAAAAGATAATGTGAAACTGTTGGTGGACTCTCTGGTGAGGGGTGGGCAGAACTTGCTGCTACTAGAGTTCTTGGGTTCTCCATGATGTTCACCCTGGGGCTGGCCCACTGTGTCCTGAATGTTTTTGTTATTTTTTGTTTTATTTTTTAAACAAACTGCTGTTTTTATATACCTGGAATCTGTTGTTGGCTTCAGAGCCAGTGGTTAAAGAGCAGGGTCCCAAGGATTGGGAGATCTAGTGTCTGCCCTCCTGCCCTGCAACTCAATTGGGCCTTTTTCGGTGACCTCATCCAAGGCCATGATGTCAAGGGCCATGTCCCCAAGCAGAGGTGGAGAAGGGGACACTGAGGTGAGCAAAAGCAGGAAGGGGCATCCACTGCGGGTGACTGGAGGCCGGGCAGGAAGCAAGTCATCAGAGCCGCTCAGCTCCGTTCACTCTCTGCCTTCTGCCCCACTACTGTGGGGCAGTGGGGCCAGAGCCCACCTCCCCAACATGTGAAGACAGTGATGGGCACGTGCCCACACCCCCACTTCTCTAGCCGTTTGCAGAGGCCGCCACCCAGCAGGGGCCTGAAAAGGAGCAGCCTCGTATTTTTCTGTGAAATGTTTTAATGAACCATGTTGTTGCTGGTTGTCCTGGCATCGCGCACACTGTATGTACATACTGGCAACGATGTCAAATGTAATTTATTTTAACATTTTTACAATAAAACATGAGGTGGACAGGCCAGCTTGGTGTGTGCTGTGTGTGGGTCAGGTTAGAGAGGGGTTGGCTTCTGGCCTCTGAGCAGCAGGGGAGCCTGGGCGCATCCACAGAAGATAGAGAGGACTCAGGACAGACTGATAAGAGGATTGGATGGTCTGGAGGGGAGAAAAGAATGAAAAGAGATGAAGAGAGCGGGGAGAGGCAGGCCTCTGTGGGGAGGTAAGGACGCGGGAGGAACATTGCAGTAGAGGTTTGAGAATCAGGAAGGAGTGGGAGGAGCAAGGGGAGAGGCGGGGTGATCATGGCAAACGCATGTCACTCACCACTTTGTCAGGCACTAAATGCTTGCACTGAATAATACGTGAGTGGACTCATTTGACCTGGCAAGAACCCTGAGAGGGCATCAGTACATCTCCATTTTATAGACGAGGAAACAGGCACAGAGAAGTTGCCTTGTGCAAAATCTCAGTAAAAATGGTGAGACTAGATTCAAACCCAGGCAGCCCAGCTCCTGTCCCCTCTACCACTGTGATGAGATGAAAAAGACTACCTGTGGTTTTGTGGCACACCCAACATCTCTGGAAAGGGCTCCTGTCTCCAGGTAGGTGGACCAGAGAACTTGAGCGAAGCTCAAGCCTTCTCAACTCAAGGGGTGGGCAGGAAATGTAGAGCCTGAGCGTGGGCACTGTGGACTGGAAAGAATGTGAAGGAAGAATGGAGCCAGGCTCAGCCGGGCATCTGTCTCCATCTGTCTAAAGGGAGGCTTTGTCAGGCTTCAGCTGTTTGGGGACTGGCCCCTTCTATGACCATTTCAGGGCTCAGCACCAGAAAGGATGATTTCTGAGTTCATTGGAAAAAAAAAAAAAAGTATGATTTCCGGAGTGAACCACATTTTTCATGAGGGCATGGATGTGTTTACAAAGGATTATATGTATTTACCAGCCAATTCTGCAACGACACCATCCCTCCCTCTGCCAACATCACTCCCTCTTGCCCTCTTTCTGCTCCCCCCGACCCCTCTCCTGCCATCACACACAGGTCCAAGGTTCTCCGGTTTTGCTTTAATCACATTCAGCCTCAAGGCAATAACAGTTCCATAACACTGTAAGCCCCACCTTTATTCAGCACTTGGCCTGTTCACAAACCCCATTGACAAACATAGCCCAGGTTATTTGGCCCATCTACAGTTGAGACGAGAGCTTGGGGAGCATGACTTCCTAAGGGCACCCAGCTGGACTGAGGCACAGTTTTGCAGAACTGTGTTCACAGATGATAAAGCACAGACCCAAGATTGGGTGGAGGTGTGGCCTTGGGTCACTGTGGCCAGGGTTAGTCTGGAGCTTTCTGAGTAAGAGATGGGAGGTAGGGCAGCAGCTAGAGCAAAGGGTGGGGCCCAGGAGGCCTCAAGTTCCCCAGGGGTCATGAGCAGGGGAGGGGTACCATGTGGAGGCATGGGGAACATTCCATCACAGTCCGGGGAGCTATAGGGTGGATGGGAGTGGGGCCGGTGGAGGAGGCTGGCGAGTGGCGGAGGAGTGGCAGATGGGTGGGAAGTCACTGGAGATAACACTAGCAGGGAAATCCTTCTGTTGAAGTCATTGATGTTTTGTTGTTGTTTTTTGAGACCGAGTTTCACTCTTCCCCAGGCTGGAGTGCAGTGGCATGATCTCAGCTCACTGCAACCTCCACCTCCCGGTTCAAGTGATTCTCCTGCCTTAGCTCCCGAGTAGCTGGGACTACAAGTGTGAGCCACCACGCCCAGCTAAATTTTGTATTTTTCAATAGAGACAGGGTTTCACTATGTTAGCCAGGCTAGTCTTGAACACCTGACCTCAGGTGATCCGCCCACCTCGGCCTCCCAAAGTGCTGGGATTACAGGCGTGAGCCACCGTGCCCGGCCGTCATTGCTGTATTTCTAATGCAAGGCAGAGATAATTGGATTGGTGAGATCTGGCGACTTGCTGGGGTCCTCGTGGAGGCAGCACTCCTCCTTTCATAGGCCCCAGGGCTCCATTCCCAGCAGGCTTCTCCGCTGTCCTAGTAAACCAGCACCTGCTCTCCACCAGCACCACCTGGGCTCTCCATTATTTGTTCCACTAATGTTTACTGAGCACCTATGTATCATTATCCTCATTTTACAATGAGGAAATTGAGGCAAATATAGGATTTTTTCCAAGCTGAAACAACTATTAACTGGCAGCAAAGCAGCTTCCCTGACTTGCATTCTCATTCCTCATTCTACCCTCTAAGTTTCTGATCTGACAGGGGAGACATCTTCAGAGAACCCAGAGTCTGATGGAGGTGAGAGACAGCGTCTCCCTTCAAGGAGTCTAATCTGACAAGGAGGAGAGCACAGAAAGACCCTCAGGGTCCCAGCTGGGCTTCTTATCTCCTGCATGATCCTGGAGGAGACATTTAGCTCCCTGCCAGAGGTGATGAAGAGAAACCAGGATGTTTGGGTTTCACCTCCTGACTGGAAAGAGCCAGGCAAGGTAATCAGCAGCCACCATTGCATCTGAAGCTCTCATAAGTCTGGGGTAGAGTGGTGGGGAGGGACAGGCAAGCTGGGCTGCACAGCTCTGGGTGGGGCCTCCAGAAATGAGGCCCCTGAGGTTTGGTCTCAGCTCTGCCATTCATCTCTCCATTCTTGAAATAACAGGTTCCCGGTTTCCAAATTCATGCACAACTGGTCCAGGAACCAATGACAACTCGTGAATTGTCAGGATGTATTTCACAGTGAAAACCCCTCCCTAAGATCTCTGTCCCGTCTATCCATCATGGCCCCATCACCAGGGTCCAGGCCACCTGGCCCCTCACCTGGATCTCCCACAACAGCGTAGGGCCTGGCACCTGGTAGGGGGTCCACAGATATTTGTTGAATGAATGAATGAGCCCCATCTGCTGGTCTCCCTGCCTCTAATACTGACTCCCTTTCTACCTGGCCATTACTGTAGCCAGCAACCTAAACTCAAACCTGACCCATTTCTTTTCTGTTTTAAACTCCTCAGGGGCTCCCCATTGCTCTTCCACCCCCTCCCCCCCGCCCCACCTCTCTCTTCAGCCTCCTCTCCTTTCCCACCTCTCTGGGCTCCAGCCACTTTGCCGTTGCTGTTTCCTCTGCCCTGATGCCCTTCCTCTCTCTCTCCTGGGTAAGTCCTGAGACCTAGTGGGATTAGATATGGATATCACCTTCTCTGGGAAGACTTCCACAATTACCTGTAGCCCTCCCGGATTCTGGGCCAGGTGCTCCTCCTCTGTGTTCCAGAGCCCCTTCCTCAGTAAGCTGCCTCTCTCCCACCGAGCTGTTCTGATGTTGTTCCAGCTCCCTGCCTCCTGGTCTTATGCCTCCTCCCCTGACTGGGAGCCGCTAAAGGGCACAGGGAGTAGCTTGTCCACCTTCAGATTCCTGGGAGCCCAGTGTGGAGAGGGGCCCAGCTTTTCCATGTTTACTAAATGGAGGGTAAATGAACTAGAGGCCTGGCCCCTCCTACTGGTAATTCAGTCCCTCTCTTCCTGGGGCAGAGGCCAAATCAGGGGGCAAGGCTTGTTCCAGAAGGGCGAGTCCCCACAAGGCCAGGTGGATGATCTTGAGGGCCCTTGTGGCAGGCTGAGTTGGCCTGGTGAGTCACCTTATCTTGTGCCAAGTCACTTGAATCTGCAGGGCAGTACTGGAATAAAGCACACCTTATTTCTCCCCACCCCAGGGAGCACTGTCATTGGCACCCCCTTTTCCACTTGCCCCATCTCCCCATCTTCACCTCTTACTGTTCCCAGGTGATTCCGGGAGCTGGGCCTCCCAACCCAGCAGCTCCCCAGTCCCCACGGTTCCCTCAGGATTACCTCTGCTCCCAGCAACCCTGCACACCGGGCCCAGCCTCTCAGTTCATAAAGCCCTTTCACACCCATTCCTGGGTGGGATTACGCAACAGCAGGGAGCCAGGTGCAATATTTTACAGGCCTCAATTTAAGGGCCTTTTCCAAATGAGGTAATAAATGTTTTGGTTTGATTTTCCAGGAAAACAAGGCCTAAGGCTAGAACTGGGAGATGGTCAGAAGAAGTAGCAGAAAGGGATGTAGAGGTAAACATGGGGAAAGAGGAAAAGGTCATACATGTTCATTTTAGAGCTGTTTCAACTGTGGGCAACTGGGGCTTAATCCCACTAGACCTCCCCTGAAAAACCTGTAGAATACACCTCAGATTTGTCCATCTGAAGGACAGGGACCATTTATCCACCAATTCCACCCTTGTTGGTTAAGGATGGCCCCAGGGAAATTCATCCCCACCCTCCTTTCATACATGTGGATGCAACAGGCGGTATTATCAAAAGATGACTGCGACAATATCTCCCCACTCACATTCTCATCTGCAAAATGAACTGGCCACTCCCCAACAGGAAGCAGAGTCTATTCCCTTTGAATGTGGGCTGCCCCCAGGACTGTTTTAGTCAATGGAATATGGCAGTGATTCCTGTGATTTCTGAACCCGTGTGTGTGTGTGTGGGTGTGTGTGTGTGTTTTGTTTTTTTGTTTGTTTTTTGCCCAGGCTGGAGTGCCCAGGCTGTTGTGCAATGGCACGATCTCGGCTCACTGCAAGCTCCGCCTCCCGGGTTCACACCATTCTGCCTCAGCCTCCCGAGTAGCTGGGACTACAGGCACCCACCACCATGCCCAGCTAATTTTTGTATTTTTAGTAGAGACGGGGTTTCACCATGTTAGCCAGGATGCTCTTGATCTCCTGACCTCATGACCTCATGATCCACCCACCTTGGCCTCCCAAAGTATTGGGATTACAGGTGTGAGCCACTGCACCTGGCCGAACCCACATGTTAAGGCCTGGCAGCTTCCACTTTGGTGCTCTGGCGGAAGCCAGCTGCAATGTAAGAAATCCAAGTACCTTGAGACCCACACTGTGAAGAAGCCCAAACTCGCCCATGGAGATGGCACATGGAGAGAGAATTGGCCCCACTGAGATTCCATCTTGAACACTGCAGGCCCAGCTGATGCCATACAGAGTGGAGCCCAGCCAGCCCGCAGATTGCAGAATCATGAGCAAAATAAATGATTGTTTTCATAATCCTGAAAGCCTGGGAGTGGTTTGTTACACAGCAATAGATAATTGGAACACTGGCTGGGCTTGCCCTGAGCTATGTGACCTTTGCCGGGCTTTGGAGAAAGCTTGGAGGTAGAAAGGTAGAGAGACACCTGGGCACCCTGAGGTGGCACTACAGCAGCGGTGAAATGCCAAGTGGGCTGAGGGATTGGGCCACCTGGCACAAATAGTATCTCCTACCTGGAGGCTAAAACTCTTTGCCCTCGAACACAATAATTGGCAGAGCTGAGACCAACTGTCACTGGGTCTTCTAACTCTTCACCCGGGGCTCTTTTCCTTATGCAACATCAAAGTTCGTACCTTCCAGATATCAAAGCCCATTCTACTTTAGGGTCTCTAGTTCTCCCTGCTATGTTTAAAGAGCCTGGGTTCTGCTACTATCCAGCTGCACGACCTTAATGGCCATATCCATCATTGACAGGATGCTTATAGGCACTGCCCAGGATACTTTATGCATATGATCTCACGTAATCCCACAACAGTGTTATTACCCAGTTTGGAAGCTGAGGCTCACAGTGATTATACAACAGCTAGAGGTGGAGTCTGGGTTCTAACTTAAGGATCCAGGGCCTGTGCTATTAACTACAGTGTAAGCCGGCCAGGGCAAAACTCTCCTGCTCAAGGACAAGAGTGTACAGAGAGGGTGTCCTGGCTGCAGCTCCAGCCACTCCCCAGAGTCTGCCCTCCTCATCTCCAAGACCAGTGAGGTGGACCAACCAACCCTGCAGGGACTACCCAAGAATCATCAGGGGATTCCTGGGCTCCACCTTGGGAAGATTCTGATTCAGAAGCTCTGGGGTAAAGCCCAGAAATACCCAGGTTCTGGGAACACCTGGCTGGAGATCTCAAACAAAGGTCAGGTCTCTCCAAGCTTCCCACATCCCTGCCAATCCATCCCCACCTGTTTTCATTCTGCATTGAAATCTGTGTTGACATCAATAATGTAAAATTTCCTCCTCCTTCTTTGATTCCTTCACCTGCAGCTCTGGCCAGCTGAGCTGCTGCGTTTTAGGTGTTGACATCACACATTATTTAACTCAGATGACCTGTATTTGTTGAGTCTCTCGAAGGTTGCCTAGAACACCTGATGCTGGTGACTGAGGGCAAATGAACAGCTACCTGGCAGTCAGGCCTGGAGCAGCCAGACACCTGCCTCTTTCTATCAGCTCAGATTCCCACCCTCAACAGTTCACTCCAGGGGAAATTTTCTGACCCAGTGGCCTGGAGCCCTTTTATACCAGCTCACGGGAGCTGGTGGTTAACTTTTTGGAAATTTTGCAAGCTGGTTGTTAAACCACAGCCACTACTAAAAAAAATTAAAAAATTAAATTATATAAATATGCAATTAGATGGTATTAAGAACAAAGGTCATAAGTATGTAAAATTCATCACTTCCTAGCTATTTTGCATCTTACTATTATTCATGCTTTTGAGGTGATTTTTCATCTTCTACAGGTATATGCAAATACCTGTAGATATGCTATTGTGTTTCTCTTTCCAACTTGACGTTTTGTGACACCATATTGGTAGCTAAAAATTGCCCATAGGACAAGCATTTACACCGTGGAAATGGGCAAACACTACCAATTAGGGATCTCTGCTCTCCAGAGAACCAGATGTTAAACATTCATCAGCACATCACTGCACTGACCTCTGGAATGATTTGCAGGCTGGGAAGGGCAGGGGAGAGTGAGGTTTTGTCCATCCTGGAAAGGAAGAAGCAGTCTCTGGATTTCAGGGAGAATGTAATTCGTGAAGTTGTCACTTGCACTCCCTCGAGCGCCTCAGACCATTGCTGATTAGGGATGAAGATTCAAGGCCCATAGGAGCTAACTGCAGGGGTGATGAGTGAGCAGTCTATGTGTACTTGCCCCCTAAATGTACATAGAAGCTCTTGGGTCATGGTCCAAACTGGAGGCTTAAAGGGACTTCTGCCTTCAGCTGGAGTTCTGAGACTGCCGAGGGCCTAGTCCAGGAGCTGTCTTGCCCTCTGCTGAACTGCACTGCAGCTTCAGACAAGTCTCTATGTCCTGGGTCTCTTTATAGTTAAAGGGGAGACCCTCTCAGCAAAGACTAGGTCCTGGCAACTGGATGAAAGCTATTGAGTGTGTCAGATTCAGACTAAGGCTTTGCAAAGATCATATCACTGAGCAGAAACACACAGCCTGACACATAGGATACTGTGACTGAGGCAAGGAGGGAACACAGAAGGGAATCTAAGGTCTTCTAGAAATTCCCTGCCCTCGAGTGAAGAGGAAGGGATGACTCCACACAGGATGTCCATGGCCCCAGTCAGAAGTGGCTACTACAGAGGTCCAGGGCCCCTCGGTCTCACCCCACAAGCCAGTCGTAGTACAGCCCCGTCCCATCAGGGCAGGCATCATCCTGCAGACCATCAGGCCTGCTCCGGGCATTTGAGCCACATGTGGTGCTCTCCCTCTAACAATTATGGCTCTTAATTGAGCACTTACTTTTTGACAGGCTCTGTGCCTGGCACTGTACAAGGGGACCCCGGGAAAAGGTTCCTCTTTCTTTTGTTCTCTTCCACTCTCATACTCATGTGTGTGTGTGTGTGTGTGTGTGTGTGTGTGTGTGTGTGTGTCTGTGTCTGTGTTTGTGGTAGGAGGTGGAGGAAGGCATTGTGAAGGGTTGGAATCAGGGATCCTTAATGACCCACACAGAACTGCAGTGCGTTACTAGTTCAGGTTCTCCAAGAAGCAGATGCCATGACTGGATTAAACCAGAGAGGACTGCATTGAGGGAAACACCTATGAGAGGCTGGGAACGCTGTCTGACCACCATGCAAGTTCTATCCCAGTGCCTATGAAGGTTGAAGCTTAGGTGGAAGCAGTCTAGACTGCCACGCAGGCTAAGGAAAGTTAGGCAAGGCTGCTGGGGAGTCCTAGAGCCAAAGGCGTCTCAGACATGTCTCCTGGGAATTGACCTGCCTTGCTATTCCTGCTGCACTCCGTTCCTGGCAGGGAGCAGCCCACAGTCTGGGCACAAACTTGGCGATGGATTGGAGGCCACAGGGGAGACACCTTTCAGTGCCAGGACTTTCAAGGGGATGCTGGGCCCTCTCCTAGGTTTCCTTGAGATTTCCTGCTGTATCCTGATCACACACTCTCTTCTTTCCTTGAGCTCGTGAAAGTGGTCACTGTGGAAAGTGTCCTCACTGTATCATCCCCAACTCTCAGCCCCAGAGACCCTGACCTACTGTCCAGGAGAGGCACCCCAAGATATGCATAAGAAGTCTTTTCTTCAAGTGTCTCCTCTACTGGGTGGCCTGATTCTACACTAACCGTCTAGAAAGATTCACTTGGTAGTCCTCGCCCTCCCAGATTTTCTTGTCTGCTCTTCTCTGCCTGGCAGGTAACTTCACATTTGCGGCTGCTAACTTGTTCTCTAGATGTTTTATGGGTGTCTGTCCCATCTTCCCGGTGAGAGGGGAGGGGAGGGGTTGTTCTTGGAACTGCCTCAAATTCCAGGCTTGGCCCTTTCCTAGCTGCATGACTCAGGCAAGTCACTTCACCTACCCGAGCCTCTATTTCTTCATTGGAAAAATGGGGATTCTAACGTACCTCAAGGGTGAGAGCGATGGCACCTCATTTCAAATACCTTCCCAGGCCCTCTCATTGGTCTATCTTGTTTCAGGTTTCCTCTCCTAGTTAGCTTTGCCAAGGTGGGTCACATAGTTCAAAGACAGCCACCTAGGCTGGCCCGTCTTCAGCAGGGATTGTGGGTAGGGAAAGCATCTCAAATATATCTACCACACTCACCATCTTCTCTCCCTCCCACTCCACATTCATTCATGGATGCCTTCAACAAATATTTACCAAGTATCTTCAGAAACAGCACTGAGAGTTTGAAGGCAGGGGAACTAGGCCTAGACTTGTGACTTTGGGGACGGCATTGCCCCTCTATGGGCCTCAGTATCCTCTGTAACATGATGGAGGCCACATTTCAACTAGATCAAAGGTTCTCAGCCCTGGGAGAACATCAGAATCATCTAGAGAGTTTTAAAATAAAATGCTGAAACCCAACCACACCCCCACCCCTACTCCTGCAAAGATTGTGGTTTCATTGGCTGGAATGGGGTCTAAATGACACACTTAAAAAAAAACCCAGTTGATTCAAATATGCAACCAGGGTTGAGGACCATTGGATTAAAGGTGAATCATTAGATTTTTGCTAATAATTCAATGGCTAAAGTGGTGCTTAGCCTGCAAGAGGTGCTCAATAGATGCTCCTTGAAGGAATGAATTCCCTTCAGCTATAACATTCTGTTCTTAGTCGAGGGGGTACTGGGGAGCTCCAGTTGGACCAAAATGAAGAGTTTTCTCAAAACCAAAAAGACACTGAAGGAAGGAGGAACACTACCAGTTAAGGAGGAATCTCAGAGTGGTTCTTCCTTAGAAATGGACCAAGCTGGATTCTCTAACTCTTTTGATACTTACCGCCAGTGTGGGAGCCTGGAGGCTGGAGGACTGCCCTACAGCAGGGATGCGGCTTGAGGGTCTGAAATCTGGCATGAGATCCCCCTACTCAATAGCCCTGTGACCTCAGCAAGTCAATGAGCAGCCAGATTTTCACCTACAAACCAGGAATACATATTTCTCCTTCACTAGATTTTGGGAAGATTGACAGAGACAAAGGATTGGAAAGCACTACAGGAATGTAAGAGGTTATTCCTATTAAGCCGAATCCCTGGTAAATCCCAGATATGTGGCTGCCTGAAGTTTCCCTAAGGGAGCAGGAGAGAGAGGGAACTAAATTGTCCAGATCTGACTTGGAAAGTGACAGCTGTCCAGTCATAGTTCTCCCTGAACTTCAAGGAGTCACCCATTCCCAGGAGGGAAGGAATGACGATAATGTACATACTGCCCCACTTAATCACCTCCCAAAGTCCATACCTCTTAATAGTGTTGCGCTGAGGATTAAGTTTCAACATGAACTTTGGAGTGGAGACCATCAATCAAACCTTAGCACGTGGCAAGAGAGGAAGAGACAGGAGCCAGGCCAGCCTTGGTTCTCCTGAGATTTGTATCTTAACATTGACCTTCACCTTTTATAACTAGTAGGTTCCTTGGCACTCAAAGAGCCTTGACCCATCTAGGCACAGGCAACATGAAAAAGCCTGTAGGTGCAAAAGACCCTGCTGTGCTCCTCACTTTGCCCCCAATATCCAACAACATCCCACTGAGGTATTGAATTCCCAGTCATTGAAACTGCTCAGGCAAAGCGTAGGTGTCTACCTATGGAAATGTTGACAAGTTGATCTCAAAGGCCCAGCCCAACCATGTGATTCCGAATTTCCACAATGAGTGGTGAGAGCGGTATTTTAAGATTGTTTTTTCTCCTTCTTGGCACCCGGTGCCCCATGCCTGACACTTGGTCCCTGGCAAGGAAGCCTGTATTCCTGGGGATGGGAGTGGAGCAGTGCAGTAAACAAAGAGTACAAGAAAGTTCCTTCTGCCCCCTCCCCACCTCAGCGCACACACATCCCTGTGGTGGGAGAGCGGTGGGGGTACGGAAACAATGGGAACCTATGAGTCATGGGGACAATGCAAGGCAGGATAATGTTTCTCCAAAAAGGCTCCCTCCAGCCATGTCCGGAGGAGCTGACGTAGGCAGCTGACAGGCTGTGACATCTGAAATGACCCCTAATTCTGGTCAGTCACTTGCCTTGCTGTGAATGACCTAGGTTTTCTTTTTATCTTTTAACTCAACTTTTATTTTTAGCAAAATGATATATAAAAATACCTTCAGAAAGTCGAATAATACTACCTGGATTACAATGGAAAACAGCAGTTGCCTGCCTCACCCTTCCCCAACCCCAGTCCCCAGAGGCGACCTCTTTTGGACTTTCAAGTTATTTCTTTTTATTTTTCTAAATATCATCTGACTGTTTTTTCTTATCGCATGATTATTTTTCTTGTCCCACTTAGTTAGTATGGATTCTCTTTCTACAACAAAAGATGAGGATTAGCCCCTCTCCACTCCAACACACATCCTTTGCCTATCCTCCCAATATAGCAAGATCTCAATTTATGCTTAAATCTCAATTTGGTGTTTACATTATTATGAATGCATAAATATTACATAAGGTACTTAAGTTGCACTTTCTTTCTTACATGACATTTTGCTTTCCGTGTTTTTTCTTTCTTTGCTTGGTTTTGTATGTTCCTAGCACAAATAACTCCCAAACTCCCTGCTATCGCTATAAAGCTCCTTTCAAACAGGTTACCTATTAGTCCCATTTGTTTGTTCTTGCCAACGTATCTTCCAGGGTTGACCATCTTTCTGCTCCTGGCTGGATGGTTGCTCTCTAGGCGTGCTGCATACCTACTACCCTGAAGCATTGCTTCCCCATTAATTGGGAATTCCGTTTGCCTTCATCCTACATTGGAGCCCTTGTTTTTTGAATCCAATGCCATCTGTCTTTTCTTGTTTACTTCCTTGTTTAGTGAAATGCTTCCTTCAATCATTTCCTGAGAAATGGTGAAAGGAAGGTAAAATTTTTGAGACCTTGTATGCCTAAAAAAAACTTTATTCTACCCTCAAGCTTGATTGATAGTTTGGCTGGGTATCTAAATCTAGGCTTGAAATTTTTTTCTTCAAAATTTTGAGTTTTTCCTTTGTCCTCCAGCTTCCTTTATGGCTGTGGAGAAGTTCAGTGACATGCTAATCCTTGGGCCTTCAGATATGGCTGGGGTTTTTTTGTTTTTGTTTTTGTTTTTTTGTCTCTCTCTCTCTCTGTAAATTCTTTAGAATCTCTTTATTTCCAGTGCATTGGTTGGTATATTTTTCCATTCACCATGTGGGTCCTTAGAGCTCCCCTTCAATCCAGAAGCTCGTGCCCTTTGCTCCTTTCTGGGCCTATTAAGTTCTATCTTTTTGAGTGGGACCACTTGGATTGGTCTCCTGGTTTTCTAATCTTTACATTTTGTCTTCTTATCCTACTTTCGAGAGGATTTTCTAATCTTTATTTCTCAACCCTCTAACTGATTTTTAAAAATTCTACTTTATTTTGACTTTGTTTCTTTTTTCTTCTTAACTTTTTATTAAAAGAATTGCAAATATACAGAAAAGTTGAAAAAATATTATACTTAAATGAACTTAATATAAACAATACTTCAATAAAATAGTATACTTTTCCCCTCTACCTAGGTTAGTGCTGTTCAATAGAAATACAATGTGAGCCACGTAAATAATTTTAAACTCTCTAGTAGCCACATTAACAAAGTAAGAATAAGCAGAGGAAATTAACTTTAAAATATATATTATTTATTTCAAAATATTATTTCTACATGAAATGAATATAAAATTATTAATGAGATATTTTACATTCCTTTTCTGTACTAAGCCTTTAAAACCTAGTGTGTATTTTGTAATCACAGTATATCTCAGTTCAGATGATGTCAATAGTAGCCACAAGTGACTAGTGACTAGTAGCTACTGTATTAGTGTGAAACAAGAAGGAACAATTAATTGTATATCTATATACTGCATGTATACTTTGGCAGAACTATTTCAAAGAAATTTGTAGACTACATTTTTTTATTAGTTTTTTTTAATTTCAATAGCTTTTAGGGTTCAAATGGTTTTTGGTTACATGGATGAACTATACAGTGGTGAATTCTGAGATTTTAGTGCACCCTAGAACACATTATTCTTGATTGTTAAATACTTTAGCCTGCAGATCCTAAGATTAAGGACATTCTGCTACATCATCGTACCACTATTATCACACCTAAGAAAATTAATATCTAATATCTTTAAAATCCATATTTAAATTTTCTAAATTGTGCCCAAATTATCTTTTGTAACTGGTCTGTGTGAACTGGGATCTTATCTCATTCCATTTGGTTGTTAGGTCTCCTTAGTCTTTCTAAAATCTATTGTAGTCTTCCTATCTTTTTGTTGCCCCATAGCATTGCCTTTTTTTTTTTTTTTTTTGAGATGGAATTTCACTCTTGTCGCCCAGGCTGGAGTGCAATGGCACAATCTCAGCTCACTGCAACCTCCACCTCCCGGGTTCAAGCGATTCTCCAGCCTCAGTCCTTGGAGTAACTAGGATTACAGGCGCCCACCACCACGCCTGGCTAATTTTTTGTATTTTTAGTAGAGATGGGGTTTCGCCATGTTGACCTCAGGTGATCCACCCGCCTAGGCCTCCCAAAGTGTTGGGATTACAGGCATGAGCCACCATGCCTGGCCCAGCACTGACTTTTTAAAGATCTAGGCAAGTTTTGTTTTTGTTTTTTTTGAGACAGAGTCTCTGTTGCCCAGGCTGGAGTGCAGTGGCGCAATCTCGGCTCACTACAACCTCCTCCTCTTGGGTTCAAGCAATTCTCCTGCCACAGCCTCCCGAATAGCTGGGATTACAGGCGTGCGCCACCACACCCAGCTAATTTTTGTATTTTTAGTAGAGATGGGGTTTCACCATGTTGGTCAGGCTGGTCTTGAACTCCTGACCTCAGGTGATCTGCCTGCCTCGGCCTCCCAAAGTGTTGGGATTACACGCGTGAGCCACTGCACCCAGCCCATAATTTTAATTTTCAAGAGTGTTTCTTGTTTTGTGAACATTACTTTTTCTCATAGCATCTTATTCTTTATTCAAAGGTTTTGGTATTTTTCTGAGAATACTATATCAAAGAGACAAAAGATATATTTGCATATATGTATTCTGTTTTCTTTTTCTTTTTTCTTTGAGATGATGTCTCGCTGTGTTGCCCAGGCTGGAGTGCAGTGGTGTGATCTCGGCTCACTGCAACCTCCGCCTCCCAGGTTCAAGTGATTCTCCTGCCTCAGCCTCCCAGGTAGCTGGGACTACCGGTGCATGCCACCACGCTCGGCTAATTTTTTGTATTTTTAGTAGAGATAGGGTTTCGCCATGTTAGCCAGGATGGTCTCAATCTCCTGACCTCGTGATCCACCCACCTTGGCCTCCCAAATATTCCATTTTATGTACCATCTCTTGAGTATTTAAAACAATTTTTTCTTGTTTATTTTGGTTTCTCTTTTTCACATATCTCTTGCAGTACCTAGTGATATTTTGTTGTCCATTCGTATTTAATGCTGAAGCTCTGATTACAGTTGACCTTTGAACAACATGGGGGCTAGGGTTGAATGCGCATGTTAGACAGTGTGGGAAGAGGGTGTGATCCCTTTCTACAAGTTTATCCTACAGTCACATTCACACCTGTGCAGGATAAGGAGTGTACAAGAACACTCATGTTAGTTGAAAATTCATGTACAACTTTTGTCTTCCCCAGAACTTAGCTACTAATAGGCTACTGTTGACAGGAAACCTTACCGATAACATAAACAATCAATTAACATATATTTTTTGTGTTATATGTGACATATGCTGTATTCTAATAATAAAGTAAGCTAGAGAAAAGAGAATGCTGCTAAGAAAATCATGAGGAAGGGAAAATATGTTTACTATTTATTTATTTATTTTATTTTTTGAGACTGAGTCTCACTCTGAGTGCAGTGGCGCAATCTCAGCTCACTGCAACCTCCGCCTCCCAGGTTCAAACAATTCCTTGCCTCAGCCTCCCGCGTAGCTGGGATTACAGGCACAAGCCACCACACCCGGCTAATTTTTGTATTTTTAGTAGAGACGGGGTTTCACCATCTTGGCCAAGCTGGTCTGGAACTCCTAACCTCATGATCCACCCACCTCGGCCTCCCAAAGTGCTAGGATTACAGACGTGAGCCACCATGCCCAGCCTGTTTACTATTTATTAAGTGGAAGCGGATCATCATAAATGTGTTCATCCTGGTCATCTTCACAATGAGTAGGATGAGGAGGAGGAAGACATGGGGCTGGTCTTGCTGTCTCAGAGGTAGAAGAAGATCCGTGTATAAGTGGACCTGCACAGTTCAACCCGTCTTGTTCGAGGGTTGACTGTATGTGAACAGGGCTGGTGCCCAGTAAACTTGGTAGCCAGCCCACTTTTTCACTGAGAAACCTCTAAATGTCAGCATCTGTAGGTCCTTTCTCTTGGGTCAATTTCCCAGTAATTTGCTGAGTCCCTCAAATTTGCTCAGAGATATAAACCAGTTCCAATGTTCTGATGCTGAGTGGGGAAGGGCTTGGGGAAACTACTTTTGGTGTGCAGACTTGCACTTAATTTCTAGCCTCACCTGTGTTAACCTCTCTATAAGCCAGCCCATCTTCTGCTATAGTGGAGAAGGCTTTGCAAGAAGTAGGAGGGGATCTGGGGCTCTCACTGCTTCTTCACTCACTTCCAGCCAGTCCCTCTCAGCCCTCCACCCTGGCACCCGCTTCTGAGGTATCCAGTGTTTCCAAGCGCTGAGCCATTGGAGGCTCCCTAAGCTCGAAGCTCAAAGCAGCCTGCTTTTCATTGCCATCCTGACCATCCTCCCACCTCCAGGCCAGGCAGCTACGGTGCAGCTGCTTCCCGGGGGTGAGTAACTGTCCTTCCCCTTTTCAGTTTCCAGAATTTTGCTGACTACCCCACAACTTCACTTTTCTTGTCCTTGTGGGTTATGCCTTCTCAGTAACATCTGAGTGGGGTTTTAGGAGATAGCAGAGACCAAAAGCGGTCAGCCTCTATGCAATGGCCCAGTCACTGGTGAAAATTCTCTGTAGGTGAAAAAGAAACATTGAAGAGATCCCACATCCAAATTCTAACCCCATTAAGAGATCCAGAGACCTGGGAGAAGCTTGAGGAGTCTGGCCTGCCTGCTGATCCCGGCTAAGGAATGACCCTTAAAAGCTCTGCTATGTGGCCTGGCTGCTAGGGGATGGGAATCCAGGTTCTCAATTTTGACAACTCTAGAGTTCTGAGATGGCCCCTTTGCCCCAGGCCAGCTCCTACATTGCCCCATCACATCTCCAGACCTCAGAACAACCCCTGGGGTCTGATGACTTGCTTGACATCCCCCAACCCTTACCTCCAGCCCCTGCCTTCTAGGGCCTGGCCTTTCTAAACTTGCCTCTTTCTTTTATTTTCTCCTTTTATTTTCCTTTTGAATGTTATTTTTTCACTTTCAGTACCTATCCTTCCCCCTTTTTTCTCCCCCCACCTGTTTCTCCCCTTTCCTTTCCCCCATTCTCTCTCTTTCTTGCTCTCTCTCCCTCTCCCTCCATCCATCCATGCCTGACTTCTTCCTTTGGTACATCAGGACCTTTTCCAACAACACCAGTGGTTTTCAGTCAGGATTGATTCACCCACACTCCCAGGAGACGTTTGGCAACTTGTGGGAGGGAGTAGGGGTGCCACTGGCATCTCATGGGTCGAGCCCAGGGATGCTGCTCAACGTCCTACAATGCCCAGGTCGGCCCCCTGCAAACAAAGGGTTTTCCAGCCCCATATGTCAATAATGCTGAAGTTGGGAAACCCTGCTCTACCATAGCCCCTGCTTCACCCCATCCCTAACCCTTCTCAGATAAAACAAGCATGGAGAGCAGGGGCCCCAAAAGGCAGCCATTGCCAGCAAAGGCTGGGATGAGCTGCCCAGACAGCCCGCAGGGCCCAAGCCCCTGGAATCTGCTGGTGTTGGCTGTTTTGGCCTTCTCAGAGTCAGATAACCTGGTGGGAAAGAGCTCCTGAGCCATCCCAACTGCTGCTGCCAGCTGGTTACCTGACTATGGGGACCAGCCCTGGTGCTGGCTCAGGAACAGGTCATGAAAACACAGCCAGCCCACCACCCACTCCAGACTGGTCTCTTCCATGAAGGCAAGGGTGGCAGCAGTAGCCTCTGACAAGTGTGAGGCATGGAAACCTGCCTAATCTCGAGCCTGACTTACCAGCCTGCTGGGAACCCTCCCAGAACCCAGCGTGTGGTATGATGGGGCCTGCCTACCCTCCATGACTGCAACCCTACACTACCAAAGCCTCTGCAGGCTGAGTTGACTTCCTGAAGTTGGCAGGAATAGGGGTGGATTATGGAGCAAGATGGAGCCTGGCCCTGTTGAATTCAGTGAAGCAGGCTAGGGCAGCTCAAGGCAGAGAAGAAGCTTGGAGAGCCCTGGCTCCCAACTTCACCTTCAAACCCTGGGTCATCCCCTGTGGCAGAGACTACTTGTTGCCTCTTAATATTCATTCTCCTATTCTTACACAGTAATTGAATTTGTAGCTGGCTCCCTAGCTAAAGATTACATTTCTCAGACTCCCTTGCAGCTACATGTGGTCACATGACTGACTTATGTCCCAACGAGATATGAGCAGACATGGCGTGTGCAACCTCTGGATAGTGCCTTTAAAAGGAAGAGGAGTGCAAATGTGATGGCAGGAGCTGGAACAATCACTTTAGACCATATGAAACAGAAGCTATATGCTGAAGGTGGCCATGCAATAAGGCAGAAGGCACATGGCTTCCCCCACCATTGAGTTGCCATATTGTGGACCATCTACTCAGACGTTTACATGAGAGAGAAATCAAAGTGTTTCTTGTTTAAGTCTCTGTATTTGCAGTCTCTTTTTATAGCAGCCTATTATGTGTCCTAATAAAAATAGCTCCTTGATGAAGCCTTCTGTGACACCCTCCTAGTCTAGACGAAGTAGGTGTCACTTCTTGCACCCCTGACTGGATATTTTTCGGATGAGAAAACAATGACCCAAGGTCACATTTACAGTTAATTTATAATGGAGCTGAGGCTTGAAGCCAGGTTCAAAGCATTGGCCTGAATGAAGGCCAAGGTTCCTTCACTTTCTAATATCCTAAGGTTCTCCGTAACCTACTAATCAAAGGGTATGGCAGGCACAGAGACCTTACTGGAGGCACTCATCTCATCAGATGCAAGGGTCTTCCCCACTCTCTGCTCCCTGGCCACACTGACCTTTCAGTTCTAAAAACCAGCCATACACTGTTTCGCCTCAGGGCCTTTACATGAGCTGTTCCACTGCCTAAAATATGCTTCTCTCCTCTTTTCACCAAGTTGACCTTTTCAAAATGCAACTCAAGCGACACTTCTTCAGGAAAATCTTACCTGTCAGTCCCACTAGACTGAGAGCTCCAAAAGGGCAGAGACCAGGTCTGGCTTTTACTTATTGTTTGATCCCTAATGCCTGGAATGGTGCCACAGCAAACGTGTGAAATGAATGAATGAATCCACCTGAAAGGCCAGGGCTGTAACCCCACCTGGAGCTTGGGAAATAGCTGGGCTGACCTCCTAAGGTGTCTTCCAAACCCAAGAGTACAGTCTACCAGGAGTGATGTTGTAATCCATGACTTACCCAGGGGAAAACTCTCATCCAGGGTCCAGGAAGCTCCTAGAGAGGTGCCTCAGAAACTTTCATATGTATATGAATAACCAGTCTCTGATTCAGTAGGTCTGGGTTGACCCAAGATTCTGCATTTCTAAGATGCTGCTGGTGCATGAACCACACTTGTGGGTAGCATAGCCCTAGAGGGCCCCAGATTCCCTCTAGGAGTCCATCTGTCCACTTCCCTGCTCTGCTCTGTTCTGCCTCTCATCTGTGAAATCTGTCTTTCCAGAAGGAGCTCCCAGTCTCAGCCAGGAAGGCTCTGGGTCTCCCTGTAAAATGGAACGCATGGCTCAGCACGCCACCTTCTTCTTTGCCCCAGAGCCTGGCTCTTTAGTCTGGGGAGGTAGGTCTTTCATCCTATTAGCCTCCCAGGACAGCATCCAAGATCAAGGCCCAATCTGTCCACCCCAGAGGCGCCACACCACAAACCTGGCAACTGTACCCTGGATGCCCTGCCCTTGCTGCCAGCCACCACCTCCTACCCTCTCAAGGCCAATTCTCCGTCTTGGCACTGGTGGCTGCTGTGACACTCTTGGACCGGCGCCACCCCTTTAACTTTGTGTTTTTCCAGGGTTAATTGACTTTAAAACACAAAGGCTATGTGTGTAGGAAGGTTATATCAGAAAAGAGAACATAGACTTGTCCACAGAGTTTCCCTTGTTGTACGGTGGGTGTATGTGTGTGCTGTGTGTCTGTCTGCCCATGGGGTCCTCAGTGTTGACATCTGGGTGTGCCTGTGTGTCTTCCTGGGGCTCTGACTCTAGTGCTCTGAGCTTTGGATTGGGGTGTGTGTGGCATTGGGAGGGGGAAGGCAGGAAGGAAGGGCTAGGGCACCAGCAGCTTCATCCCTGGGCTTCTCCTTTTGCCTTCACTGAATAAACATCTTGTTTGTCCACCAGACAGGCAGCATAGCCCTAGGGCATACACAGCTTCCGCTGCCCCCCAGGGCTCAGGACTGGCCAGACCTGCACAGGAAGTCTGGCTGAACCATAATCCAGGCGTGGGAAATGCCAAGGCAAGAGGCATCATGCCAGGCCCGGACACCCGCCTCCCACCCCCACCCTGTTGATGGGACCAGGCAGCGCCCTTGGCGAATGTACCTTCATCACAGCACAGCCCAGAGCCAAGCCTCCTCACCGCACTACCCCCACCTCCCTTGTGCCGTCTGGAAGCACAATGGGGCCACTTCAGAGCAAAATCTCATCTGTGAAATCCGTCTTTCAAGAAGGAGCTCCCAGTCTCAGCCAGGAAGACTCTGGGGCTCATTGTAAAATGGAACGCATGGCTCAGCACGCCACCTTCTTCTTTGCTAGAGTCACCTGTGACCAGGTGGAGGACAGGGGTCCCAGCAGCCTCACATTCCAAATCCCACCACACAGGGCCGTCTAGCAAAGCCAGGGGAGCTTAGAGAGAGTGAGCTCCACATCACTGGCAGCGTGACTGTCCCTGAGGGATAGGTGATCTTGCCACTTTGAGCCTTAGGAGTTAGAGATGTCAGTGTTTCATCCCTCTGCCTCTGGACCAGACTGCAAGGAAGGGAATCAGTCTTGAGTTTAAAGAGTGCTAGAAAAGTTGATTTCGGAGCTTCTCTACGTCCCTAGATCACTCATGAATTCTTCCTTTCTTCCACCTCTCATTTGAACAGTGTTAATTCTTCTGCTTTCCATGATGTTTATGAATGAATTGGGGTGTCCCTTTTCTTGCAACAGAAAGTGACTAGGGTCATGCAAGTGACAAAAAGGGTAGTTTCCAAATATTATTGGACCAGAACCCATTTAGGGTCCCTCCTGCCCAGGCCCTTGACCCCCCCCTGCACAGAGGCCCAAACAAGAACCATGGGACAGAACCTTGGAGGGTGCTAACTCCTGTTGGCGCCCAGGGCTCTGGGAGTTAAGACAAGCATGTGTGTGAGGGAGGTACGAGGGCGGGGGTATTCTTTACTTCTTGGCCTGGCCTCCCATAGGGAGCTTGGACAGCTGGGTGGTCAGCCTCACTATCCCACATCACCCCATCCCTCGATGTTCTCAGTCACTTTAAGTGCTCCTAGTCCTCAGGATCTGCTTCCTCTGCAGTCTGACCCAGTATCAGAGCTAGAAAGTTACCATGCAGATGAGGATAGGTCAGCAGGTGAGGGCTCTCACTCTCAAACCCTCAGAGGGTGCAACAGGATTCAAAGCCCGTGAGTTCCAGTGAGGCTTGGACCTCACTCTTGGCAGCTCAACCTCAAGGACTTTCCTGACTCACGACACAGTCAGAGAGGTGGGTTTGGTCTTGTGCTTGGAGTTTGAGCTATGCTCTTCGCAGATATTGAGATGTAGTCTTGAGTGCTTTTAAGACTTCTTTCTGAATGTCTGCATATGGTTGTGTGTGTGTAGATGTGTTTGTGTGAATGCACTTACATGAGAGAGAAAAAGGAATAGAGAGGCAGAAAGACAGCGGCAGGGAGGGACAGGAATAGCCCATCCAAGACGCTAGAGGTGGAGTCTCTCTCCACTCCAGACTGCGGCTGCTTCTCCCCTCAGACTGGGGCTACCTGAGGACTGGGCTGTGTCTCCCCTCAGACTGGGGCTCCCTGAGCTCGGGGCTCTGTCTCCCCTCAGACTGGGGCTCCCTGAGAACGAGGCTGTGTCTCCCTCAGACTGGTGCTCCCTGAGGATGCAGCTGTGTCTCCCCTCAGACTGGGGCTCCCTGAGGACGGGGCTGTGTCTCCATCAGACTGGGGCTCCCTGAGAAGCTGGTCCCCTGAGGACTGTTTTGTACTCTGCATATGTGTCTCCCACACGTGTGGGATGAGTTCACTTTCCCTGAGTTTCGGCAGCTTCTGTAGAAACACTCAGGGAACAGCAGTCTGTTTCTGGGCTGGAGTTCAGGGAGGTCTGGCTTGGATCTTCTTAACAGACATGACTCTGGGACTCCCCAAGGTCTGCCCAGACTCTGCCCACTGAGTGCTGCCCCTCCATCCCATTCCCTCACTCTTCCCTTCCCGCTGCTGTGGGGCAGAGAGGGTTGGAGTGTGAGGTCTCTGGACTAAGGCCGTCCCTGCCAAGCAGTCCTTCTTCTTGACTCCTCAGGCTCCAGCACACCAGATTCATGGGCTGAGTGATGGGCCGAGGGGCTTTACCGCGGGGCCTCTGGCATCCCCTCTTCCTGCCCTTCCCCATGTGGCAAGCTCTCTCCCCACTCATCCCTTGCCCTGTGTGGGTCCCTTCTTGCCTGTCATGAGCTCTTGCCTTGAAGGAGGTGTCCAGGAGCCAGGAAAGATGGAAGAGAAGGACCAGGAATAAGAAGAAAAGAAAGATCACAAGGAGGGTGCTGCCTGGGCCCAGCAGCCATACAATTAGGTGATGTGTGCTGGGTTTGTAAATTATCTCTCTTATCATTTTTGCTTTGATGCAGAACAAACAGAACTCCCCATGGCATTTAAGTCTCTCAAAGGCTGGGATCTTTGTTTTGCTCTCTGTTGTCTCCCGAGTGTCTAGATGCCCAGCCCATAGCAGGTGCTTGGTTAATGACTGTGGGACGGGTGACAGAGTCTCAGCCGGTTGTGTGGGCATGGACTTTTGGACTCTTCTTCCAACAGTTCCAAGTCCCTGTCCAGCCCACCTTGCTCCCCACACGTTCCTAGGGGGTTCCCTTAGGGATCTCACAGGCTCTGTGGAACCCACTTTGAGAACACCTGGAGGAGCTGTCCTCTTCAAATTCTAAGCTCCCGAGGAAGGGGAGAGAAGGAGGAGGAAGCATGGAGTGAAGGGGACTCCAGTAATTTCGAGTCGGGGCTGAATGTGGGAGTTTGTGGTGGGAGATGGAGGCTTCTCCAGCAGCAAGCCCCGCCCCAGCTAAGGGAAACCCAGAAGAGACCATTGAGAGTCAAAGTTATGTATTCTGAAGGCTGATGAGCGCTCATTGGAGGAGAGGTGTCTGGGCAGGATGCTGGCAGCTGGGGGCTCTGAGGGTGTCGCAGGGAAGCAGAGCCACCTGCCCGTCTCTGGAGACCTCGAGTCCCTCCCGCCCGTAGATCGTCACATGCAGCGCCACTGCCCCCTTGTGGTCATGCCGCCAGCAAAGCCGAAGCGTCCTGTCCCTGCAGTGGGGATGCTCTAAGTGCCTGGAGGACGAAGACCTCCCCCAAAGCCAGATGCTCTCTGGCTGGGATCAGAACCAGATAACTCAGGGAATCTGCCTCTGGCTTCCCTTTCTCCTTCAGGCCAAGGCTCCCAAAGCAAGAACCATCAGAAACCAAAGCCACGTGGTGCGGTGTGTCCAGCTCCGGCCTGGGAGTATAGAGACCAGGGCGTGAATACTGCTGTCCTCAACATGCTGTGTGACTTGGATAAGTCTGATAACCTCTCTGAGCCTCCATGTTCTTGTTTATAAAATGAGACTCACAGTTCCCATCCCACAGGCCTCAGGAGCTGTTGCGAGGGCTTGTGAGACACCTTTTGCAAAAAGCCCTGGGCAGAGAGGGGTGAGGCTGGAAGGCTTCTGCCAGGAGAAAGCAGCGCTGGGGAGTTTGTGGGAGACAAAGGTGAAGAGGAGAGTGGGAAGAAGGAATTTGCAGTTGAGGGACCCCAGAGACAGGCCCTCAGGATTCATCACCCTTTGCCTTTAAGAAATTCATCTTGTCTGCAAAGCTCCCCAGATCCCAGCAATTCCCCACCAGGAGCTGGGACCATGTCCCTCCTGTCCTCCTCTGTTGAGCCTCATGCTGGCCCCATGGTGCAATACTATAGCCAGACATTAGAGCCCTCAGGTCTGCTGGACAATTGATGCACAGAGACCACCAGGTTTATTCTCCCCCAGCTCTGAGGTAATATAACAAGGATCGCCTTTCCTCTAGTTTTCAACGTGCTCTTCATTTCTGTCTGAGACCTCACTGGAAGCACCTTTAACATTCATATTGCTGCCAGGCACCATGGCTCACATCTGTAATCTCAGCACTTTGGGAGGCCAAGATGGGCTGATCACTCAAGGCCAGGAGTTTGAGACCAGCCTGGCCAACATGGCGAAACTTCATCTCTACTAAAAAAAAAAAAGAAAAAGAAAAAGAAAAATTAGCCAGGCATGGTAGTGGGTGCCTGTAATCCAGCTACTTGGGAGGCTGAGGCACCAGAATCATTTGAACCCAGGAAGTGAAGGTGGCAGTGAGCCGGATCGCACCACTGCACTCCAGCCTGGGCAAGAGTGAGACTGTTTCCACAAAGGTTAAAAAAAAAAGAGAGAGAGAGATATTCATATTTCTAGCAACAATCTCTTTGAGGGTAATCTAGGCTTTTTCTGTCATGCGCCTTCCAATGCTTTCAGCCTCCACCCATTATCCAATTCCAAATCTACCTCTGCATTTTTAAGTATTTGTTATAGCAGCACCCCAGAACCACCTAGAAGCTACTGGAAGAGGCACAGGACAGATTTCTCCCTCAGAGCCCCCGGAAAGAACCAACTCCACGGACCTTGATCTCAGACTTCTGACCTCCAGAACTGTGAGATAGATTTCTGTTGTTCTCAACTACCTAGTTTGTGGTACTGTGTTATGGCAGCAAACATATTAGTTTGCCCTAGCAAACGAATACACACCATTGCATCCTCTTTCAGCTACCTGGCTGTGCTCCTGCCTCCAGAGCAGCCCCTCATCTCCAGCTCTGCCTCCACCCTCTAGTCTTCAGTCTCTTCTGCAGGCCCTCACCACTCCTGTGGCATCCATCTTGAATCTCTGCAATGATCCCAAATCCAATTCTAAGTCACTTCGAGGTCAATCACTGTCCTGACAATAATTGTCCCAGCTCATGTTTCCTGCTCTATCACGTGGCAGGCACAAGGTTAAGTGTTTACTGCCGTTCCCTCATGGAATCCTTGCTTGAGGATTGTCCCATTTTAAAGAAGATGAAACTGAGGTTCAGAGAGGCTAAGTAACTTGCCAAAGCCACATAGCTCATATACGTTGCGTTATGTGAAAATCTATGCTCATAATCAGTGCACTCGCGTGTCTCCTACACACTGTTCTGCCTCTCCCAGAGACATGGTTTCCAACTGCCTTCCACATCACCACCTGGAAAGCCTTAGGTCTCCTCAAGTTCACTGTGTCTAGGACAGCTTGATGATTCCTCCCCTCCACACACACACACCTCACACCAATCCCTTTCTCCACTTCCTGTAATGGCCCTGGAGTCACACGGGCTGGAGACCTGGCTTCCCCTCAGCATTCTTCCAGGGCCTCTCAGAGCTTGGAGGAGGCTGGGACCACTTCTTCTTTTGAGACCCCAGTATATAGATTTTTTAATTTTAAGTTTTTATTGATTGATTGATTTTTTTTTCTTTGAGATGGAGTCATGCTCTGTCACCCAGGCTGGAGTGCAGTGGTGTGATCTCGGCTCATGGCAACCTCTGCCTCCTGGGTTCAAGCAATTCTCCTGCCTCAGCCTCTTGAGTAGCTGAGACTACAGGCGCCTGCCACTACACCTAGATAATTTTTGTATTTTTAGTAAAGACGGGTTTTACTATATTGGTCAGGCTGGTCTCGAACTTCTCACCGCAAGTGATCTGCCCACCTCGGCCTCCCAAAGTGCTGGGATTACCGGCATGAGCCACCGCACTTGGCCTGAATGATTGATTGATTGATTTTTAAAAATTTTAAATACAGTAGTATTCAGTTTTTTGGTGTTTAATTTTTATGAATTTTGACATATGCCTAGATTCTTGTAACCACCACTACAAATAGGCTACAGAACCATGGCAGCACCCTGGGGAGTGCCAAGCCCTGGAAACCACTGATCTGTTTTCTGTCCTGTATTCATTTCCTGTGGCTGAGGTAACAAATTACCACAAATTTAGTGGCTTCGAAAACTGAGATTTATTCTCTCAAAGTTCTGGAGTCCCAAAGTACAACTTCAACATCATGGGGCCACAATCAAGGTGTCGGTAGGGCCACATTTCCAACACTGAAATTTCTAGGGGAGAATCCATTCCTTGCCCCTTCCAGCTTCTGGTGGCTGCCAGCATTCCTTGACTTGTGGGCACACTAGCCTAATCTCCATGGCTAGCATCTCCAAGTCTCTCTCTCAGTTCCCTCTTCCTATCACCAATTCTTCTGTGTCAAATCTCCTGCCTCCGTCTTATAAGGACACTTGTGATTAAGAGACCCATCTCCAGATACTTAATCACACCTGCAAAATTCTTTTTTGCCAGATGTGTTAACATTCACAGACTCCAGTAATACATTTTGGGGCATTACTTAGCCTAGTGCATGTCCCTACCACCTTTTTCAGAAGGCCATATGAATGGAATCACACAGTATGTAATCTTTTGAGACTCAGCATAATGCCTTTGAGATCCATCCAAGTTGTTACATGCATCTGCAGTTTGTCCTTTTTTATTGCTACTTCTATTATTTATTATTTTATTATTATTATTATTATTATTATTATTTTGAGACAGAATCTTGCTCTATCTCCCAGGCTGCAGTGCAGTGGCATGATCTCAGCTCACTGCAACCTTAGCCTCCTGGGTTCAAGCAATTCTCCTGACTCAGCCTCTCGAATAGCTGGGATTACAGGCGTGTGCCACCACACCTGGCTAATTTTTGTATTTTTAGTAGAGACGGGGTTTCACCATGTTGGCCAAGTTGGTCTCTCACTCCTGACCTCAAGTAATCTGCCTGCCTCAGCCTCCCAAAGTGCCGGGATTACAAGCATAAGCCACCATGCCTGGCTGATTTTATTATTTTTTTTTATTGTATGGTTTGTTTATCCATGGTATGGATGTATCACAGTTTATTTGTTCACCAATTGAAGAATATTTGGGTTATTCCCAATTTGGGTGATTATGAATTGTGCTGCTATAAACATTTGTGGACGGATTTTTGTATGAACAAATTTCAGTTCTCTAGAATAAATACCCAGGAGTGGGAATGTGAGGTTGTGTGGTAAGTGTATACATAACTATAAGAAACCGACACACCATTTCCAGAATTGCTGTACTATTTATTATTCCCACCAACAACATAGGAAAGTTGCTCCTACATCCTTGATAGCACTTGGTATTGTCAGGTATTCAAAAAATGTTTAGCCATAGCCATTCTACTAGGTCTGTAAGGATACATCATGGTTATTTTAATTTTGTATTTCCCTAATGACTAAATGATGAGCATGTCTTTATGTGTGTGTTGTCATCTGAATAACTTCTTTGGTGAAATGTTGCTTCAAACTTTTTGTCTATTTTTTTTTTTTTTTTTTTTGAGACGGAGTCTCACTACGTGGCCCAGGCTGGAGTACAGTGGCGCGATCTCAGCTCACTGCACGCTCCACCTCCCAGGTTCACACCATTCTCCTGCCTCAGCCTCCCGAGTAGCTGGGACTACAGGCACCTGCCACTATGCCTGGCTAATTTTTTGTATTTTTAGTAGAGACGAGGTTTCACCATGTTAGCCAGGATGGTCCCGATCTCCTGACCTCATGATCCGCCTGCCTTGGCCTCCCAAAGTGTTGGGATTACAGGTGTGAGCCACTGCGCCCAGCCCTTTTTGTCTATTTTTAAAAATCAGGTTGTGTGTTTCTCATTGAGTTTTGACAGTTCTTTATATATTCTGGATACGAATTCTTTGTCAGACAAATGATTGGCAAATATTTTCTCTCCCATTCTGTGGCTTGAATTTTCACTGTCTTAACAGTGTCCTTAGCAGAGTAAAGTTGTTAATTTTCATGAAGTTAAGTTTATCTTGTTTTCTTTTGTGGATGATATTGGTGTTATATCTGAGAACTCTTTGGCAAACTCAAGGTCACAGAGATTTTTCCTGATGTTTTCTTATGAGAGTTTTATGATTTCACATTTTATATTTAGGACTATGATCCATCTTAGGTTAATTTTTATATAAGTTGGGAGTTATACGTTCATTTTTAAAGTATATGTCTGTCTACTGGTCCCAGCATCTTTGTTTGTTTGTTTGTTTTTTAAGACAGGGTCTTGCTATGTTGCTCAGACTGGTTTCAAACTCCTGGGCTCAATCGATCCTCCCGCCTTGGCCTCCCAAAGTACTAGGATTACAGGCATGAGCCACCATGCCCAGCCTACCATTTGTTGAAAATATACCACTGAATTGTCTTTGCACTTTTGGAAAAAAAATCGATCATATTTATATGAGTCTGTTTCTGGACTCTGCTCCATTGACCTATATGTCTACCCTTTCCCAATACCACATTGTCTTGATTACCATAGTTTATAGCATGTCTTAAAATCAGGTCATGTAAGTCTTGCCATTTTTATTTCCTTTTTTAAAAAATGTTGGCTATTCAAGTTGGGGTTTTTTTGTGTTCTTTTCATATAACTTTTGGAATCAATTTGTCTGTATTTACAGAGAATCTTGTTTGTGTGTGTCTTTGTAATTGTATGTTCAAATTGGAGACAAAAGTTTGCATGTGATACTCTTTTGAATGTGAGTCTTGGCCGCAAAGCCTTTTCATTTCATTCCACACAGGCCCCAGGTCACTCTCTTTGGCCACCCCGTATGCAGCTACCAGGTCCTGTTAATTTATTCTTCCATTCGCTGTCTCATTCAAGTCCACTTCTTGTCATTGTCAAGGGCACTGCACAGTTGCACCTGCTATGATCTCACCCCTGAATCGGTGTAGTGTGTTCCCACTGCTCCTTGCTCACTCACACTGCCTTTTCTGCATCTTGCTGAGATCTTCTTTACCTGGAACCTTCGCTGGCTCCCCTTTGCCTGCTGAGCCAAATCCAGGTGCTTCAAGTTGGCACTCAAAGTCCCTTTAGTCTGTCTTCTCCCTACCCTTCCAGCCCTCTGTCTTCCTCCATCTTCGTGACACCTCCCTGGTCACAATGGGAGGAACCATCGTCTCCTGTGAGGGCCTGGAGTTTTCTGCCTAGGTGTTTTTGTGCTTGTGATTCCTTCTGCCCAGTGTGCCCACCCCCTACTCTTCTCTGACTGCTTACATCCTGCTGATTGGTGCATTTGACCACTGCTGCTTATTGAGCATTTTGCTAAAGATGCCCCAACAGAAGGAAACACACCCCTGTCCTGGGGAGACAAGTAGCTGAAATACTAGGTAATGTATGCTAAATGCCTGACCATAAGGGCTTGGCAATTCAGAGAAGGGAAGGCAAGTACGTTGAGAGAGAATCAGAGAAATTTCCTTCAAGGCCTCAGCCAAATTGCCTCGTGGAAGCAGACCTACCTCTCAATAGCCTAAAGAGTGGCTGTGTATATATGTTTGGTGGTGGGATGACAGAGAGATGGCACATCTAGGAACTCTACCATTAGCTTATGAAGACAGCTTAGTGAACTCCTTGGTGACTAGTAATATTTCTTCATCTGTATCGTAGTGAGCTAGTTTAATAAATAATTCTTTGTTTTGATTAATCAGAGAAAAGAGACTACATCATCTCAGAGTTCAAGAGATCCGGGAGGAAAAATGCCAGGTATATCTCACACAGATTTTACAAAAGTGAAAGGAAAGGTATATAGGTACTCATTACCTGACTCTGAAAGAGAAAATGGTTGAAAGAGTTTGAGGAATGAAAATCGAGCCTCATGATGGCAAATTATTACTTGAGGAAGAAAAAAGAATGGAATGTGTCTTCTTTATCTTTCTATCCCCAATGCCCACATCAGCAATGTGCACTTCATAGGTGAGTATTTGGCTCTCTGTGTTTGTTCTTGAGTTATCAAAAAAAGTGGAGTGGAAAATTATTGGTTTAGTTTTGGAACCCACAAGTATGCACACAGAAGCTTGCCTAGAAGAGACGTATGACTGCAGCACTCCCACCTTGTGGTAGTATTCATGAATTACAGGCTAAACTTTCATGGAAACCTAACTTTTTTTTTTTTTTAAATGGAGTTTTGCTCTTGTTGCCCAGGCTGGAATGCAGTGGCGCGATCTTGGCTCACCACAACCTCCGCCTCCCGGTTTCAAGCGATTCTCCTGCCTCAGTCTCCCGAGTAGCTGGGATTACAGGCATGTGCCACCACGCCCGGCTAATTTTGTATTTTTAGTAGAGATGGGGTTTCTCTATGTTGGTCAGTCTGGTCTCAAACTCCCGACCTCAGGTGATCTGCCCACCTCGGCCTCCCAAAGTGCTGGGATTACAGGCATGCGCCACCACGCCCAGCTAATTTTGTATTTTTAGTAGAGATGGGGTTTCTCCATGTTGGTCAGGCTGGTCTCGAACTCCCGACCTCAGGTGATCCGCCCGCCTCGGCTTCCCAAAGTGCTGGGATGACAGGCGTGAGCCACCGCGCCCAGCCTAAGATGTAACTTCTTGAGTATTAAAGTATCTGTCCCTTACAAAGATTTTGCTAGCACTTCCCTGCCAGTTCCTCCTTCTCTCCGAGATCTCAGCTAGCAGGGCCCCCACTAATGCTTCTAAGTTATGTCATTTTCGAGATTCTCTTCTTAATGCATTGAGGTCTTCAAACCTATTTAAAATGCAAAATGATCATTTGGTGTTATCACTGAAGCCTCTAGGACCCTCTCCAAAATAGGTTTCATTCTGGGATCCAGAACAGGTGTTTTTAACTTGGGATCCACAGATGGGCTTCAGGGGGCGCATGAACCCTTTGAAATTGTGAAAGTGTATGAACATATGCATATGTCTTTTTTTTTTTATTTGAGGAGGGTATCTACATCATTTGCCCAGATTCTCGAAGGGGTCTGTGACTACAAAAAGATGACAAAATCCCTGTTCCAGGGTGACACATGCCAAAGCTGACTCTAAAAGGACAGGGACTTGTTGTTTAAATAAACAAGACAGAAAAATGTTGAAGATATTTTTGAACTTCTAAACATGATACGAGAATTTTTTTTTTCGGAGTCACTGTTGCCTAGGCTGGAGTGCAGTGGCGCGATCTCGGCTCACTGCAAGCTCCGCCTCCCGGGTTCACGCCGTTCTCCTGCCTCAGCCTCCCGAGTAGCTGGGTCTACAGGCGCCCGCCACCACGCCCTGCTAATTTTTTGTATTTTTAGTAGAGGCGGGATTTCACTGTGTTAGCCAGGATGGTCTCGATCTCCTGACCTCGTGATCCACCTGCCTTGGCCTCCCAAAGTGCTGGGATTATAGCCGTGAGCCACCGCGCCCAGCACATGATACAAGATTTTATCTCTCTTCCTTTCCTCTGCTTCCCTGCTCTTGACACCCTCATCTCCCCAAGACTCCTCCCTACCCCTGTCATGGGGGAGGGAATTCAAACTTCATTTGCAGATAAGTGACCATCTGTCCTTCCAAAGGTTTATGGAGAAAAGGAAGAATTGTATAGCCTCCTGGGAAGACAGATTAATCCAGATTAGCTCTAGGCAAAGGAATCAGCCTATTCAAGATAACACCATTTAAAAAAAAAAAAAAAAAACCCCTCCTTATTTGTCTCCAGATCAGGTGCCTGAGCTCTGCATGGGAAGCTGATGAATGATTTAGTTATGCTTTCCGTTTGGGGAAAGTGCCTGCTTTTATCTCTGTGATTGCTTCTTTATTTGGCAACCCACAAACTTATCTGTTTTCCCTAATATAATTGCCTGGTCCCTCTCCGCAGCTCTCAGTAATGTCAGCAGGGCTATCTTTCCGTTTTCCTCTGGAGTTCAATATTGTTTAAGCAAACTAATTGGACTCTATTTCATTTTGCTTTATTTTCCTGCACCAGACCTAGCAATTGGCTGTTTGGGTTTTGCTTGTTTTGTTCCTTCACAAAGTTTCACTGATGAAGTTCCCAAGGAAATTGGATATTGTTCTTTCTCCCCTTTTTCTTTTCTTTCCTTATGTAAGCATTTATCTTCCACCTGCAGTGGGCCAGGCATAGCTCTAGATGAGATGGAATTTAGAGAGGTAAATAAGGCTCAGGCCTGTCTTCAGGGACAAATTTTGTCCTTCCCTAGCCAGAGCCTCCAGTGACAACTGTGCAGGTTGTTACCGTACAAGGGACAGCAGGGGGCTGAGATCCAGCTGCCACTCTGCTTGCCACTTATGCACCCTGATGCAGGCCCACGTCCATGGAGAGGAAGTGGTGCCTTTTCCTACTTGCAAAAAGGCACCTTATGGGCTAGAAGCAGTTCTACCCCTAGTACATAGTCGTTATCTACTAGAATGAAGGAATGTTAATATCCTGGATATCCATTTAGGAGTCTAGCATTTTTAAGTGACGTCCTGAATTTGCAGGAGCTTCTCTGAACCTCAGTTTCCTAATCTGTGTAATGAGGGTGTTGGACTCAAAGATCTGTAGGGGCCCATTCACTTCAGATGCTCAAATACTATTATTCATCAAAGTTAACTGACGTGATTCCACCCATCTCTCTGTTTCGAGAAGATGAGGCATCAGGGTGAGTGGCAGGGTGAAGGTATTGTGGGAAAGAGATGCCACCTGGTGAGACCATTTCCAGCAAAACTACACTCATGACACATTTCTGCCTTCAACAAAGACCTTTTCCCTCCCACCCAAGAGTCAAGGTATTTACATGTCCCACTTCAGAGAGCAGCCATCCTATTATTATAGATGCAATCAATAGTCAGCGCCTGCAGCCAGCCGTGCATCTCAGGGAGGCATGGGCAGATCCCCCCACTGCCTAGACATGAAATATTATTATGGCCATAAAGACTAATGAACTTCTCCTTCCCAGCCCCTGACCCAACTGAGGGGTGGTGGATGTTTATGTAAGCAAAGCACCAGCAGCTCAAATGGGAGGCAGCAAACAATTATAAATATTGACCTTGGCCACATGGAGAGGGAATAAAGCCATAGTCAAGGTATTAAAACAGTACAGTGTGGGTGGAGTGCTGACGCTGGAAGAGGGTGATAGCTCTGCTGGGGAGTCATTCTGGGGACCCTGTGCTGGGTGCTTGAACAGTTAGGCCAGGGGTTTTTAGCTCCATGGGAACACCTTGCTTTTTTCAGCTTCATTTATTTTATCTTTTAAACCCAGCCCTCTGCCAAAGAGGACGTGCAATGGCTAGCAATTAAGACATGTCAAAGTGAACTTAAAATGAACCAGAGGCTGGGCACAGTGGCTCATACCTGTAATCCTAGCACTTTGGGAGGCCAAGAGGGGAGGATCATTTGAGCCCAGAAGTTCAAGACCAGCCTGGGCAACATAGTGAGACCCCATCTCTACAAAAATAAAAATAAAAAATTAGACAGGCATGGTGGCACGTGCCTGTAATCCCAGCTACTCAGGAGGTTGAGGCAGGAGAATTGCTTGAACCTGGAAGGTTGAGGCTGCAGTGAGCCGTGATCTCACCACTGCACTCCAGCTTGAGCAACAAAGTGAGATCCTGTGTAAAAAAAATAAAACAAACAAAAAATGAACTGGAAAGTTGTAAAGCCTCATTGTAGGCATCATCGTTCATTTATTTTTTTTTTCATTTGTTAATCTACTTGCTGAAATAACAATTTGTGACTTCACACCCAACGCTGTGCCTGGTACTCAATTTAATTCATATGGTCCTTGTTGCTTAGGAGTTTACAAGGTGGCCAAGGATAAAGATGTAGATTAAGAAACTGCAGAGAAACTAGAGATGCTGGTTTAGGGACTCAGGATGGGCTAAGAGTGAAAAGACCCAGGCTTTAGTCCCTACTGCTCTGCTTCTGACTTGTGTGACCTCAGAGCCTCAATTTCCTCCAATGTAAAATGGGTAATGGGACCAGGTCAGTGGTTTTTAATCTTTAGTGGGCATTAGAGTTCTCTAGGGAACTTGTTAAAGCTGCAGATGTCTGGGAGTCCCAGAGAGTCTGCTTTAAAATGTCTGTAGAGGAGGCTGGCGTCTGCACTTTAAAACTCTCCCCACCCCAACTCTGGTGGGGTTCTGATGCCAGAGTATCTGGACATACTTTGAAAAATTCAGGGGCCAAATACTCTAAATAAAGGTTATTCTCTGGAAAAAAAAAAAAAAAAGTTCGCGGTAGGCAGAGGGTAACAGAATGGGAAAATGAAAGGGTCAAGGAAGTACAGAGAAGGATGGTTTCAGTGTGTGGGGTGGGCCAGGATCTGGGGCTCCTTAGAGGAGCTGAGGCCCCAGCTACCCCTTGCAAGATGTACAAGGCTTGGTTGTTGCCGTGGTTTGGCTTTCTTCAATTCTCTGAGTAGGGTAGCTGTGCTTTCTAGCTGTCGGTACCATTCCGGGAATAAGTACACAGGGAGCTGTTGACAAACGTTTTGGGATTGCTATTTGTATTCATCAATGAAGTCATTTTCTACTGTGAGAATGGGAACAATTTGTGTGTATGTGTGTGTGTTTGAATTTAGGAAAGAAAAATTATTCAAACATATTATATTTTTCCTAACACGTAAAAACATGTATCAAGACCAGGAATGGTGGCTTACACCCGTAATCCCAACACTTTGGGAGGCCAAGGTGGGCGGATCACTTGAGGTCAGGAGTTTGAGACCAGCCTGGTCAAAGTGGTAAAACCCCGTCTCTACAAAAAATACAAAAATTAGCCAGGTGTGGTGGCATCCACCTGTAGTCCCAGCTCCTTGGGGGTTGCTGAGGCAGGAGGATCACTTGAGCCCAGGAGGTCGAGGCTGCAGTGAGCCATGTTTGCACCACTTCACTCCAGTCTGGGCAAGAAATGAGACCCTGTCTCAAAAAATAAAAATAAAATAAAAAAATAAAGACGTATCAATGACCCAAACTACAGGAACTAAAACTAGAACAGGTATGTAGCAGGATAAAGCTTCAGAGGTGATCTTCATGTTAATAAATACAAATGTTTTCCCTTCTACAAAATTCAGAGTCGACTTGCTTGGTCAGCAAAAAAAAAAAAAAAAAAAAAAAAAAAGAACATTTAAAAATAGTAAGCACAAGTCTAATATTCAAGGTAAAGGCATATTTCATTTTGAAGCATATGAAAAGTTTTAAAAATTCTATTCAGGGACTCAGGGTAAAAGTCCGAGAGAAGCCCCTGAAATGTCCTGTATACGACATTGAGAACAAATGCATGTAGGAGGCAGTGCAGACACTGAAATGTGAAGGCCTCTCCTTGGATGGCCATGGGGTTGGGAGGAGTCAGTGGGAACCAGAAGGAATACATCATTTTAGGCCAAGAAACTATGGATCTAGAAAGTGGATGTCCATGAAATACTTGAAGGACCCTTATTCCTGATGAAAGTCTAGGGAATCTTCTCTTGGTCAGGAAGAACAGGCCCAGGAGGACTCTGGGAGGAAAAAGTATGGAGGTGCCTAAGGTTAGGTTAGGAGGTGGTACATTCACCCAGGACAATGGCATCCTCTCTTTGGTGAGATCATGCTGGTACTCCTTGGACAATATCAATTATGTCATCCATCGTGGAATGTGAGAGGCTTCCAGAGCCAGGTAGAGGCTGACTGACAGTTGCAAATTCCCTTCTAGATCCCACTCTTAGAGAGAAAAGGATTCGCCCAGATAGCCCATGATGACTTGTGGGATGGAGCCAGGGCTGGCCTTCTGGGTATGCGGTGTGTGCAGTGGCACATGGCCCTGTGCTCAGGCCTCATGCTTGGTCTAATGCTCTGCTGTTGCCTTCTTGAAACTCTTCATACTTTTCTCTTTGAATTTGTGTTTTGGTTTTCTGAGCACAGAATTCTGGTGGGCCTTCTATGCGTGGGAGTTAAGTGAGACAAGGCACAAAGCAAGAGCAACGTAAGTGTGTTATGTGTATTGAGTGAGTAAGCTGAGACCACACTTTCCCTTTGAACCAGAACTTGCTTTAAATGCAGAAAGAAGGCAACGGTGTTCTAAGAAACATGAAGGACCAAGGAACTCTGTCACATCCTCATTCACATCCTGTTCACTCATGCCACCTCCCTGTATTTGCCAGCCATAGACACTGACAATTATGACACAGAAGGAGAGGGAAAGACAGGACAGCACATGGTTCCTTTTACCCTCAGTCCTTCCTCACTCCTCAGTCATCTGAAGAGAGAGCATGCTGGTGGAACGTAGGTATATTGGAAGTGAAATAAAAAGAGTTTAGTTAGTTCTGTGCAACATTTCCATTTTTCTGATAAGAACAAAATAATATATACATATATAAGCTAAAAAAATGAGAATTGTATCATTTCAGTGATTCTGCATATGAGAGAAATGCTGTTATATTTGCATTTAAAATTGCCATTGGTGGGCTGGGTATGGTGGTTCAGGTCTGTAATCCCCTTGGGAGGCCAAGGCAGGATGATCACTTGAGGCCAGGAGTTCAAAATCAGCCCGGGAAACATAGCGAGACCACGTCTCTACAAAAAAAAAAAATAAAAAAAAAAAAAAATAAGTCAGGCATGGTGGCATGCACCTATAGTCCCAGCTACTCAGGGGACTAAAGCAGGAGGATTGCTTGAGCCCAGGAATTTGAGGCTGCAGTGAGCTATGATTGCACCTCTGCATTCCAGCCTGGGGAACAGCAAGACTCTGTCTCTAAATACATAAGTAAAACTGCCATTAGATAATGTAAAGATGAACGGTATAATTACAATTTTTAATTTTTCTTTACTGAGATTTACCTTAAGTGGCAAGTAAAAAATACCATGCCAAGTTGACAGAAAGCACCAAACCTCAGAAGAAAGGAAAGAGCTATATATTTTAGTACCTTCAGGGGCATTTTTTCCTGCTCTTTTTTTTTTTTTTGAGACACAGTCTCACTTTGTCTCCCAGGCTGGACTGCAGTGGAACAATCTTGGCTCACTGCAGCCTTGACCTCCCAGGTTCAAGTGATCCTCCTGCCTCAGTCCCCTAGGTAGCTGGGACTACAAGTGTGTGCCACCATGCCCAGCTAATTTTTTTTTTTTTTTTTTTGTATTTTAGGTAGTGGCTGGGTTTTTCCATGTTGCCCAGGCTTTGCTTTTCGATCAAGAGACACACATTTTTATTTTGTACTGGACCCAGCAACTCATGTAGCAGACCCTGGGGAGAGGACACCTCCAGTTCTGGCAGGTGGGCCAAAAGATCAGCTTTGGCACAGGAGAGCTCTCTATAATAGGATTTGGTAATCGTGTCTTCCTGGAGTTATAGCCACTGGTGTTTGAAGCATTGGTGTCTTGGTTTTCCTTGTATTAATTTCTGTCCGGGTCTGGCAGTTTGCCTCTTCTTTCCAACTAAAGCTCTTTCTGCAGCACCAGCGGTATGCCTGCTGTCACGGACTTTCCGACCATTAAGAGCAATCTAGGTCTTATTAGATCTCATCCCCCACCCACCCTGTAATTCATCCTCCAGTTCTTAAATTACTTGCTGATGAGCTTTCACTTCCTCTGCTGCTGAGAGCTCTTGCTCTCCCTCTTCCTATCCATTCTCCTGCGGAGCCATGCCTCTCTGCCTGTCCAGGGCATTTAGAACTTGTGCTTCAGCTACAAGGCTGTGCATCCATTTTTCAGGTGAGCTTTGATGAAATGCTGTGTCCAAGGTCCATGTCCAACTTCTCTGTGCTTCCTGCTTTTGCCTAGCTGACACGTCATCACACAGTCGGAATTGGAAATGGACTCCACTGTTTCCAACTGATCTTAATTTTGTTGAAGCGGTAGCTACTGTCTGTCTTTTCTGACTTTTTGTCTTCTCACCCTGATCATCAGGTGTTTCAGCAGCTCAGTGTAATTATTCAAAATGGGAGTTTCATCCTCTTTGTGCAATAGAGCTGCTTCTAGGACTTTCTGAGATTTCAAATACAATGTAATTCATTTCCTGAGCTCAGTATTTCATTCATTACAACCTTGTCCTTCCCAAATAATAATTGTTCCATGCCGACTTAAGTCTGGAATTTTTTCTTCTTGAACTTAGTAGTGTCAAGACATTGTCTCTTCACTTTGCTTAGATAATCTTTATTAGGGAGCTCCCCTGTCTGGAAGTTTTAAAATAAAATTACCTGTAAAAATGTGTAACCTGGCCGGACACGGTGGCTCACACCTGTTATCTCAACACTTTGGGAGTCTGAGGTGGGCGGATCATGAGGTCAGGAATTTGAGACCAGCCTGACCAACATGGTGAAACCCCATCTCTACTAAAAATACAAAAATCAGCCAGGCTTGGTGGCAGGTGCCTGTAATCCCAGCTACTCAGGAGGCTGAAGCAGGAGAATTGCTTGAACCTGGGAGGCAGAGAGCAGTGAGCCCAGATCATGCCATTGCACTCCAGCCTGGGTGACAGAGCGAAACTCCATCTCAAAAGAAAAACAGAAAAAGGATGTGTAACCTTTCCATAGAGTTTCAGCTTTCCAGTCTTCTTGATATTCTGTTCCCCAAACTGTAAGCACATCTTTCTGTGCGTTTGAATTGTTTCTTCGAGTCAACTGATTGTATCTTTAAGCCCAGATACTTCCTCAGGAAGATGTTTATTTTAGGTCTTGATTTCTCTAAAAGATATCTTTGCTGCTTTGATATTCTGTTCTGAATTGAATAACTTTTTATTTTGGAAACTCACACCTACAGAAAAAGTTGAAAGATTAGTATAATGAATACCCCATATACTCCTCACCAATATTCACTCATTATTTCCATTTCACTGTATTTTATTTTTCCTTAGGTATGACATACACTTTTTTGCTGACAAATTTGGAAGCAAAGCGTACATTTTGTGGAACTCCACCCCTATATATTTCAACATAAATCTTCTATAAATATAAGGATGCTTTCCTACACAACCATAATACCATGCTCATACCTCAGAAAATTAACAATAATTCCAAAATCTAAAATACAAGCCCTATTAAAATGTTCTTATTTGTCCCCAAAATTAATCTGATAACTTTTAAATGATTTATTTTAATTCTGCCAAGATCA